>NC_000002.12:11237023-11543779 GCF_000001405.40 Homo sapiens | reverse complement strand
GCGCTCTGGGGTTCCCAGTTGCAACATCCAGCTAGATCAAAACCAGCAGGACTCATAGAGAAGGTCTTACAGGTCTCTTCAAGTTATGAGATAATAAACTCATTATCATTGAACTTCACCAATGTCAAAAAAATTCTCAAACTTGGGCTTTGCAAAGTGTTCATAATCTGTCTGCTATAGTGGTAAAAGCATTCACTTTTCAATAAGACCACCAGGGGCTTGATTCATGGTTATGCTGCTTTCAAGCTGTGTGACCTTGGGCAAGTTACCTAACTTCTCTGAACCTCCATTTCCTCTTTTATAAAATGGAGATACTAAGAACCACCTTACACGGCTGTAGTGAGGACTAAATTAACATGCAGGGCAGTTGGCATAAAATAGATGTTAATAAGTTCCAGTTTCCTCTCTAAAATTGGAATTAACTGCCCATAATTCTAATTTCTAGATGTTAACTAAAGACTTAATTTTAAGTCTTAAGCTTGCCTTAATTTTATTCACTATCACAGAGTAGTTTATCCAATGGAATTAATTAAACTTCTGGCTTCCTTAGGAGTACACCTATTGAAACGTGCCTCTCTGAGCAGATAATATATCATTTAGTCTCTTATCCCCCCTTCTGCCAGCTTCCCAACTAAACTTGAAGGGCTTTGACAGCAGGGACTATTCCAGTCACCTCTTTACTTCCCATGGTGCCCGGAACACTGCAGGTCCCCAGAAAACAACCCCTAAAAAGAGACAGTAGACGAGGAAAAGGAAGACCACATGCTTAAGGTTACAGAGAGGATTGTCAAGAAATAGACTGAGGTCCTGTCTGAAAGCATTTGGATTAGCATTTAAAGCCCCAGGTGTACCAAATAAACACATCTGCGGCTTTAATTTAGGCCCCTGGGATGCCACCGCTGTTAGAATTCCAGAAAACTAATTAGCTAATTCCCACTGCCCCAGGTATTACCTGAACTCACTTTGTTGTTTTCTGCTCCAAACAAAGCCAGAGGGGCCAGAGGAGAGCCCTTCCTATGGGCATCAAAGTACAAGATGTGCGCTTTGATTCTTTCTCCATGAACACACTGCTGCTCAGCCGCCCCGTGTCTGTTCTCTCTTCAGTTTACTCTTAAGCCAAAATCAACTGCTCCCTCTTCTGCCCTCCCCCCGCCCCAGCACTTTGCTCATACTGCACCCTCACTGGGCTCTGGGTTTGTTCTCCCTGGGGCCACAGGGAGTGTGTCAGTGTCTACACCTCCCCCAGGGACTGAGTTGCTAAATGCAGCAAGGAAGCTCACCCATCTCCCCTCTTCCCCTCGTTCCTCTCAGAGCCCAGAACAGTTTCTTACGGGAGAGTGGATCTGCAAGGGAATGGCATTGACTCTGCCGATGATCCCACGCTGCAGATCCTACTCGACCACCACCCAGGCCACCCCAAGCTCCAAGAGCAGATGCAGCCGGGGGCCTTCGGGGTCTCAGGGCTCAAGTACAGATAGCCAGGTCTCTCCCAAGCCACACATGGACAGCTTCTGGCCTGTTCTATGCCTGCCCTGTGAGAAGCAAAGAACTTTCCTCTTCCAGAATCAGGATTTTGCCTTAAACAAAGGTAAATGCTTACATAATCTGAATTGGATCCTTGGCAGAAATATTTCATTACCACTTGTTGCTAAGGGTGAAACTGAACTAGACACAGTTCCTGCCCTGAAGAACCTCACCGAGACACAGGAAGTGCAGGTCAGCAGTGTAATGCAAAATAGAAGAGATGGGGGCAAGAAGGCCTGGAGGGAAACAGAGAAGGGAATGGAAAATTCTATCAGGTCAGTCTTGGCGGGCCTCATGGAAGGCTCAGTCATCAAAGTTGAGTACAGGTTTGCTGTCTGAAAAGAAGGGGCTTTCCAGGCAGAACGTATACAAGGCATCGGCTTGACCCAAGGGCGAGACACCTATTGTGTGCCTGGGCAACACAGGTCCTTCCAGCATGAGGTGTATGCAGGGACAGGGGGTAGGAGGGCAACGAGGGGCCCGTTCAGCCTAAGCCCTGCTAAGGTGTTTGAAATTAACCACGTCAAGCCACCAAAGGAGTTAGGCAGGGCTGATGAGGCTGTGTTTGAGATTCCTGCGGCTTCCTAAGGAAGGCTTCTAGGAGGATACTGCAATAGACCAAGACTCAAAGAGGACTAAAGACTGCCTCTGTGCAGGGTGAGTAGCACGAGGAGCCTAGCTGACCTCGGGCTTTGGAAAGAGTCGGAGGCAGTGGTGGTCTCACTGTCATAGAGAAGAGTAGTGCATGGGGGTCTGAAGAGAGAGCTGAGAGGTCACGATGCCAAGTGTTCCGATCCCCATGGCCCCCCTCTCACTTGCCATCCACTCACTCGCGGATGCCCACAGAACCCGCCTGTGCACAGAGCCTCAAGCGGTGTGATACCCTCTCCTCCAGAAGGATCCATGGCAGAGAAGGAAGGGCCATGGTCTGGAGTCAAGTCTATAAGAGCAAAACCCCAACCCTGGCTTCCTGCCCGGCCTCCCTTTCCCTTCCCTTTCTGCCTCACTGCCTCCATTCTGAATCACATCCAAAACACACCACATACCCTCCCACCTGGGGTTCCATCTCCTTCTGGGAGATGGCCTTCTCCTAGAAGCCCTGCCAACCTGGCCCTTCAGGGCCACTACCCTGGCCAGCCACAGGGACATGACCCCACCCCAAATCTCACTAGAACACCCCAAATTCCAGACATCACTGACCCATGCTCCCTCCTCTTCTAACTTCCCTACAACTAAATTCTAACTGGAAGAATTCCCCAGCCAACACAGAAGCATGGTGACTTACTTCTGGTGAGTCCAAAGTTTGAGAAAACAAGACTTGAAAAAAGCAACACTCTCCGGACTGCGTCCTCAACCTGTCTCACTTTCAACAGCTGAGGAAGGATGGGAATGGGGTGCTCCAGTAATGTGGCAATAGTCAGCCCCCAATATATGACACGGCAATAAACGCATTGAGACTGCAGGATGGTCTCCTATAAACTCTTTGACGGTCCTCCCAGCAGGAAACAAGACATCATTCTCATGTAGATTTCTCCGATTTTCCCTAGAGGAACTCATAAACTCCACAGGTGTTACTGAAGGGAGAAAAGCTGGGCTGAGAGGCGACTGGTGTCTAATTTGTTTGTCTCTCCAACTCAGACTGCCTGGCCCACAGCCACAGCTCAGCCCCGAGCTGCTCTACATCTGTGCACAGAATGTCAGAGAGTGTTTCTTTGGAGAATATCTTTAAGTGCTCTCAAATGGAACTACAGAGCCATCAGCTATGTCCCCTCCGATTGCAGTAAGAACTGAATGGAAGAGAAGGACCTTCAGAATAAAGCCAGGGAAGCAGAAACCACTGAAAACCTTCTCTCTGGAACCAACCAGGCAGGGCCCAAGCAGTGTTTTGAATCTCCTTAGCCTATCATTCATAAGAACACAAACTAATTATCTGCAATCCCTTTGGATATCATTTCAAACAATAAAAATAAGGACACCCGTTCATTAAGTGGACTTGTCTCGGTTTACTGCTCCCCTGCACCTTATTAGAAGGGCCAATGCTTTGCCATTATTCTGCTGAACACAGGCCACAGCTGTCTTCGTAAGTCAACACAAACCTCTCCAACCCCCAAAGCAGGTGCTCGCTTGCAAAGTCAAATAAACCGTACCTTACAAAAAGCTGGTCACTTCAGGCACTCCACAGACCAACCAGCCAAGAGGCTAAGCCCAGCAGAGGTGGAAAGTGTGCAGGGGCTCCCGCCTCCTGGGCTGCGCCTTTGATCTGTGCCTGGGGATGGAAGAGGATGCGTGGGGCGCGTAATGCCCTGCTGTGCAGAGCCTGGCTCGGGTCTGCCTGACACCCAGGCTTCCTGGCCCCTGCCCGGCAGGGAGAGGCAGCCAAGCCAGCCAGGGGAAAAGTTTCAGAGCTAGTATCTGCTCCCAGAGCTACAACAACAACCAAAAAAAAAAAAAAAAAAAAAATTCAGCAGTAGCCCTTCCAACTGGAGCTTCATCTGCCCCAGCGCCTGCCGGGTCAGATGGCAAATGCCACCGTTTCGTGTCTTCTTAGCCCTGAAGTGTTTTGCTGGGTCACAGTGCTCTCCACACAGGTACATACCAATCTGTCTAACCACCAACAGTTAAACTGATTCTTTTTAAACTACATGGAAGTTTGTGTACTTGGACTGGAGCCACAGTACGCTGTGCAAAGAACAAAGGGTCAGGAGAAGAACACAGGCTTTGTGGTGGAAGACAGTCAGCTGGCAGCCTGGCTTGCCTCCGAAGGACTACAGGTAGCGTGGACCTAAGCCACATAAGCGAGCACGTGCCCCTTCAAACAACTCTGCTGTGAATACCATGGAACATGCCCCAACAACAAAAACCCCCTGGAGAGGCCCAGGAAATCTTCAAGAAAACACCAGCTATTGGCTGGGCACAATGGTTCACACCTGTAATCCCAGCACTGTGGGAGGCCGAGATGGGAGGATTGCTTGAGCCCAGGAGTGGGAAACCAGCCTGGGCAACATAATGAGACCACATCTCTACAAAAAATAAAAATTAACTGGCTGTGGTGGTGCACACCTGAAGTCCCAGCTACTTAGAAGGTTCAGGTGGGAGGATCGCTTGAGCCCAGGAGGCAGAGGGTGCAGTGAGCTGTGATCGCACCACTGCACTCCAGCCTGGATGACAAAGTGAGACCCTATCATAAGAGAAGAGAAGAGAAGAGAAGAGAAGAGAAGAGAAGAGAAGAGAAGAGAAGGGAGGAGAAGGGAGAAAGGAGGAGAAGAGAGGAGAGGAGGGGAAGGGAGGGGAGAGGAGGGGAGGGGACACGAGGGGAGGGGAGGGGACACGAGGGGAGGGGAGGGGGAAGGAAGGAAGGAAAAGAAAGAGAGGGAGGGAAAAAGGGAGGGACGGAGGGAGGAAGGAAGGAAGGGATGGAGGGAGGGAGGAAGGGAGGGAGGAAGGAAGGAAGTAAAGAAGGGAAGGAAGGAAGGAAGACGGGAAGGAAGGAAGGAAGAAAGGAAGGAAAGAAGGAAGGGAAAGTGAGAGAGAGGGGGAGGGAGGAAGGGAGGGAGGGAGGGAGGAAGGAAAGAAAGAAAGAAAGAAAGAAAGAAAGAAAGAAAGAAAGAAAGAAAGAAAGAAAGAAAGAAAGAAAGAAAGAAAGAAACACAAGCTCCTGTCCAGAGCTCTCTTTACATCCCTGTTGCAATTGACTCTTACGAATCCAGGACTCCTGATCAAATCCTAATTCAAAAAGGAAAGAAAATAAATCATGAGAGCCCACTCCAATTGTGCAAATACCTTTAACTTTGCTTTTTCTCTTCTTGCTAGGATCACTAACTTCCTGCAAAAGTGACTTGAATATGACCCAGAGGGTTCAAGGTCATTTATCTTTTGTAAAAAAAGGTTAAAGAGGTGGATTACTCCTCTTGGTGCCCCAGTCAGGGAGGAGAGTTCCCAGCTGTTCCTGGGCTCAGTCCCCAAAATTGCCAGGCGCTAAAGGGTAGAACTTGTGTGGTGGGCTTCTTCGTTCCCAGGCTGGGCAGTGCCTCCCTAGAAAGGGCAGTGGAGACCCCACCCATCCCTGCACCTTCATCGCCAGGCAGGGGTGGCACCCGCTGGAGGTTCTGCCCGAGCGAGCATCTGCAGCTCTGAAGCATCCCTAGTGCCAGGGCTTTACTCGTTGGGGAGGCACACTGTACGCGGTCTGTACGTGGAGTGCCCCGTGCCTTCTGCCACTCAGGGCACCGTGTGTGACGGTGGGAAACTGGAAACTAACAAAATACCCAGCAAAAAATGCATACTTAACACAGCCTGCAATAAATGCATAAAAGCTATGTGCATGAAGAGTTTGTCAATGATGCAGACACACTTAGGATACAACATTCAGCAAGATACATTTACTGTATAGAAAGATAGGTAGATCCTGCGGATAATTTTAAATTCTTATATATGAGATCATATATATTAAAATACATGTATGTATTTTATGTTAAAATAGTATATTTTATTTATAAATATATAAAATTTATATATTATTATATATTATATAAATATCATATATTTATCTAATATATGATATTTATGTAATATATAATATATAAAATATTTTTATATTTTTATATAATATATAAACTTATAACATGTTAAAATAGTATATACTATTTATTATATTTTTAGAGAAGGGAAGAGAGTTTAAGCAGTAGAGTTTTTAAGATGATGGGCTCTGGAGCCAGGTTTGGGTTTGAATCTTCACTTACTGGATATTAGACCTTGAGCAAGTTACTTAACCTTTATGTGCCTCAGTTTCCCCAACTGAAAAATGGGAGAAAAGTACTTGCTTCTTAGAGTTGTGTGGATTTAATAATTAGTATGTATAGGGTGCTTAGCATGGTACCTGGCACATATATAATATTATACATGCCAGGATAATAGTAACAATTCTTACCAATATGAAGCTTGCCACCTGTGAATAAATAAATTAAATGTGTAAAAGGGACTGAAAGAAAATGTCGGCCGGCGCGGTGGCTCACGACTGTTATCCCAGGACTTTGGGAAGCCAAGGCAGGCAAATCACCTGTGGTCAGGAGTTCAATCCCAGCCTAGCCAACATGGTGAAACCCCATGTCTACTAAAAAATGCAAAAATCAGCCAGGCGCGGTGGCGGGTGCCTGTAATCTCAGTTACTTGGGAGGATGAGGCAGGAGAATCTCTTGAACCCAGGAGGAGGAGGTTGCAATGAGCCACAATTCCAACACTGCACTCCAGCCTGGGCGACAAGAGTGAAACTCCATCTCAAAGAAAAATAAAAAAAAAGAAAATATCTATGGTACTTGCCTCTAAGAATTCAAGGTTTTTTAAAACATGCTTCTTTCAACTGTGCTGTAAATTGCTAACTTTTAAAATTGATGTAACTTACTATTATGAGGAGAAAATTAGCAAAGTTTGCCTTCATTAGGTGTGAATTGCAATGACTTTGAACCCACTATGCTTTCTAATTACTGTCAAAAATAGGCTTTTGATGTGAAAATAGCAATGAGGTACCTAAAGAGGAGAGAGCTCACCTCCAGTGTTAACTCCATCTGCTGTGCGGCTCTCTTCTCAGTTTAAATCTGCAATTCTTTGCTTAATGCCAGTATCTCTTCTTGCCATAAATCTCTTTGTTCTATTCTATACATAATGCTCTTCTACCCCTGGCCAAATCCTCTCCACATTAAACATGACAATCATAGCCACAGTTTGGCACTTTTTGGCATTTTTCTCTTTTTGGCCACAATGGCTAGGAGTGATAACTTTCAAAAAGCAGAAAAGTCTCTACCTATCCAACAAAATGCTCTAGAAACTATATAACCACCATTAATAAATAAATATGGCTTGGCTTTTACAAAATGTTTCCCTGAGAGGTTTCCAGATCACTAGAGAAGACAAAGCTTTACTGGGACAAATCATGCGGGGTTGGTGCTGCTGGCACTGCCTGGTTGCTGACTGCCTGGGGCACAAGCAGTGCCTCCGTATCCTGTCACACCTCCGACTCTGCACATGCTGTGTTCCCGCTGCCTCATCCCTCAAGACCCAGTTCAAGCATCTCTTCAATTGTGTGGTGGTTCTGACCTCCCGAAACTGAGCTGGGCATTCTCTTTGTGTCCCCACCACTCCTGTGTATGCTCCAGGCTTGCGGTGGTCTCCCAGGACCATGGTTAATCTGTGTGCTTCCCTCTCTCCCCTGCTGCCTGGGATCCCCAGGAGAGCAGAGAACATGCAGATGTACGCCCTTGGCCAATCACAGTGCCTAGGAAATAGAAGGTATCTGATAAGAGTTTATTTACAAGGTAGTGTTTGCATTTTACAGGGAAAAAAAAAAGAGTTCAGGGCAGCAAGAAGAAAGAAGATGAACAATTCCGACATCCATATCCAGGCAAAATGTAGACAGCCCAGAGATTTCAGAGATTTAGTGGGCACGGTCAGGAAGTGGGGAAGATAAAACAAATCATGTAAGTGGGGCTAATGCAACCTTTTTCTATACTCGTGAAAACCCAAGGACCCAAGCCTTCCCATCTAGTTAAAGACTTTCCTCAGCCTCTCCCCTTGAATCACCGAATCCTAGACTCTCAGACCTAGAAGTAACCAAAGAACTCAATCAATGTATTTCAATCAACACACACCTTATTTCTCTATTATTTATTTATTATTATTTTTTAAGTGTCATCCTGTGTGCCAGGCACTGGAAACTCGAAGAGTAAAGTCCTTTCCTTGTAAAAATGCTGTTTAATGGAAACAGACATTTAGATTATGGTATGAGAATTAACTTCTAATTCAACATGGTACCTGGCCCTTCCTGAGATGACCTTCAAAAGATACTGAATTAAAAATAAATAAATAAATAAATAAATAAGTGGGGTGAGGTATTTTAAGCCACAGTGATGAAAAGATGGAAGGGATGCCATTAGCTAACTAGAGGTTCAGGTTTCATAAACTTCCAGAAGCCAGACTAGAGAGGGAATGTGGAGCTGACACAGGAGAAGGGTGCATACCTGGGGGGACCAACTGGCCCTGAGGAAATGCAGAGACTCAGATACGCCAGACAAGTGTTGGGAGGAGTGCACAGCAGCGCTGGGACCAGGGGTCTTCTGTGAAATCCTGTCTACAGAGCAGGTAGCTCCTCTACCTCCCACCCCAGGGCCACATGCAGATCTCCCAGGAGCCAGGCGTTCACCCCAGGCAAAAAATACCGAAAGCTCTTCTGATACAAATTGAATCAACCAACAAGAACTAGAGCCGCTAACGCACAGTCTGGCATTCAGAGGCCTCCAGAATGCCAGCTGATTCTGTCCTGAGCACCCCAAAAGTGACACCTGCCAGACACCAGCGCCCCCTGTGGACACAACACTCCCAGTCAACCTTCTCTGCCTCACTCTTAAACACACATGAAAATCCAAGGGTCATGTAGCACTTAAGGAAGGAAACATGAAAACAACATCCAGGAGAAGAAACAGAAGAAAAGACACCAAAGCAATCAGAGAACAACCAGGTATATGTGAAGAAGAAGCACACATCCCCCTCTAATTACCATCCTCAGGAAGACTGAGGGCCACACTCTGTTTCCCAACCAACCCAATCACTGAGCCACTCAACAATCACACAAGAGGAGCTCTCACGGGTGAGCCTGTTGATCTGGCTTTACTGCTGAGGGGCCCCCAGGTAAACTGAAGAGCTGTGCAGAAAGGCTGGGGGTATGAAAGCCGCACGCTCCCCACTTCAGCACACAGGGTCAGCAAGAGTTGCAGTGATGTTCCCACATACAGTCAGTTCAGCTATAACGCTTGTTTTGAAACTGCAAATTTGTACGGACAGATTGACATATTACAGAACAATTTGAATACCTTGTGGGTTTTGTGTGTGCCTGGTGATTTCCTCTGCAAGAAACACAAAAGTAAGTTCAGAAAAATGGTGCCCAACTGACCCCAGCTGCTTGAGAATATACAAAAGGCGCACACACACCAGCCTCAAGCACCTACCACCTACCTCCAGTCACCACACGTGTTAAAAGCCATGTCCTTCCACACATGGTGTCAGAACTTTCCATAGGGCTCCAGGTCTCTGTCCTTCTTCCATTTGGCAGGTCCTCAAGAGCTGCAAGCCTTCCATTGAAAAAACTTTATTTCATTTACCTTTGCACTTTGAGGTAAAATCCCATCTCTACTGCAGTATTTATGTATCTCTTAACCATTTAGCATGTGTAAAACGGTGCTGCCCTTTTTATTAGGTTTTTATCTTTTTAAAAAATGTGTCATTGATGAAGTTTTTGAGAGCTGTTGCCCTAAGCCTGTATTCGTCATAAACCCTGCGGTTTTTATTGCCCAATCTTGCATGGTGCAATAATTTTTAGGAACACATATATCAAGTTATAGTAGAATTGATTATGTGTTTACATTTCTGCCTGCAAGCTACAATTTTCTCCTAGGGGAGAACATGGCGGGAGAGCATGGTGTGCAGATTCTAGTTTAGAAAATATGGTCCACACAACTGAATTTCACACCAGTCACCCCTAGTTCATTGTTTCTGGCTACCCCAAAACGTTCATCACCGGCTTGCCTTTCTCCCTGCACTAAGCTAGAATCTCAAAGAACCAATTGTTGGGTTTTGTTGGTAGCAATCTGTGTATCATCCATTTTTTCCTCCATCAAACACAAAATTAAATTCAAGCATAAATAATGAAATTGTTGTTCCCGGCTTCTGTTTACAGAGTCTCAGGGACGCTGTGGAGCTGGGTGTGCCTGGGTCCAGTCCCTGCCCCCTCACCCACCGGAGCTGTGTGACCTTGGACAGCCTCCCTCACTCCCTGAGCTCCAGTTTCCTCAGCCATAAACAGAGATAACAGTGCTGACTTCAAAGCTGACTTTGTGAGGATTAAATGAGATAATGTAGTAGAGTATTTAGTACTGTGGCTGGCACTTCAGTGTTTTCCCATTTATCTGTTTTTTTCAAGATGAGTGATCTCTTTGCTGATCATAAACATATTCCTCCATCTGTCTTGTGTTATTCGCCTGCATTGAAATCCCATCCCAATCCCCGTCTCTATTTGAAAGTGGAGCTTAAAAATTGCAAAAATGAATAATTGGGATGTGCAAAACCTCTTAACTTGTAGCACCAAGTTTTTTGTCTCATGTTGATCAGTCTCTCTCTTCTTGCATTTCTCTCCCATTAGTTTGGAGTTGCCATTCATTCCTTCATTTATTCATTCACTCAACAAACATTTATGGGTGCCTGGTATCTACTGGCTATGTGACTGACTTAACTTCCCAGAGCCTCAGTTTTCTTGGCAAAATGAAGATAATAATACCTCTATCATAAGGTTGTTGGAAGGCTTTCCATGACACCAGGACCGTAAAGCACCTTTTACACCGTCTGCCATATGGCAGGTGCTCAACAAAGGATATCTTTAAGCAGTATCATCACGATGACAATGGACAAGCCATATCCCTAACAGGGCTTAAACCTGGATAACAAGAACACTGTTTCCACTGCGCTAGTGGGGACAAGCACACACATCGCTGGGAAGATCTGCAAGCCTCCCTCCTCCCACAGACCCAAACATGCTGCTGCAAATGTCTCACTGGCTACAAAACAATGAGTCTGATTACGACCCACAGAAATGAAAAGGCAGCAAACTTGTTTAGGTATGATTCATCATTGTCTGCTGCGGCAATCAGAAGTATTTTGGTTGCTTCTAGGTCAGAATGACCCAGTTGCCACACTTTTTTTCACTGCTAAAGTTCGTAATGAACCTTTAAACAAAAACTAAAGGCGTAAGGAAAGATAACTACTTTGTGGCTTTTGCTCAAAGTGAGGACGTTATCAGCTCTGCCCTTCAGAAGCAAGCCCTGATCAAGGAAACCATTCACACTTGATTTTCTTTATTTTATTGGCCACAATTGAACATAGGTATAATTTTCATGAACCTCCCTCGCTCCAAGACCAGAGCTCCTAGGAAGTTGTCTTTCCCATCTGTTTCCCGGCCCCTACCAGAAATAAGTGCCATGAGAGTGTTGACTGATGAAGGGCTCCTATACGCGGGTTGATTTTCAAGCAGTTAAGAAGCAAGAATTAATGACTCGAATATATGATCTTTGCTAAACTCTTCAGGAATAAATGAACATTTCCCACTTTATTCTTGCTAATGTTGACTCCTTAGCAAAGATAATTTCAACATATTTAATATGGCATATTCAAATGACAGAAAGTACGAAACAATAGTAGAAAGCAGAGAAAAGTATATATAAAGAGAGAAAGCGGTATCATTCACATCTTTAACACCTAATCTAATTGTAATTTTCTTAAATGCATAGAAAAAAGACTGGGAGGAAATACACTAAAATGTTAACAGTGGGTATTTTAAAACAAGAATTAGGCGAGGTGCGGTGGTTCATGCGGTAATCCCAGCACTTTGGGAGGCCGAGACGGGTGGATCACTTCAGGTCAGGAGATCAAGACCAGCCCGGCCAACAGGGCGAAACCCTGTCCCTACTAAAAATACAAAAATTAGCTGGTCATGGTGGCAGGTGCCTATAATCCCAGCTACTTGGGAGGCTGATGCAGGAGAATCGCTTGAACCCGAGATGCCAAGGTTGCAGTGAGCCAAGATGGTGCCACTGTACTCCAGCCTGGATGACAGAGCAAGACTCTATCTCAAAATAATAATAATAATTAATTAATTAATTAAATGTTTAAAAATAAAATAAAAGCAAGAATTATACGCAATTTTTTTTTCTTGTTTCTAATCATCTGTATTTTCTAAATTTTTTACAAATGATCACATGCATTTTTTATAAACAGCTTTTTTGGGGTAAATTATAATCATGAAATTCCGTCAAGCTTGAATCTCTCTGTAGGCTGCACAACGTGGAACAGATGAAAGGAACCAAATGCTGGAGTCGCACCAACCTGGCTCTGCCTATCTCCAGCAGGCAAGTCACTTAACCTCTATACAATTAGTGGTCTGAACTAAACCAGCTCCTTGGCAGCCTAGGCTCTAGCTCAACATCTGCTTGTATGCGTCAAGCAACTACACTCCCACAGTAAACTGGGAACCTACTGGGAGCTAAATAGAAGCAAATATCCCCAGGCCTGGGTGACACTGACTGAGCTGACCTCCAGTACAGGGCCTGAGGCCACTCAGGAAGCAGCCAGGGCACCTGCCCACACCCTCCAAACAGGCCCACCTACCTAGGGAACTCTTTCTCCCTGGCACTAGGCTAGTTTTGGGGGGGTTAATGGAGTTATGGACTGGGATGGGCAGCCTTGTACAAAGGGCTTCTCTGGCCAGAGAGAGCCGGTGTCTGCTCCGCAAACACCAAACTTCCCCACCCTTCCTGGCCAGCCTCAGATCCTATTTCCCCCACACAGCCTTCCCACATTGGCCAACCCTCACTCTAACCCCTTTTTAAAAATTGTGTGTATTAAACTTAAGTAGATACAAAAGAATATTGGTATGTATGTTGCACAGACTCATGATATGATGAACACCATGCACCACATGCAGGTTCTGGTGAAGGTGCACTTCATCATCGTCTTTGAAGTCCCCTTCTTGTCCTCCATCCCTGCCCCCCATTAACTCACATCCTGAATTTTATGTTTATTTTTCCCTTGCTCTTCATGATTTTAACAACATGATGGATTTAATTGTAACTTAATTTTTTTTTTTTTTTTTTTTTGAGACCGAGTCTCGCTCTGTCCTCAGGCTGGAGAGCAGTGGTGCAATCTCAGCTCACTGCAACCTCCGCCTCCCGGTTCAAGCGATTCCCCTGCCTCAGCCTCCTGGTAACTTAACTTTTAACCTAAATTTTAACATAGATTTTACTTTTTTTTTTTTTCCTATTTGGCAAAGATCAACTTTAGTGTGCATAAGAATCACCTAGGGCCGGGCGCACTGGATCACACCTGTAATCCCAACACTTTGGGAGGCCAAAGTGGGTGGATCACTTGAGGCCAGGAGTTGGAGACCAGCCTGGGCAACCTGGTGAAACCCCATCTCTACAAAAAGTGCAAAAATTAGCTGGGTGTGGTGGCTTGCACCTGTAGTCCCAGCTACTAGGGAGGCTGAGGTGGGAGAATAGTTTGAGCCCAGGAGGTTGAGATTGCAGTGAGCCAAGATGGTGCCCCTGTCCTCCATCCAGCCTAGACAACAGAGTGAGACTCTGTCTCAGAAAAAAATAAAATAAAATAAAATAAAATAAAAAATCACCTAGGGGTCTTATTAAAATGCAGATTCTATTTCAGTACCTCTGGGCTACAGCCTCCAAATTTAGCATTTCTGACAAGCCAATTTAACTTAATTTTCATTTAACTTTTAAACTAAGAAACATATTGTTTCATTTTACATTTAGTTTTGTTTAGTTTTACATTTCTCAACTGTGTATGAATGGGCTCATGCTGTATGAATTTTCTAAGACTTGCTTTTCTGCCTCATACAATGTTCCTGAAGTTCATCCACAATGTTGCCTGTACCTGTGAGTCATTCACATTCAATGCTGTATAGTATTTTATGATATAAATATACCACTTTCTCTTCCCAATCTACATGTTATGTCTATTTGAGGTATTTCTAGCATTTGTGTGTCAGGAGGGTACACACATAACTTGTATCAATCAACATTACTATTTGTCTCCTGTTACACACACAAGTCACAAAGCTGCCAGGGAACTCCAGGGGGCTCACACTATGGGCTACATAAATCGCTCCCCTAGAGCAAGGGGGTGGTACCCACTTACACCCCCATCATCAGGTAAGTAAGTGTTCTGGCTGTTCCACAACCTCATCCATGCTTGTCACCGTCAGACTTTTGAATTTTTGGCAGTCTGGTGGGTGTAAAAGGGTATCTCATTGTGGTTTTAATTTGCACTTCCCTTGTTACTAGTGAAGTTGAGCATCTCGTCCTATGGGTATTAACTATCTGTTTCTCGTTTCTTTCCAATTCCTAAGCCAGCGCCTCAGTTTATCTTAGCAAACCAAAAGAACCTTCTGTGGATAGTCATATCTTGCTCTTAATTAGTTTTCATCCCTGCCCTACAATAGATTCCAATGTGTCTTTTTACTGCTTTACAGGCTCTTTTCTCTCATGGGGTTGAGGGGTACTCTTCCATCTTTACAGGTTTAATACAGATTTGTCAATTTCACTACCTTAAATATTCTTTAGATTACTCTTCCCATTATTTTCAAATGAGGCAGATTCTCTGAATTCTGGTGAATGGGAACTTTCAAAGTCACTGTGGGCAAAAAATATATATAAACCAGGAGAAAATAAAGTCTTCTCTTTTTTGAAGATAATAACTGCTGCAATGCAACTCTGCACTTCAAGTAATCAAAGTCACATTTTAATAATGTAGAGAACTGCCAAAGCTAGTTGAAAAAATTGCCAAGGGCTCATTCTTTATTCAATTTAATTAATGAATGACTTCTAAAAAATATTGTCTGGTTATTCTTTTAGAATAAACATCTATAGGTAGCAAAAAAAAGGAAAAATTTCACAAACATACATTATTTCATAGGCATATTGGTATTAAGGAGTTTGCCCAGGAAATACAGACTTGGTACCAATTAATGCTTACAGATGAAGCATAACTTGGTAAAGGACTTTATAAAATATTCTACTTGGGAGGCTGAGGCAGGAGGGTTGCTTAAGCCTGGGAGTTCAAGACTGCAGAGAACTATAATTGTGATTGTGAATAGCCACTGCACTCCAGCCTGGGCTACATAGCGAGACTCAATCTCAAAAAAAAAATTCTATAACCATAGATTTTACAACTCAAAGGGGACTCAAATCTCTCACCTAGTCTAACCCTCTGACTCATAATAAGAAACTGTTATATCATTTTAAAGACAAGGAATAGAAGAACACTTGATCGGAGTAAATAATTCTGCTACTTTCAACGAGGGTATTTGCAGTGTATAAATTCTTGCCTTGTATGGATAGATTTGAAAGATCTTTCTGCCACAAATGAGCTTTCACATAAATGTGGATTTGGAGTAGATGTAAAGAGATAGAAAAGTCATCATTCTTCTGTTTCACCAGTGATCTCTAGATTTTTGTGATCTGTTCCTCAGACAGTCACAAGCCTATGAATTCAGGGCACTTTCCTGGTGTGAACAGCTAGGACCAGGAAGGTCTGACATAATCCCTGGTGTACTGTTTTCCTCAGGATGTTTTGGGTTTGGTGGAATTTGATTTTACAACCTGAGAAAGGCTGATTCTGAGATATTGTGTGTTTATTCTGCAGTTATTTGACTGTCAGTGCAGAAAGAAGAAAAGCCTTCAAAAAAGTTAAAGGGAAAGGAAATTAAGGGACTTAGGGATATTGATAGGTCTTAAAGCAGTTTGAGGATCTGTATCAGCAGAACAACAAATGTGGGGGACTTTGTTAGAATGCTTTTGGGATTAGGGTCAAGTGTGGCGCCCTCCCAGGCCTCCTGCACTTTTCCTTTGGAGCACCCGTCACACCAGCTCTTCATGCTTCAGTGTCTGTCTTCCCGTAGGACCCTGAACTACATGAGAGCTGAGTCCACATCTGTTTTACTATAGAATCTATGGAGCCTAGGCAGTGCCTGGCTGCCTCACTGAATAGCTCCTGGTTGAATGAATGAGTGCAGTCTTGCTATTTGGAGAGGCTGGCCTTCAGGAAAGACTGTCCAGGGGATGGGTTGTCCAGCCAATCCACCAGATGCCCAGGTCCCACTCTGGGACCAAGCTTCCCCACAAAGCATTTTTAGGCTGAGCAGCTCGGTCCCTCGTGAAGTTATCTTTCCAAAGTTGCACTGAAATGTTATTACCTTGGTTATTTTCTGAAACCATTACAGAAAACAGCCATATGGAATTGGCTTTGGCATTTCCTAACAAATTAAGTCCACTGTATCATTTATATGAGGTCCCACAACCAAAGTTACTTTGAGAATTTAATGCCATGAGAAAATATCTTTTCCCTTGAAGAAGTGACATGCCTCTTTCTTTCTAATAATATGACTAGTAGCACTTATCACTTCCCCATTTTTTTTGACCGCATGATAGCAATAGGTGCATTCAAAAAATAAGCAATGACTAATTTCAGGGAAAGCAAAAAACTATTCAGGACAAAAAACTAATAGTAGTACACTACATGGCTCTGCTGTCCAAGTGTTTACATGACTATAGTGATGTATACATTGAATTGGGCTATCTAAATCATAAATAACTGTAGTGGAAGGATGGAGGGCAGGATGTGGGTGTCTGTGTAGGGAGGATGAGGCATGTGTGAAAAAGAGCAACATCCTTATCTTCCATATTAGAAAGCTTAAGAATATTACCTAAAATTCAAAAATCAAGAAGTAGCAAAATATGTTATTTAGAAATATCAAGATAATTACCAAAAGAATCAGTTAAAAGGATTGAAGCCGGGAGCGGTGGCTCATGCCTATAATCTCAGCGCTTTGGGAGGCTGAGGTGGGTGGATCACTTGAGGTCAGGAGTTTGAAACCAGCCTGGCCAACATGGGGAAACTCCATTTCTACTAAAAAAATACAAAAATTGGCCAGTCGTGGTGGCCGGTGCCTATAATCCCAGCTGCTCGAGAGGCTGAGGCAGGAGAATCACTTGAACCTGGGAGGCAGAGGTTGCAGTGAGCCAAGATGGCGGCACTGCACTCCAGCCTGGGCAACAGGGTGAGACTCTCTCTCTAAAAAAAAAAAAAAAAGGATTTAAAGTTTTTGCCCCCAGAGAACAAGATATGGGAAGAAGGCATGAGTAGCTATAGAGAATAAGATCACAATTAGTACCGAATACATAATGTTATTTAATCTTCACTAAAATTCTTGTTTTACTAATGAGAAAACTAAGGCTTATAGATATTAAGTAACCAAGATCACATAACTAGTAAGTAGTTAAGCTGAGATTTTAATACAGCTTTACTGAAATCCAAAGCTCATAATCTTTCTACTACATTCTGCTCCTCTCTTATTCTCCTCTAAGAGGACTAGTGATATAAAGGAAGAAAGCTTAGAGCCACAGAGTCTCATGAAGTGCCGTATGATGTAAAAAAGAAAGAAATGTGGCAAAGATGAGTGCAGAAGAACGAAGGACAATGTTTAAGACCATTCATAAAACTAGGGCTCTATCCATAATTAACCTGCGTGAACTCAAGCCCTCTATGGATTTTTCTTGCACTAGAACAAGCTAAGTTAGCATTGATAAAAGAAAGCCTTTGATGAAACCCTCTCAAATGTCTGATGCTTCTATGCCAAGCTGAAATACGCCTTAGAAGCACCACCCACAGATGACAGCAGAGTTACTCTCCGGGCAAAGTTAAATTCAGAAGGCACTTGACTCCACGCAGCCCAAAGCTTTACAACAAAGGATCCATCAGGGCACGGCAGAGCATGGGGAAAGCAATGATGCTGAGAGTCCAGGCAGGAGGTGAGTTCACAGCAGGATGGAGCCGGGGCCAGGAGAATCTAGATGGGTCGTTCAGAACCAGGCATATGAAGTTCTGACTGCTGGAGCCCCGACCTCATGCTCCATCCTGCCAGGCTGGTCTGTCTCTGGGTAGGGCAGTCCTGGCCTGGAGAGTGGTGTCTTACACCCTGCAGTTAGTGCTTCCCTATCACCAAGAGTGGTAGAATTTCTGTGTGAGAATAGCCTCCCATGTCTTGGCCAACTGAGGCCCAAGTCAATCAACAGAGTAGGTCATTCCAAAAGGAAACAGGCAAAAGGAAAGAGAATATGACCTGAATGCCTTTTTTTTTTTTTTTTTTTTTGAGATGGAGTCTCCCTCTGTCACCCAGGCTGGAGTGCAGTGGTACAATTTCAGCTCATGGCAACCTCCACTTCCTAGGTTCAAGCGATCCTCCTGCCTCAGACTTCCAAGTAGCTGGGACTACAGGCACACACCCAGCTAATTTTTATATTTTTAGTAGAGATGGGGTTTCACCATGTTGGCCAGGTTGGTCTTGAACTCCTGACCTCAAGTGATCCACCCCCTTCGGCCTCCTGAAGTGCTGAGATTACAGGCGTGAGCCACCGTGCCCAGCCCGGATGCCATTTTAAAGGCCCCATTAAACATGTTTAAATTGCTTGGCTCATATCAGTATGAGTTCAGAGAAGCACCTCACGTATCAATAATCATATTTGGCTGCATGTAACACAGCCAACCACAATGGCTTAACCCAGTAGAGGTCTGTTCTTCCCATGGAACAGCAAGTCTGCAATGACTTCAAGATCAAAGCTCCTTCTGCCTTTTGGAAGGCAGCAAGTGTAGTCCGCTTTCCAAACCAGAAGAGAGAAACATGAGGGATGAAAAGAACACGGCCGCTTTACCAGAAAAACAACAGCGTTTCTAGAAGACCCGCCCATAGATGTCTGCTTACAAAACATTGGCCAGGACTTAGTTTTTTGGCCACCTTAACTCCAAAAGACCCTAGGAAATCAAGCTTTTAGCCAGGTACTCTGCTATCCCTAACAAAATCAGAGTTCTGCTAGCCAGGAAGTGGGGGGATGGACAGGGTTGTCTGCCACAGGCCACACAGACTCCAGCATCCATGCAACCAGTGAAGAGAAGATGACTGATGTGTTTTGGAAAGCACAGTATGAAAAGTAACGAAAGAACAAAACAGAGCAAGGCCAAATATGTCCCAGACAATAAGGTCATGATGACCTTTTGAGAAGAAGAGGATGTTCAGACAGGACGTGGTACTGCAAGGGAAACACAAAAATATCAAAGTGTTATTTTACAATCCTGCAGAGGTGGCTATTTCCACCTAAGTATGGCACACAGATTTCCCTTAGAGGGTACTCTTGCCAGCATTTCACATGCCACTTCATTTCACCCTCAAACAGTCCTATGACTCTTGGCCCTGTCCTCAAGAGTCATGGACATGTCACCTCCCTCTGTCATGTCACCCAACCTAATGGCTGTCAATTAGCAACTGCATTGCAACCTGTTTAGCATTACAACCTGTCTCCTGGGCCTGGCCATGAGAAGCCCCAGCCCACCTCCTTCAGACTGTTGAACAAGCTCTTTCCTCTTCACCAGGCCTTATCAATAATGTCCAACTTGTCTTCTACAACTAACACCTTCTACTGAGAGGAGGGAGAAAAAAGATGAATTTTATATTGAAGTGTTTAATAATTTCATTACAAGGAGTACAAATTTGCACTGGCAAATTTAAATGCAATGTGTACTCTGTGTGTGTGTGTGTGTGTGAGTGTGCATGCACGTGTGTGCATTTCTTCAGACATGATACACTGTGATCCCTTTCCTGTAAATAAAGAGTCCTTGGGCTGAGCCTGAATGAGCCTGAGAAAAGACCTGTCCCAGTATGAATTCATGGGTACCATCTGCTTAGAAAGCAGTTCCATTCTGTGCCAGACACTTTGAACCAATCTAGAGAGCAGAGACCATGGTAACTGATGGAGACCCCCAAATCATGAGCTGCACAGGCTGTGAACACAGTAAGCCGGGGGCAAAGAAGCTAAAGCCTCCCATGGCCTGTCTATGATCACTGGAAAAGAAAACAGGAAGGAGACTGATCAGAAAGACTGAAAACCAGGGTTGTTTGCAGGTCCTCCCGTCTTTCTGGTTTTCATTTGAATCACAACATTAAGACTTCTGCTCGGCATACCAGACATCTATCCAAAATATAGCTTAGAACTCAAGGACAGTTAAGAGCTCTGCAGATCTCTGTGTCGAGGACAGGATGCCCATTTACTGCGTCCAAGGAAAGACACACGTTACAGAAGCCGTACCAATCAACAGAGTTTTATGGACCATCTACCATGGCATCCCAAGACCAATAGCAATTAGCTTCCAAAATAAAAGTGACATTAAAACATAGAATCCACTGAACATGATATTTTTTCTTTTTTTAACTTTTATTTTAGGTTTAGGGTGCGTGTGCAGGTTTGTTATACAGGTAAACTCATGTCATGGGGGGGGTTTTGCACAGATTGTTTCATCACCCGGGTACAAAGTCTAGTACCCAATAGTTATTTTTTCTGATCCTCCCCCTCCTCCCACTCTCCATTCTCAAGTAGGCCCCAGTATCTGTTGTTCCTCCCTGTGTGTCCATTGGTTCTCATCATTTAGCTCCCATTTATAAGTGAGAACATTGCAGTGTTTGGTTTTCTGTTCCTGTGTTAGTCTGCTAAGGATAATGGCCTCCAGCTCTATCCATGTTCCTGCAAAAGACATGATCTCATTCTTTTTTATGGCTGCATAGTATTCCATGGTGTATCTGTACCACACTGTCTTTATCCATCCTGTCTACCACTGATGGGCATCTAGGTTGATTCCATATCTTTGCTATTGTGAATAGTGCTGCAAGAAGATGATATTTTTCTAACTGGAAGATGTCAAACAAGGTGCACAGGATGGATGACAGGCACTTTGGGAATCCTGGTGAGATGTGCTGAAAACAACAAAACCTTTGTTTCAAGCCTGCACAGGCAAAGGGGATCTATATATCAGACATCCCATGACATTGCTATCCCTGAGTCTGCACAGCTAAGATGCTCCCCAGCGGAAGCCTCCCCAGGTCCCTCTGCTTGTGTCATTCTGTGTCCCATCAGAAGTGTTTTATCAGACAGAGCGGATGTGTCCTTGGACTTGAACTCCCTAAAGTAGGAGTTGAACCACACCTGCCACGGGTGTAAGAACCACATGTTCAGTGGCTGTCCTCTTCAAAGCCAAAAGCTCCGGGAGGGCAGGGACCATGATTTGTAGGTTCCTGCTGCGAGTCCTGCAGCAGTGTGCAGGGTCCAGCACAAAAACCAGTATTCAGGCGACAGTTGTGACAGACCCAGCCAAGTTCAACTTCCTAAGTAAGCCTCTTTCAAATACAGAGGCTTAAAAAGCATTAGCTGCAAAAACACTCTACTTTAACCCATTTATGCTGGAGGTTGCAATTTTTTGAATTGCAGACGTGTGTGAAAAATCAGACCTTGGCAATGACATTGAGCAGTAGGATATAAATAATTCCTACATACTTAGTGTTCCAATAATGGAACACTAGGCATAAATGGGTTTAATTGTTCTCCTGGGACTCATTCATATTTAGAATTAATGTTAACACCCAAAAAAAAATCTACTTGAAAATCTTATAATGCAAATGTGCAGAACCCTGGAACTTGGGAGTTGTGCAGAATGCCTGACAAAGCCAGACAGATAGACAGATGCCCCTGGGGGATGATCTGTGCTCCTCTTCGTCTACCAGGCACAAAGCAGAGACTTCCTGCAGACAACTCCGTATTTTGAGTTTAAAGAGCCGAGATTAACTACACCCAGCGGGAGAAAAGCAGAGATCACAACGTGTAGACCACAGATCGCTGCAGGACACGTGTGGGAACAGGGCCTGGTACAGTGGAGTACATTGTACAAAGATGAAGAGCATCAGTGCCACCCACTAAAGTCTTTTGAGGCAATAATTACAGTGTGGTGAAAACTGGCTCAGAATATTTCTAAATACGGCACAAAGTAGCCAACCAGAAATGGTTTGCGTTATTAGCATTTTGCAAGATTTTCAAGTAGATTTATTTACACGTTAAAATTTATTTTGAATCGGAATGAGTTCTTTGATGACAAAGGAGAGGCTCCGTAGCTGATTTTTTGGGCCTCATATTTGACAGAGAACTCTCACTGGGGTTAAGGAGCACAAGATGAGTAGAAGTGAAACAGCCGAGTTTATAGCAAGGGAGCTTCCCAAATCAAGAAAAATTGCAAAGTTAAAAAGCAATTCATCTACGTGGGACACAAATTGTTTTATCCTTTAAAAGTTTTAGAAATTCACACATGCCAATTTTTTTAATATCCTTGAATATCAATCACTTCTGTTCTAAGAAAAGAGACTAGGCCGGGCACAATGGTTCATGCCTGTACTCTCGGCATTTTAGGAGACCAGGGTAGGCCAATTGCTTGGGCCCAGGAGTTCAAGACCAGCCCGGGCAACATTGTGACACCCCATCTCTACTAAAAATACAAAAATTAGCTTGGTATGGTGGCACATGCCTGTGGTCCCAGCTACTCAGGAGGCTGAGGCAGGAGGCATCACCTGAGCCCAGGGAGGTCAAGGCTACAGTGAACTATGGTCACACCAGAGCACTCCAGCCTGGGCAACAGAGTAAGACCCTCGCTCAAAAAAAAAGACAAAGAAGAGAAAAGACCAGCATAAATTCATCCCTCCCTGGGTGAGTGCTGAGTTGCCTATACATGCCTGGCTCAGGTCCTGATAGACCATGGAGCCCACACGGCAGAGGGCATAAGAATTCTAGCACTGCCCGCAGTGGGATCCCAGACGCCCCCTGCTAACTGTGTGACCTTGAAAACATTAGTTAATCTCTCTGCACCTCAGCTGCCTCATCTGTAAGAGGAAGAGAATGGTAGTAACTACCTATGGAAAGCAGGATAATGGCTCCCCAAACACAGCCACCCCCTAAAGCCCGGCACCTGTCAATATGTGACCTTAGTGGGAAATGGCACTTTGCAGATGTGATTCAGATGTGATTCAGGTTCCAGACCTTGAGATGCGGAGATAATGCTGGACTACCTGGGGAGCACAATCTAATCACGTGAGTCTTTAAAAAGAAAGATACTTTGCCATCTGTAATCAGGGATAATACAAGAAGAAGGAGGAAAAGGAAAGAGGAGAGAGAGGGTGGAGAAGGAATTCAAAGCATGAGAGAGACTTGACCAACCCTGTTGGCTTTGAAGGTAGAAGAAAGGAAGCTCCAGCCAAGAAATGTGAGTGGCCTCTAGAAGCTAGGAATGGCCAGCAGCTGATAGGCCTTCCCTACAGGGAACTGAATTATGCCAACAACCCAAATAAGGAAACAGATTCCTCCTGGAGCCACAGGAAAAGAATGCCGCCTTGCTGACATCATGAATCTAGCCCAGTGAGACCAAAACCGATCTTCTGGCCTCCAGAACTGGAAGATAGATAATAAATATGTGCTGTTTTAAGCCAATAGATCTATGATAATTTGTTACAGCAGCAATAGGAAGCTAATACTCTATCTCAAAGGTTTGCTATAAAGATGAAATGAGCTTAATCTATAAAAAGAGCTTAAAACAAGGCTGAGTATTATGGTAAGTACTTAATTAATCATTTAACTTTTTGGTGGCAGGGGACAGGGTCTCACTCTGTCTCCCAGATTGGGGTACCATGGTACAATCACGGCTCACTGCAGCCTCGACCTCCTGGGCTCAAGTGATCCTCCCATCTCAGCCTCTTGCGTAGCTGGGACCACAAACCCAAGGCACCATGCCTGGCTAATTTTTGTATTTTCTGTAGAGATGGGGTTTGGCCATGTTGCCCAGGCTGCTCTTGAACTCCTGGGCTCAAGCAGTCCACCCCCGTTCAGCCTCCCAAAGTGCTGGGATTATAGACGTGAGCCAACACGCTTGGCCTCATTTAATTTTTTAATGGTGAACAAGATAAGTACACTTCATGTTCTCACAGAACTTTAGTCTTGAGGGTGAGAGGCTAAATAATTAAGCAAGTAATCAGGCTGGGCACAGTGGTTCACGCCTGTAATCACAGCACTTTGGGAGGCCAAGGCAGGTGGATCACCTGAGGTCAAGAGGTCGAGACCAGCCTGGCAACATGGTGAAACCCCATCTCTACTAAGAAACACAAAAATTAGCCAGGCGTGATGGCAGGTGCCTGTAATCCAAGCTACTCAGGAGACTGAGGGAGGAGAATCTCATGAACCCGGGAGGTAGAGGTTGCAGTGAGCCGAGATCGTGCCATTGCGCTCCAGCCTGGGCGACAAGAGCGAAACTCTGCCTCAAAAAAAAAAAAAAAAAAAAAAACCAAAACAAGTAATCATAAGATGTGAAAAGGCTAAGACCAGGAAATTACAGGATAATCAGAGAATACCTGGGGGACTTACTAACTTCACAGAGACCTAATAAAGACCCTCACAGATGGTCATTTCCTATGTTCAAAATGCCAGCCTTTAATAATCCAACAAGCAGTAACATCCAGATAGCCCTTATTACCAACAGTATAGGTAACGATGTCTATCTAAATTTTATTAAACTACTAGTCTGATTAAAAGAGAAAGTAATTGGTACCTTTCTGTCAAAACAATTTTTGGAAGACATCTGCCAAGGAAAAAGATAAGACTTTCGAGGGGATTTTTCCTTTTTTTTTTTTTTTTTCTGAGACGGAGTCTCATTCTTTCACCCAGGCTGGAGTGCAGTGGCGCGATCTCGGCTCACTGCAAGCTCCGCCTCCTGGGTTCACGCCATCCTGCCTCAGCCTCCCAAGTAGCTGGGCCTACAGGCACCTACCACCACGCCCAACTAATTTTTTGTATTTTTAGTAGAGACAGAGTTTCACTGTATGTTAGCCAAGATGGTCTCAGTCTCCTGACCTCGTGATCCACCCGCCTCGGCCTCCCAAAGTGCTGGGATTACAGAAGTGAGCCACCTCGCCTGGCGGGATTTTTTCATTTAAAAAGACACATGCTTATATTTTATGCATATGCGCTTTTTCTTTTTTTTTTTTTTGTATTTCACTTTACTGCCCTATCTACTGCTCTACAGACCTGAAGAACTTGCCCAAGTTCTATTCAAATTGACATCAAAATATCATCAGAATCTAATGTAAATCATTTTAGCAGGTTTGAACCTTGATTAAAGGAGATGCTGCAAATGCATCTGGAGGCCAGGACTGGATGGATCTGTCTGCATTAACCAGGCCCATGCCACACACCCCCACCCCCTACCCGCCCCCTGCCCACTGCAGCAGCAGCAGCCCTGTGCACAGATAAAGCTGCATTCTCATTCGATGCCCTGACTCTAGGTTTCTGGAACTCAAAACTCAGTGTCTGAGATACAATGACAAGCTCCAGAGAGAAAAATAGCAACTTTTTCCTACTGAAAAGAAAGGAAAACACAGTCACCTTACCCAAACAGCCCAAAATACCTTTAAATGAGCATGACTACTTTCTCCTATACACGAATTTTTTTAATGTGTTCAACTTTCAATGATTGCAAAGTCATAAATTCCACCCAAATGGATCTCCATGCTCCTCCTGACCTTGACGTCAAACAACTGGAAGGAGGCCTCAGTTCTCTCAGCAGGTTGTCCACTCCATTGCAGACCATAAAAGAAAACTATTGCCTAAAAATTAGCATGCATATTCCATTTTGTTAGTTATTGTATCCTTTATTCCTTTGCTCTTGAGGAATAGCACTAAATTACCCTCTCTGGCAAAATGCCCACAGTCAAGGGGAAACAAAAAACAAACTCACTCCTTGGAAAACTCTCCGGGTATTGTGAAGTTACCAGCATCTTTAAACTGCTGTTAAAGATGCTTCACTGTTATAATCCCAGCACTTTGGGAGGCCAAGGCAGGTGGATCACGACGTCAGGAGATCGAGACCATCCTGGCTAACACGGTGAAACCCCGTCTCTACTAAAAATACAAAAAAAATTAGCCGGGCATGGCGGCGGGCACCTGTAGTCCCAGCTACTCGGGAGGCTGAGGCAGGAGAATGGCATGAACCCGGGAGGCGGAGCTTGCAGTGAGCCGAGATGGCACCACTGCACTCCAGCCTGGGCGACAGAGCGAGACTCTGTCTCAAAAAAAAAATTTAAAAAATGCTTCACTACTAGTTGTGAAATGTAACAAACAAGAATTTCATTAGCACAAAATCACTCTGGCTCCCACACCTCATAGCCAAGACCCTGTTCCCACAGCTAACATCAATCTACCTTCAGATCAAGCCCCTTCCTCTTTTTTTTTTCAAGTCTACAGCACCGGGTCTCCCCAGTGGTCTCCCATCCAAGTACTGACCAAGCCAACCCTGCTTAGCTTCTGAGACCAGGCGCATTCAGGTCGGTCCAGCCATCGATCCCTTTCTCTTTGTAAGGAAAAGCACCTGAGCCAGCTGGGAAGGAGGTGGTCACAAAAGGCAGTCCAAAGAGCAGGTGCCTGGGTTGGAGCGGAGGGAGCCGAATGGCACAAGGCAGGATCAGCACCTTCAGGCAGCGACTGCACAACACCGACTCAGACAAGGCACACAGGATGGTGCTGCTGGAAGGCAAAGGGCAGGGAGGCCGGGGGCAGCAGGGAAGAGGGCCAGCCTGGCCTTGGAGGGGTCCACAGGACATGACCCCAGCCTACACCCAAAATCTCACTCATCCAAGTGACCCTGGGGCCACTGCTCACACCAGGGAACCTTCCAGACACAGCGGCAAAGACAGCCACTGGAATAATAAGCAGTGGTCACATCATCCATGTCCCATATTAAGGAGCTTGGACTGGATCCTAATCCCCTGCTCTGCTCCTGGAAGGGCTTCCCCAAAACAATGCTCCCCGCCTCACAGCCCTCGCCACCCCACTGCCCACGGAAGAGAAAAGTCTGTCTCAGTAGGAGACAGAAGCTGCTCCTCCTTCCTCCACTAGGTAGAATGAATCCAGTGAGAGCCTGTTAGCACAGAGACTTTGTCTCTCTTTCTTGCTTGCGTGTGGCAGCTTCCTAGGTAACTTGGGTGCAGGTCTTTCCCTTAGATGGACGGCGCCAAGGTCTATCCTGCAGGGAGTCAGGAATTGGGGCGGGGAGCTTGGGTAAGGCCGTTTGGCCCTCACGCCTCAACCGCATGGGCCCACAGCCTTAGTAAGAAAGGTGAGATTCTGGTCTCCATCTGCCTGACTCCTACGTCAACTACAGCTGGGACTTGGGGTGGGGAAGAGAAGAGTCACTTATTAGCTCCCGAGGCCAAATGGAAACACTGCAGGGTTTGAAGCCCCTGGGTGATGTGACTATGTTGTAGAAGACATTCGAGGATGCACTGGTGGGAATCTGGTCTGTGTGGAGACCTGGGAGAAGTCAGTTATGACAGTCCAGCTGAGGACGGCACCAGAGCAGTCAGGGCAAGATAGAAGAGAACAGATTGCGTGCACACACACACACACACACACACACACACACACACACCTGCAGGAAAATCTACAGCACTTGGTAATTACCTGGTTTTGGAGGCAGTGAAAGATACCCAAGTCTTGGTAGATGGCATCAAAGAGTTGAGGAGAAACTGGACTAAGGAGAAAAAGCTGGGTTCATTTTGGACGTGATGCTCTGGGAGGACCTCCAGCAAGCAGAGTGATGTCCAAGTCTAAAGATCGGGTGTGAGACAGACAGCACTTCTTCCTATGGTTCATGTGACATCCACCATGTCCCGCCACAGAGGCCATCTACACATTTTCACTTTCAATGCCCAGATTCTGGATTTGCCAAGTCAGTTTGAAAATAAGCCACTGAGCTCTAATGAGCTTTTCTCTGGTTGTGTTTCTGCGGCATGCCCGAAGTGCTGTCTTGCCTGGCTAAATCTGCCTCCCTAAGGAGCTCCACATGGGCCTCTAAGCACAAAGCCTGGAGTAGGTGAAAGAATTTACTCTACCCCTAGGAGTCTGAAGTGTTTCACAAAACCCTACTAGACTGAATTAAGAAGAATGCCAGAGGATTTTAGCCTTTGCTCTCAGAGAAATATGCTGTCACCTCCTGTTCCCGGAGGAGGGGCTGATGAAGGATCACTCTGGCCTGAGAACATCTGCTCTGCCCTTTTAGGCAGCATTCCTCCTGGGAGACACAGGAGGGGACGGGGTTGTGACCACCTTGAAGCCACCAGGTCAGTGCCCCTGCCCTCCCCCCGCCCTCAGGCTCCCAGGGAGAGCCTCACATCTCACAGGGCTTCCAGCAGAGGAAGCAGCCAGATGGTGCCAGAGAAAACCTCGGAGGGGCAGAAACACAATGGAAAAAGACAGAGTGGGAGGTTGCCTCACTCACGTCTACATTATTCAAGACTTTTAAAAAACACAACAATAACAACCTAATTTCTTCTTGGAGAGCCTCAGGCTTGCAGTTAATGACATTTTCATTAATTCATTCTTTCCTACTTAGCACATTTTCCTCTCACTACGCCTAGACTCTGTTCTTTGAGCACATCATCTCTATCCAATTCAATCTCTGTTCCCTCTGCACTGGCCATAATACCTGGTATGTTGTACTGTTCAGAGAACACCTACTGAAAGACTGAATGAGTGAGTGGGTGCGTGCATGAACGGATGGATGGATGGATGGATGGATGGATAGATGGACGGATGGGGGGTGGGTGGATGGATGGATGGATGGATGGATGGAAGGATGGATAGATGGGCAGGTGGGGGAAGAGATGAGAGGATGGATACATGTGTGGATGGATGGATGGATGGATAGATAGATGGTCAGGTGGGGGAAGAGATGAGAGGATGGACACATGCGCGGATGGATGGATGGATGGATGGATGGATAGTGGAGGAAGAGATGGGAAGATGGATACATGTGTGGACGGATGGATTCAACTAATAGCTCTTAAGTGCCCACTCTGTGCCAAGCACAGCACTAAGCACTGGGCATACAGAGATGACTGATGCCTGCTCTCAACTTCAGAGGGACTCACAACCTAGTAGGGGGAAATGCCATATTCCTAAGCCAATACATGATAAATGCTATAACAAAGAGGAGAGAGCAATGGACTGAGCACAGAGGGGTTGTGCAGACTGAGCCCCAAAAGATGCAAAGGATCTCTTGGCACTGGGTTCAGCATGTGCCTTCCCAAACCTGCAGTGGCATTCCTTTGGCCCAACTGAAACCTCCAAAGTTCATTCCAGTTCTTTCCCTCTAAAGAGTCCTCTGTAATCAACACCCCTCCTCTTTGGCTTGACAAACATTGCTGAGGGTCAAACTTCTCCCCAAGACAGCAGTTACATAGTACATACATCTGAGGACACAACACTGACATCTGATCATGGAAACATGGTGTGGCATGGTAGTGGATGTTGGCAAAGGGGTGTAGTGAAAAGGGTGTAGGATCTGGAGTCAGAGTCTCCAACTGGTGAATCCCAAGTTCAACAATGCAATAGCAAACTTGGAACATAACTGATTTTCTCTGACTCTCACTTTTTCCATATTTACGTAGGTAACATGGTAATACGTACAGAGCAGTGTTGTTTAAAAGACTGAATGAGAACTCTATGTAAATAAGCCAGCACCATATCTGGCACACACACATTTGGCTCTCAATGTTAATCGCCTATTTCCTGCTTCCTGGGATTTGGAGACACCATTTCTTTTCCATTGCCTTTTGTCATGTAGATTCAACTCTATCCCATCTGGTCCAGTCTCCCAGTCAAAAATATTCCTTCTCCACCCATCCCCATCCTCTCTGCACTGATCCAGCTCCTATTCTGTTGCAGTGAGTAGGAGATTAATCTTCATCCTCCCCTCTTAGGATGTGAGCTCCTAAGGGCAGCGGCCAGGACTTAGGCAGCTCTACAACCCGGAAGCCTAGCTCAGTACCTGCCACAGATTATTACTCAGAAATTACTGGCTGAAGAACCACAAGTTATGCTGGTGATACCAGTATTACTACAGCCCATGTGAGTGCATCCTACCAAGCCAGGATGTCCAGCCAATATGGCAATATCGGTACCAAGAAGGACCAGGCCTGGAAGAGCACTTCATACACCCTGGGGACTAAATAAATGTGAGTTATTACAAGGAAGCCACAGTTCTTTTTTTTTTTAAAGCAAGACCGAAAACCATCAATTAACTAGAATGATCAGGAAATTGCGTGTTGCTGCTAATTTAAGTTTCTGGCAAGTCAAAATAAATCTCCAAGCCAGGACTATAGAGTTTCAGAAAAGGGAGAAAATTCTACCAGCTAAGGAGATCAGGGAAGGCTTCCTGAAAGAAGTAGGCCTTGAAGGATGACTAAGAGCTTCCCTATAAACCCCATACTGGGCTAGACTAAGAGAATCTAATTTGTGGCAAAGATCTTGAGTGTTGCTCCCGGATAAATTAATTACCGTGACCCTGAGCTGCTTCGAACTTCCTTCCCTGAGATGCCCATCCTTTGATTCTGGGATTGAAATCCATGAGGGTGACATACACATCCTTACTGTTCCCACACAAGGACAAGGGAGAGACGCCCACCCGCCTCTGTCAGGGATATGAGCTGCGAGTCCCTAACAGACTTCCAGGACAGCTGAAAAATGTCCTTATGTGGGAAAATAAAGAGGATAGACAGATTTGATTCATCCTCGGGGCATTCTAGAACCGTAGCAGACCTGCTTACATAGTCTTCGTTATGAATACAAATAGGAAAACAATCAGACCCAATTAAGTCCATTTTTTTAAGCTTTGCGCTTCAGCTCCAGAACAGAGAAGTTTCATCTTTATCAAAATCTCCATTCCCAGGCGGACGGACAGTGTGTTGAAAGAATCCATAACTCTTTCTTTCCAGCCCACCGGTTCCTCCACCCTCACTGCCCCAACAACTGAAAGAAGGTCATTTTGACCTGATTATCTTTGTCTATAAGTCTTAAGCCATATCCGCCTAAGTAAAACATAAAATTACTTAAGCTGCGTAAAAAGTCTCCTAAGTCTCATTCTTTTCTTAGGATTCTTCAGATCCCACAAGGGTCACTGAGCACATGCCATGTGTTGGGCACAGTGAGCCTTCCAACAGCCGTGTGAGACAAGAGGTCTTATCCTCTTTGTCACACAGGGAAAGTGAGGCTTGGTGGTTGATTTGAGCAAAGAGCTCCTGTACTAGCTGGTGGGGTGTGGAGCACACAGCCCAACCCAGGGACCCACGCCAAGCTCACCGCACCTTCCACCAAAACAGAGTAATCTTCAACAATCCTTGGTCTAAACACACACAAGTCATTTTTTTCTAAAGCTTTAGGAAATACACACGTTTCCCCTTGCTTCAATGTTGCCAGGAAAATCCTTGCAGGAATCACACCCGTTGCATTCATTACTAAATACACAGGGCATAGCACATAGTAAGCACTCAATAAATATTTGTTAAGTGAATTTTTACTTAATAGGAAAGCACTTAGCTGCTTTTTAAAAAAATTTTCTACTTCAGCCTCATAAGAATTATAATTTCTCTCTTCAGGTTTTACTAAATTAAATGATGATTCCCAAGACACAAATTCCTCCCCAGGAGCTAGTGGTCAACTTTTTAAAATGAAAATAAAAGAATTTGAAGACAGCGTTGCTAGAGGTGATGGTGGCACAACATTGTCAATGTACTAAACACCACTAAATTGTTCACTTTAAAATGGTTAATTTTATGTTGTGTGAATTTCATGTCAATTGTTTTAATGTATTTCCAGCACTGTTTCTGAATATAACTCCATTGCCAGTGCCTTGGGAATTCCACTCGCTACAGGCTAGAAATCGCTGAGTAACAGAAAGCAATGAGACTGGACCGAGATTTTTTTTCAGGAACACAGACAGCAAAGTAACAGTCAGAGGAAAGGGGCGGTGGGTGGTAATAACAGTCACACCCACCAAGGTCTCCTCCACGGACCAGCGCTGGGCCAGGCATCCGAGGTGTGTCATCTCACTTAATCCCCACATCAGCTCTAGAGGCAGGACCCCTGTTCTCCCCAGTTCACAGTGAGACTAGGTGTCTAAAATACAGGGCAAACAGGCTGAGTGTTTGCTTTGGGCTATATGAAAGCCCACTGTGCAGTACAGAGGAACCCCATTCCCCTAAGCTCAGGGTCTCAGCAGCAGGCGAGTTCCTGGATGAGGATGAGGAGCAGTGAGACATGAATGCTGCTCTCCTGCGCAGACGCCCTCCTCTCACCGGGTCACCTTCAGAGGGCACGCTGCTTCCTCATCTGGAGACATCCAAGTTCTCCAAAATGGAGTTCCTGTTACCTTCTCCACCCACCCCTAATATGCTTTGGTTCCAGCCAGTCTTTCCCTGAACTCACACTCCCATCTTGTCTCCATGCCTTGGCCCAAAGTTTACCCCACCTAGAATGCCATCCCCTGCTCTATTCTTACTCCCCATTCACTCTCAGAGATGTGGAGCCAAAAATTGTCTTCCTAGTTCTGCCTTTCCTGGCTACGCAATCTGGGGAAAAATGTAACTTCTCTGGGCCCCAGCTCTCCAGCCATAAAATGGGGATGATTGTGTAGCACCCGAAAAACTATGACCCCTAGAAAAATGCTTTACTGGATGATGGACAGAGTGATCTTTTCATCCAAGCCTGGCTACCCATGGCCGTTCACCAGGAAAAAGCTTCGTTCTTGTGAAGACTGCTGGGAGGAAGTGAGCCTGACGCCCCATGCCTGCCCTCACCATTGGCCCTGCAGAAGCCAATGTGAAGAGTTTGCGCTGGCCAAAGCTGGGCAATTTGAGCACCAAAACAAATAATTACTTTGCCAGATCAGGCACACTGACTGTGTTTTTAAAAATCCATACGTTCATAATTGGCCAGGCATGGTGGCTCATGCCTGTAATCCCAGCACTCTGGGAGGCAGAGATAGGCAGATCACCTGAGGTCAGGAGTTCGAGACCAGCCTGCCCAACATGGCGAAACCCTGTCTCTACCAAAAATACAAAAAATAGCCGGGTGTGATGACAGGCACCTGTGATCCCAGCTACTCGGACTGCTTGAACCCAGGAGGCGGAGGTTGCAGTGAGCCACAGTAGCACCACTGCATTCCAGCCTGGGTGACAAGAGTAAGACTCCGTCTCAAAAAAAAAAAAAAAAAATCCATATGTTCATAATACTGAAAAAAGAAAAAGAAACTAACACTGGGTCAGCTTTGGAGGATGCGAGGAAATGAACTCATTATCCTGAAAACTGGTGGATAAAGGAAAAGAACCAAGCCTTCCTCCCACCTTTCCTGTGTGAGCTGTATTTTCAAGTAACCAAATCGTTGATTAGGAAAATGTCTTTATAAAAGAATTCCAGCAAATATATGAAGAAGGAATTATAAATTAGGGTGTCATCATTTTACAACCCCTAATGAAATCATGGATCTTAGCAGTGACTGGCAATTGTGGCTAAATCCAATGATGAAAGATTGAAGGGGGAATTTTAAGATGGATAGATCAGGCTGATAGTTATTGAAACTACTAACATTACACAGGGAGAAAAGCAGATTGCATTCTGCCATTGGTGCAATATAAGGTACATACCATCACTCTGGCATCTTCTCACCAGACATTAAATCTGAATCTGATCCAGTCCCTATATCAAATTACTAATTTACTGAATATACAGGGACAAAGATACACATTAAACAACAGCCCAGTGATGCAATCAGCCAAGTCCAGTAAGTAGGGAATTCCAAGGGAACAGCGACTGGATGTTTTCAACAAATAAATGGCAAGAAAAAAACTGTTATAAACCAAAAGAAACCCAACAGACATATCAATAAAAAGCAAAATGCATGGACTTTTTATTGGATCCTGATTCTAGCAAACAGACCAACTGCAAAAACATGCTAATGAAATAAGGGGAAATTGAATTGTCTTAGCCCATTGGAGCTGCTCTTACAAAATATCTTAGATCAGCTAATTTATAAACAACAGAAATTCATTTCTCACGTTCTGGAGGCTGGGAAGTTCAAGGGTATGGCACCAGCAGACTCAGTGTCTGGTGAGGGCTCCGTCTCTGCTTCAAAGATGGGGCCTTCTCACTGCATCCTCACATGGTGGAAGGGGCAAACAGGCTCCCTCAGAACCTCTTTTCTAAGGGTGCCAATCCCATTCATGAAGGCAGAGCCTTCATGATCTAACCCCCTCCTAAAGGCCCACCTCTGAATACTATCACATTGGGGATTAGGCTCCAACATATAAATTTTAGGAGGACACCAACATTCAAACCGTAGCAAACATTAACTGGATAATTGGTATAATAAGGAATTACCGTTAATGTTTTTTAGGTGTGATAACGGTATTGTGGTAACTTTTTTTTTTAAAGAGAACACCTTTAGAGATACACATAAAAGCATTTTTGGATGAAAGGATATACCTGGGATTTGCTTCAAATAAGCTAACAAAGAAAAAATGTGTGCAGAGTGTAATAAAACAAAATCGCCCACATGTTGCTAATTTTTTTAAATCTGGGAAATATATATATGGGGGCTCATAAAAATATTCCTTTTTCTTTTGTGTATGTTTAAATTTTTCCATGATAAAAGCCTTAAAAAGGAGAAAAAAGTGAATATGGTCCTGCACACTTTGGACTTAGGGGGAATTCTTACAGAAAGAAAAATCTGGGGCCGGGCGCGGTGGCTCATACCTGTAATCCCAGCACTTTGGAGGCCAAGGCAGGTGGATCACGAGGTCAGGAGATCGAGACCATCCTGGCTAACACGGTGAAACCCCGTCTCTACTAAAAATACAAAAAAATTAGCCGGGCGTGGTGGCGGGCGCCTGTAGTCCCAGCTACTCGGGAGGCTGAGGCAGGAGAATGGCGTGAACCCGGGAGGCGGAGCTTGCAGTGAGCCGAGATCGCGCCACTGCACTCCAGCCTGGGCGACAGAGCGAGACTCTGTCCCGAAAAAAAAAAAAAAAAAAGAGAGAAAGAAAAATTTGGATTCACCTTTAGGCCTCAGATGTCTTCATGTTTCGGAAGACAACCACGGTGAACGTTTTGGGTAGGCAATGGCAATAATGGTGGAGATTCTGGCAAACAATGATTTGAAATGCTGTGGATCTAGAAAGAGAAATCTTCAACACGGTGCAAGCCAAATCTCTAAAGTTTATGTTGGCTTTAAAAGGATGTTTGTTTTATTTTGTTTCATTCTAAATACAAGTGTAGACTACACTGTCCTGGAAAATGACTGTTTGTTCTTGGGAGGATTATGTACGTTCTTGTTCAAGCAGCAAGCCACGTAAAAGGGGAGTGGCCAGGCAAAGATGTCAGGAAGGATGCAAAACAAACCTTTGCCACACTGGGGGAAAGCCAGAAAGGAGCCCAGCCTGAGGCTGCCAAAGCGTGTGCAAAGCCCGTTCTGCTGAAGACCCACGCAGGGCGCTGTTCTTTGTTGGAAAATGAAGGATCTGGGAAATATTCCAACGCCAGCCTCATGTGTCCCGATGCAGAGGATGGTGAGGGTGGCTGCAGGGTGAGGCCAATCCCTGGATGTAAAATGTGGAGGGTTTTCCTGGAGGAAATAGAAATTCCAACTGCCATGAGCCCCTGGAGAAGGAAGATCTAGGGATAGAAATTGGACCAGGGTGCAGGCCTGTGGCATGGGACTGGGGCCACAGTGGGGAGAGGCTGAAGGGCCTGGAAGAGCTCAGTGTCTATCTGTCTGTCTTTCTGTTTCTCCTTCTCTCAGAAGAAGAAGAAAGCAAACCTCTACCATAGGCGAAATGGACTAGAAGCTGTCTAGAAGTCTCTGAAAACAATATATCTAGTACATGGCTTTATGTTTTTTGGCATATAATTCCCTCCTGGGATAATTTCCTCAATATATTACTGTAAACAATGCAGCCTCTGTTTAGATGAGTTAATGGAGAGAATTAAAGAAAGGTCCAGAATCCTCAGTTAAAATAACTCAGGAAAAGGCAGCTTTCTTCTCACCCACTCCAAGGCCTATGTGGTGACAGCAGCAACAGCTTCCCTGAGTCCTGTGGTCTCAGGACTCCATGGTAGAGTCGGGACCAGAGAGGGACAGACTCAGTATGAACACAGCTGTTGGGGGCACCAGGCAACCAGCTCCACCCAGAGCCTCCAAGGGCAGGAAGGACTCTGAGAAGCAGGAGGCTGGCGCCTGGACAGGCAGCAACTCCATGCCAGGAGACTCCCTTGTTAGTCAAAATAATACCCATTTGATAGAACTGCAAGGGCTGGGCAAGGTCTCTGAACTAATAAAACACAGAATACAGTTTGCATGTTCACTCTTGGTTTCTTGATACCAAATATAAATTACCTGATCTAGTGCCTGCATCAGAGTAGGCAGTCACTACAGGGCCACTTTTGATGCTATTATTATTATGTTGCCATTATTGTTTTTCGGTTTATGGTTTTTTTTTTTTTTTGGAGTCTTGCTCTGTTGCCCAGGCTGGAGTGCAGTGGCGCAATCTCCACTCACTATAACCTCTGCCTCCCGGGTTCAAGCAATTCTCCTGCCTCAGCCTCCCGAGTAGCTGGGATTATAGGCACCTGCCACCACGCCTGGCTCAGTTTTGTATTTTTAGTAGAGATGGGGTTTCGCCACGTTGGCCAGGCTGGTCTGAAACTCCTGACCTCAGGTGATCCGCCTGCCTTGGCCTCCCAGAGTGCTGGGATTACAGGCGTGAGCCACCTGTTACTGTTGTTATTACTATAATTAATCATGAAAAAATACCAATGCTTGTGATATCATCTACCAAGAAAACTGGTATATAGAGAAGGATTATTTCTGTTTTAATTTCTTTGTATAATAAGTTATTGATTATCTTGTAATTCTATATCAAAATCAGCAATATTCTTTGATTGCTTCACACAAAATATAAAGGGATGTAACACATGTTGTATTTAACGTGGGTGGAACCTTGATCCTGAAAGTTCTGAAAAACAAAGTGTGATATCCACAGTACAGTGCAGTCTGCCACTGCACACTGCAGTGTGTGTGCAGTATCAGGGACTGGAAGTTGGCTCCTCCCCAGGATGGAGAGTCCAGAGCTCAGGGTTCCACGCTGCTCTGCTGCTCCAACTCTGGTCATTCTGCCAGTTCCCAAGCCTCCCCAAGCTTCCATGATCTCATCCCTAGCACACATCACATTTTAGCATAATGAACTTTCAAGACATGAAGGAAGGGAAGACGGGACTGTATGATCATTTCTAACTAATTTGGGGAAATCCACCTCTAATTCCTAACCAACTCCAAAGGCAGATGGTCTAATAGAAAATAATAAATACACCAACTAAATCTCCACTCTTTTCCCCTGGCCACCTAGGTTTCTCATCACCTAATGAACAAAATGCCCACTGGTCTGGGTATGCTAAGGCCTGCCAAGGAGATCATGGGGAGAGAAGCTCTGATTCCTGGGCCTCAGGTGCTCTTACCATTGGCCTCCCTGAAGAAAAGGTGTCACTGGTTCCCCTCAGGCTATGGCCACAAGCCCAGTCCCCAGATAAACCATTTGACCCTGGCTCAGCTGCATGGTAACTACCTGTTGGCACATTACCAAACCACGCTTCTCAAGGACAGGAAATTCCAGCATCTATACTCAACCAAGAACACATGAGATGATTTGCTGTGACTAGAAACATTACTCCCAGACCACAGAGAATGTTAGGCCCGTGAGCACGGGGACCATGTGCACTGGGCTCACAGGTCTGTTCTTGGTGCCTGACATACTGCAGGTGCTCAATAAATATTTGTTGTAGCAATAAACAAACGCAACAGGCTTTGATACCCAGCCCTGTCGCTCCTTCACTGTAGAACCATTAGTAAATTGCTCTGCCTCTCTGCACCCTGCATCACAACTGAGAGTTCGCCGATGTTAAACATTATCCTTTTTCCTGATTTAATATTTATTTACAGCATGCCTTACTACTGCTTTACTTCCAAAGTCCGTTTACAAGTTAGTTTGAACACTTTTTTTTTTCCCAAAACAGGGTCTTGCTCTGTTTCCCAGGCTGGAGTGCAGTGGTGTGATCACAGCTCACTGCACCCTCGTTCTCCTGGGCTCAAGCAATCCTCCCATCTCAGCCTCCCCAGTAGTTGGTACTACAAGTACCCATCACCACGCCCGGCTAATTTTTTGTTTTTATTTTTTGTAAAGACCAGGTATCCCTATGTTGGCCAGGCTGGTCTCAAACTCCTGACCTCAGGTGATCCTCCTGCCTTGGCCTCCCAAAGCATGGGGTTACAGGCGTTAGCCACTGTACCCAGCCTGAACACTTTCATTGTTTTTATAATTTAATGATTTATTATTATTGAATTCCTCACATCCCTGAGGATGTGGGACAAACTCTCAGGGAAGTATAGAAGAGCTGGAGAGAACTGCTTGTGTGAAAGACTCTAGCTCTGTCCAGAGGACCAGTGGCTGGAGAGACAGGAAGGAGCTGGCAGGCACCATGACAGAATGTGCTCTCCACCCCAAGAGCATGCAGAGCCATTAGGAGACATTTTAAGCAAAGGAGAAGCATGATCAAGTGCAGGCTGGGAAACTGACTTACACTCCCCTCGCCGCAGTCCCCATCTCGGTAGAATGTGATGACACCTGCCAGGCACGGTGGCTCATGCCTTAATCCCAGCACTTTGGGAGGCCGAGGCAGGTGGATCACTTGAGGTTAGGAGTTCAAGACCAGCCTGGCCAACATGGTGAAACCCCGTCTCTACTAAAAATGCAAAAATTAGCTGGGCATGGTTGCATGCTCCTGTAGTCCCAACTACTTAGGAGGCTGAGGCAAGAGAATCACTTGAACCTGGGAGATGGAGGATGCAGTGAGCTGAGATGGCGTCACTGCACTCCAGCCTGGCAACAGAGCAAGACTCTATCTCAAAAAATAAAATTAAATTAAATGAAAAGAATGTGATCACACCTATCTTGCAAGGCAGTTGTTACTCAGAGCCAATAAGGTGGCCCAAAGTGCTGTGTCTGGCACAAGAAAGGGCTCAATGAATAGTGTAGGAATGAAAACAAAAAGTAATGTCGAATTATTCATAATGGCCAACAAGTAGAAATAAGCAATCAAGCAATGTTTGGATAAACAAAATGTGATCTATCCATACAATGGAATGTTATTCAGCCAGTAAAAGGAATAAAGTGCTATTACATGCTACAACATGGATGAAACTTGAAAACATTACACTAGGTGAAAGAACCCACACACAAATATGCAAAATGTCCAAAATAAGCAAAATCCATAGAGACAGAAAGTAGATTCGTGGTTTCCAAGCAAGGAAGGAATGGAGACTACTCGCTCATAGATGCAGGATTTCTTTTTGGGTAGTGGAAATATTTTGGAATTCATGGAGGTGGTGGCATAACTTTGTAAATCTACTAAAAATCGCTTCAACATAGTGAGTTTTCTGTTATGTGAATTATATCTCTATTAAAAAATCGCTTTGAAGACCCTCATCCACAGTTTCACTTTTCATGGTTTCAGTTTTCCAAGGTCTGAAACTACTAAATGAAAAATTCCAAAAATAAGTCATACATTTTAAATTGCATGCCATTCTTAGCAGCATGATGAAATCTCCCACCTTCTCACTCCATCCCATCCAGGACGTAAATCTCCTTTGTCCAGAGTGTCCACAGTGTGGACACCACCCACCCATGACCACTAGTCACTTATGACCCATCTCAGTTCTCATATCAGCAGATCACAAGAAGAAGGGTGAGTACAGTACAGTAAGAGACAGAAGGAGAGAAACCACATTCACTTAACTTTTATTACAGTATATTGCTATAATTGTTCTATTTTATTATTAGTTATTATTATTAATACTTTACTGAGCCTAATTTATAACTTAAACTTTATCATAGGTGTGTATGTATACGAAGAAACACAATATATATATAGTCCAGTACTAGCCATGGTTTCAGGCACCCACTAGGAATCTTGGAACATATATCCCATGGACAAGGGGGAATTACTGGAATGCTGAATATTGTGGAAAACCTGTTAAAGTCAGAATATGTAATATGCAATAAACAGGAAGGTTATCTTGCTCTGCTAACCCTAAGATAACCAGACGTGAGCAATCTCATCAGCAATCAAAGCTCGAATCATCATTCCACACTCGGAAAGTGGCCAAAATTAAGAAGCCCAACAATATTTGGTGTTGGCAAAAATGTGAGGAAAGAAGCACTCATCTGCCACCACTGGACATGTAAATTAGTCTGGCCACGCTAGCGAGCAATTTGGCAGTGCCTACACAAAGTGGAAGTGCACATACCACGTAACCTAGCAATTCCGCTCCTAGAAACTCCCCTACTGAGACACGAAGAGATACAAAAGGATGATCAGAGCAACATTTGTCATAATATTATAAAAAAGGAAACAATGAAAATGTCTACCATTAGAGGGAGAAAGAGAAAACAGTGATATATATTCACACTACCAAATACCAAAGATTAGCTAAAATGAACTACATCAATAATGTGAATATGAACAATGCCATTTACAACCCAAAAAATGTAAGCACTCGAAGCAATAGATACAGATTTATGTAATAAACGTGTGAAAATCTGGGCAGAAACAAGCCATGCCACACTCATGAGAATTGTCCCTCTGGGATGAGGGAGGAGAAAAGGGGACTTCCCCTCATCAGGAACGTTTCTTTCTTTTTACTGTCTGGGGCCATGTACAACAGCCAAGCCAGGTGGGGAAATAAGATGAGAGTGATTTCTGCTAGCCCCACACAACTAGAACATTGGTCTCCTTGCCCTCTGAAAGTCACTTTTACCAGGCACCTCTGCAGCAGCCTCCCTTTCTCCTTTCCAACATGAGCCATGAAGCCCCATAGCAACAACACAGCCTGGAGGTCGGATGGACTTCGTATGAATCTCAATTCCACCCCTTCCTGTCTGTGTGGCCTTGTCACTGAGGCTTTCTAAGCTCCCATTCCTCAACCATGAGACAGCAACAAAACTCACCTCCTGGACTTGTTAACACAGTTAAATGATGTAATCCTTCCACCTGTGACATCACTATATGAAGTGCTCCAGATAACATATAAAATAGATGTAGGCACATATAAAGTACTTGGTACAATATCTGAGGTCAATAAATATTTTCATCATATTTGTATATAAATAGATAATAAAGATAAAAGTTTATCTTCCTCCTTGCAAGTTAAACTGTCTTGTAGTTATTTGCTCCTTTAGTAGTTTATCCAAATAAAGATAAACTACTAAAGGAGCAAATATATGAACTGAGGAAAACCCCAAATTGCACTAGTTCTGTAAACTGAAGAAGAAATCCGGCCAGACACAGTGGCTCATGCCTGGAATCCCAGCACTTTGGGAGGCCAAAGCAGGCAGATCCCTTAAGCCCAGGAGTTCAAGACCAGCCTGGGCAACATGGCGAGACCCTATTTCTACAAAAAAAAAAAAAAATTAGCCAGGTCTGGTGGTGCATGCCTGTAGTAACAACTCCTGAGGAGGCAGAGGTGAGAGGATTGCTTGAGCCAGGGAAGTCGAGGCTGCAGTGAGCTGTTACCATACCACTGCACTCCAGCCTAGGCAACAGACTGAGACCCTGTCTCAGGAAAAAAAAAAAAAAAAGAGGGCCAGGCGTGGTGGTTCATGCCTGCGATCCCAGAACTTTGGGAGGCCCAGGCAGGAGGATCACCTGAGGTCAAGAGTTCGAGACCAGCCTGGCCAACATGGTGAAACGCCGTCTCTACTAATAATACAAAAATTAGCCAGGTGTGGTGGTGCATGCCTGTAATCCCAGCTACTCAGGAGGCTGAGGCAGGAGAACCGCTTGAACCCGGGAGGTGGAGGTTGCAGTGAGCCGAGATCGCACCATTGCACTCCAGCCTGGGCAACAAGAGCAAAACTCCATCTCAAAAAAAAAAAAAAAAAAAAAAAAAAAACAAAAAAAAACAGGAAATCCAGGCTCTAATAAGTAAGAAATCAGTTCCGCACAAACATAAATAAAAAGGGAACTCTGAGTACGATACTTGAAAATTAACAAAACATAGCAAGGACTTTGCAGGAAGTAGGCACTTCACATGTGTTTGAGGTTGGACACATCTTGAAATTATCTTCCTAAAAGATACAAAACAGCATATAAAAACAGCACCTTGGCCAGGTGCAGTGGCTCATGTCTGTAATACCAGCAGTTTAGGAGGCCAAGGCAGGTGTATCACCTGAGGTCAGGAGTTCGAGACCAGCCTGGCCAACAAAGTGAAACGCCGTCTCTACTAAAAATACAAAAATTAGCCGGGCATGGTGGCACGTGCCTGTAGTCCCAGCTATTTGGGAGGCTGAGGCAGGACAATCGCTTGAACCTGGGAGGCAGAGGTTACAGTGAGCCAAGATCGCACCACTGCACTCCAGCCAGGGCAACAGAGAGAGATTCCATCTCAAAAAAACGCAGCACCTTCTGTCTTTAATGAGCTGGGTCATGGTAACTCGGAGATCTGCAGCAAATGTGTCTAAAACATTTCAGGATCAAGAATCCCACCTGCCCTCTCAGGCCCACCCTTCTGCCTCTCAGCTCCCCACCACCACTGCTTCGATGTACTCAAAATACCTATGACATGACATTGATAAATGCAAAGTCAGTAGGGAACACAGCTGATTAAAGAGTGTCCCTCCAGGAAAAAAAACTGAATGTGTTCACTGGCCGAAGCTGCAGTACTCAGTTCAGGTCCCATGGGTGCCCAGATGATGGATCCCTGATTCCTACCCTCAAGGGACTGGGCAGTGGAGGAAAGACAGAGCTTGTCACTACCTCATGTAAGACCCTGAGAAGGGACCCTGGCTCTGTACCACATTAAAGTCACATCATAGCTTGAACTGGGGAGTGAAATGGTGTCTCCTGAACTGCTAACCTTTCTCATATCTCATTTAACCCAACTGCAGTTTGCCTGTCACTCTCTCCACTTTCTGTTTCGTTTCTTCTGCCATTCCTCTTACTCTGACTTGCTCTCACAGAAATGCCGCAGTTGGTTGGGAATCTTACCATTCCCTGCTGTCAATATGTAAAGTCCCCATTATTTGCTTATGAAAACTGAGTAAAGCTCTGTGGTTCCGCTTTCCCAACTGCTGAAACCATCTTCCCTAGTAAGTAACAGTCCGTTACTTGAAGGATACATTTAAGCCTTTCCTGTAAATCAAGTAGGTAATTTTATTTGCAACATTTTTGTTGCTGCAATAAGAATACTTTACTAATTGGGGCCAGCCCAATGGCTCATGCATGTAATCCCAGCTGGGATGCCAAGGCGAGTGGATCACTTGAGGTCAGGAGTTCGAGACCAGCCTAGCCAACATGGTGAAACCCTGTCTCTATTAAAAATCAAAAAAAAAAAAAAAAATGGCCAGGCACAGTGGCTTACGCCGGTAATCCCAGCACTTTGGGAGTCCGAGGCGAGCAGATCACCTGAGGTCAGGAGTTCAATAGCCTGGCCAACATGGTGAAACCCCATCTCTACTAAAAATATAAAAATTAGCCAGGCGTAGTGGCACACGCCTGTAATCCCAGCTACTCAGGAGGCTGAGGCAGGAGAATCACTTGAACTCGGGAGGTGGAGGTTGCGGTAAGCCGAGATCACACCACTGCACTCCAGCCTGGGCAACAGCGTGAGACTCCGTCTCAAATAAATAAATAAATAAAAGTTTTAAAAAACTAGCCAGGCATGGTGGTGCATGCCTGTAATCCCAGCTACTCAGGAGGCTGAAGCAGGAGAATTGCTCGAACCCGGGAGGCAGAGGTTGCAGTGAGCTGAGATGACACCACTGCATTCCAGCCTGGGTGACAGAGTGAGACTCCGCCTCAAAAAAAAAAAAGTATACTTTACTAATCAGAAAGGGCAACAATACCATTTCAATTTTTTTAAAGCAACAATTCTATAATATAAAGAAATTATGTAAAAGGATATCTGATATCTGCAGATACTAAAATTTGAGTAGTAGAATGCTTACAGTAATGACATGGGTACAGGTTCCTAGCAGACCTACAGCAAAGTTATATGTACAATATGATAGCCTTTTTTGTAAAATGTGCATATCTACATTAAAAGGATATGAAGAATCTCCCAAAATGCTAACAACAGTCATGTCCAGGTAGAGGAATTTGTTTTTGTTTTGTATTCTTCCATGCTTTATAAGTTTTCTGCAATTAACACATGTAATTTTTGAGATGTAAAGAAAGTGATTTTTAATTACTTTCATCAGATAAATAAATCAACAAATTTTCCTCAGAACAAAAGAGACTGATGTAAGTAGCTAATGCAAATATTATTGATCTGCTCTTGCCTGAAATTAACAGCACAGTAGAAGCTAAGCTCAGGGCTCTATTCCCCATGGAGAGAGACCCCTTACACAGTCAGGGCAAAGGACATGGCCAGATAACAGTGTTTAGACATGTCTTTGATGTTTTCAGCCTTCATCCTGAACGGCTGACCAGCGGAAACAAAAGATCATTCTCGTAGCACTGGCTGCAGCCGGCCTGTGTGTGCCCACCCCTTGCTGTTGCTGTTTCCCAGGCTGACCCCTGCACCCACACACAAAGACCTCATTTGCAGCATGGTTAGCAGTGTCAAACATTCTCTCCAGATTCAGCCATTGAAAAGACATTTCCTTTTTTCCAAACCAGCTTTGTGTCTTCATGACCCAACTGGAGTAAGAATGGAGTTTTGGAATGAAATAAACAAAAAAGACAATCTGCCTTCCACAATTAATAATAATTCTGTGTTTATGGGGATTGCAGATACATGTTGCTTATCTGTGCTTTTTATGTTCCACCCCCCCACCACCAGGAACATGTTTGTGTAATTAAGCATTTTAAAATCATAACCATTTTTTAAAATGAAAACCCACACTTCCAAAATAGCACTTGAGTTCCACATGTTCTCTGCATAGGTTTTTAAGCAGCCAGCAGCTGCACGCCACATTTGGGGCTGGGAGAGATGTCACAGGGGCTGACAACTGAAATCAGTCAGCAGTTTCGGTGAGTCTGCAGCTGACAGAGGAGACAAAACGGGCACCCAGCCCAGTCATGCCCGTGCCTACCACAAGGTCAGCTCCACCCGTGGGTCAGTGTGCCCCAGATCAGCCCAGGACGCCAAGTGTCACCACCCTCTCCCCAGGCAGGCAGGCTGCCCAGCTGCCCAGCAGCAAAACTGCATAGGAACTCAGACTCCCATCACCTGGCCAGCTTGGCTGTCCCCTGACCCACGTCCCCACCTCACTGCCCCCCAGTTCTGACTCACGGTGTCCCGAAGCTGAACACTCTTTGTGGTCCTCTTGAAGCCTAGAATTAGCTATGTGAACATCGGTGAATATCATAATTTATTATGCAAACTTTAGGTACTGTTGTGTCCCTATATATTTGACTTGGTAATAAAAAGCAGGAATTCTTAAAATCTTAAAATAAATAAATGCAAAGGCAATCCATTGTAGGAGAGACAGCTTTTTCAATAAATGGTGCTGGAACAACTGGGTATCTACAGGCAAAGAAATGAACCTTGACCTAAACCTTTTACAAAACCTAAACCTTTTACAAAAATTAACTCATAAAGGATCATAGACCTACACATAAAACATAAAACTATAACACTTCTGGAAAAAACAAATTTTTTATGATCTAGGCCTAAGGAGTTTTAAAATTTGACATCAAAAGTACAATCCATAAAATAAAAAGTGGATACATTGGACTTCATAAAAATTAAAATGTTTTGCTCTGCCAGGAGGTCGAGGCTGCAGTGAGCCGTGTTCATGACACTGCATTCCAGCCTGGGTGACACAGTGAGACTCTGTCTTTAAAAAAAAAAAAAAAAAAAAAAAAAAAAAAAAAAAAAAAAAGTTTTGCTCTGCAAAAGACCCTGTTAAGAGGATGAAAAGACAAACTAAAGAATGGAAGAAAATGTTTGCAAACCACATATACAACAAAGGACTAGTACTTAGAATATATATATTTTAAAACTTTCAACACTCAATAGTATAACAAAGCAAAAGAAGTGAATTAGAAAATGGGCGAAAGACATGAAGAGATGTTTTACTGAAGAGGATATACAGATGGCAAATAAGTCACGAAAAGATGTTCAGTGTCATTACTCAATAGGAAAATACAAATTAAAACCACAATATGACATCACTATGCATCTATCATAACAGCTAAAATAAAAAACAGTGACACCATCAAATGCTGGCAAGGACAAAGAGAAGCTGGATCCTCACACATTGCTGGTGGGAGTGTGAAATGGTACAGTCACTTTGGAAAACTCTTTTATAGTTTCTTACAAAATTAAAAATACAACTAAAATAAGACCCAGCAATTGCACTCTTGGATATTTATCCCATAGAAATTACAACATATGTTTACACAAAAACCTGTACACAAGTGTTCATATCAGCTTTATTCATAAGAGCCAAAAACTGGAAACAACTCAGATATCCTTCAACAAGTTCATGGTTCAACAGACTGTGGTCCATCAATATCATGAAAGACAATTCAGCAATAAAAAGGAATGAACCACTGATACTTAAAACAACCTCGATGAAGTTCCAGAGAATTACAATGAGTAGGAAAAAAGAAAAGTCAACCTCAAAAGGTCACATACTATATAATTCCATCTATATGATATTTTTGAATTGACAAAATTATAGAGATAGAGAACAGATCACCAATTGCCAGGGGTGGGAAAGAGAATTAACCACAGCTATAAAAGGGCAGTACAGGCCAGGCGTGGTGGCTCACATCTGTAATCCCAGTGCTTTGGGAGGCGAAGGCAGGAGGATCACTTGAGGCCAGGAGTTCAAGACCAGCCTGGGCAACAAAGTGAGACCCCATCTCTACCAAAATAATGTTTTTAATTAGCCAGGCATGACAGTTCGAGGCTGCAGTGAGCTATAATCACGCTACTGAATTTCAGCCTGGGCAACACAATGAGACCCCAACTCAAAAAAATAAAAAATAAATAAAAGAGCAACATGAGGGGTTTTTATCAGGGTGGAACTATTCTGTATCTTGACTGTATCAATGTTGCCATAGTGTATGATAGTTTTGCAAAATGTTATCATTGGGAGAAACTGAGTATATGGTACATGAGACCTCTGTATTATTTCTTATGAGTGCATGTAAATATACCATTATCTCGAAATAAAAATTTGAATTAAAATTTAATAAATACTATAGATCAGCATTTTAACAATATTCTTCTTGCTAGCAGCTTGCCATAACGCTGTGTGACCTGAGAAGCAGAGCGTCCTTTCATCCAGACCTCCCCCTTGTTCGTCAGACATGTGACGGGGGGGCGGGCGGGGTGGGGAAGATAAGTCGCTGCTGCTTGCCATTGTCTCCTGTGTGAGAAATCTCTCTGGGTATTAGAAACCTTTATACAATATTAATGGGGATTAGAAGGGAGCATCCAAGGGCCAGGTCAGAGCCAGTCCTTTTCACTCATGTAAATGACCTGAGACAAATATAAACCGAGAGGGTTCACATCCTAACAAGGCATTTTTGTTCCCATCCGTGGTGATCGAATCATTGAAAGAAGACCCTGTTGGTGACCCCAGCCCAAATCTGAAAGGCATTTGCATCCCTGTGAGCTGGGATCAGCGCACAGTGGCCGGTGCCTGATCTCCACAGAGCGAGCACAGGAGGTCGACTTTCTGGGAGGAAGTAAAGAGGCTGACGCATCTGCTAGACTCAAGGACAGTCCCAGCAGCACCTCCACTGCGTGCGGAGAGGGAGGAAGCGCCACGGATAAGGAGAGCCAGCTTCACAGTCAGGCACAGCCTCAAACCCCAGCCGTGCCGCTTTTTGGAGCTGTGACCTCCTTACCCTCTCCCAGTCTGGTTATCCTCACCTGGAAAACGGGGTTGCCGTTACGTCCGTCCCAAGGCTGCTGCAAAGACAGAAGAGGAGCGCCACGCACAGACTCACAGAGGAGCTCAGTGACGCTGGGCCCTTCCTTCCCCCACTCATCGAGTTCTGCAACACCGAAAATCCCGTTCACTCAAAAAAAAAAAAAAAAACGGGGGGACTTATCCTAACCAAGATTCAACGGACTAGTATAGGCGGAGGCTAGGCGCTCGGACCCGGGCCCAAACTGTGTGTGTCCAAACTCTTGTCTCAGCCATCTCCCAGGTGTGTGGACTCAGACAAGCTACTTAACATCTGTGTGCCTCAGTTTCCCACTCTGCAAAACGAGGATAATAAAAATCCCATCTACCTCGTAAGGTTGTCATGAGGATTGAGTGAGTTACACGTGAAGTGCTTGGAACAGTGCATGACCCCAACTTATTTTTTTTTAATGCATCCTTTTAGGTAACAGTTTGGTTAGAAGAAATAAGAAAACTTCCTTGAGGCCATTTTTTTCTAAATTTTGTGGAAAAACAATTATGTTGTATGAAAAAAATACCGAATGAAATTGCCAATATGCTGCAATTTTCACCTACAAAAATGGCAGGTTCATATAGTCCCACCCAGTTAGTAAATTTCTGAGCCTCAGTTTACACATCTGTAGAATGTGTATCCTAGTCCTTACATTCTGAGGCTACGGTGTAGCTTAGTGCTAATGTAAAATGTTGGCACAAAGTAGGGACTTAGTGAATGACAGCAGCTGGTGGTGTAAAACCACCAATCTTCTTCCCAGTGAGATGCTCAACATGGCTCAGGAGCAATATGTCTATAGAAAGAGGCATGGAGATAAGCAGACGATGTAACAGGCCTGATTCCCCAGGAAGACCAATCAATGTCACCGGGGGCAGGGGCAAGCGGGGGAGACCCTCCTCCCAAAACGTCACAGAATGACACAGAGCAACCACCATGGGAACAGAGCAGGAGATGTGGAGAGCCATGAAAACTGAACACCACCAACGGTGAGCACCTCTGAGGCCAGGCCCCAAAGACAGGTCATGGGTGATGATGACACTAATAATAAGAGTCATAACAAGTTGGGGGCTCTTTTCATGTATGAGGCAATGGTCTAAGCACCTGCGGTGTAAACTCGCTGGATTTTGGCAGCCACCCCATGGGTGTTGATTATTACTGACCCCATCTTACAGATAAAGAAACAGATCTAGAGAACATTAAGTAGCCTGCCCAAGTGTCACTGAGCTTGGATTTGACCCTGAGTCTATAGGACTCCAGGTGACCAGCTCTTAACTACACACCCATTAGCTTAACCACTCAGATCACTCCCATTAAAAAAGGTGTAGGATTATCATCATTGAAAGACAGGGCCAAATAAGGAAACCAGAAGTCAGCAGCTGCATCAGGAATGGACTCCGGATTTCTAGACCAAAGTTCCCCTCCATCAGTCTCTTACGAGAACAACTCTAGAGCAGTGTCCACAGCAATGCTTCTCAACTGTCAGCATCCATAAGATGCACCTGGATGGCACTGGGCACCCCCATCAGGGAATCTCATTCAGAGGGTCTGGGGACCCAAGAATGAACATTTCTATTGATTTCCCAGGTGATGCTGCCACAGCCCATCTATAAACCACACTAGAGGATCCAGAGGGTGTCTGATAACTCCAAAATTTCATGAGTCTCTGTGGTGACAAGTCAGGGAAGACGGCTTCAGTGTTGGGGGCACCCCCGGATCAGACTGCCCCTGTAGCCCATCTTCTCACCCTGGCTCTGTCCAGCCTCTCTCCCACTTTGGAGTAAGACAAAAACGGGTTCCCTACCATCTGCTGGCCGCGCAACCCTGGGCAAGTCCTTAGGCTTTCCTGCACCTCCGTTTCCTCATCTTTACAATGGGTACCACACTCTGGCTTACCACATAAGGAGTGGTGAAGCAGCCTGTGTAAGGTACCTGGACTCGGGAAAAGGTCAGCAACTGTTCATTTCTTCTTTCATCTTTTCTCCATCAGATTCATTTCTCCTAAGCCCCCAAACACACCAGCTCAAATTCTACCCTCTCTAAACCTGTCTCATGTCTGTAGCCATTTGTAAGGATAACAGCAATACCTTACATCTCTGGAGTTTACAAATTGCCCCCAGAGGTCAGAGTTTGCAACTTATACCTCATGTGCCTCTTACCATGCCTGGCACAGAGCAAACATTCAATAAGGACTTACTGGTCAAAAGAACTGACTAAATCTGCTCTCTAAAATTTTGGGGAAAAAAATGCAACCTTCAAAAACATAAGGTTGCATTAATACTGGCTCAGTATAACATACTGTATAAGGAAACCAATTTTACATAGGCGAATTCAGGGGTCCCCAGTCCCCGGGCCACAGACTGGTACTGGTCCATGGCCTGTTAGGAAGCAGGCCACACAGCAGGAGGTGAGCGGTGGGCAAGAGAAGTTTCATCTGTATTTACAGTCGCTCCCCATTGCTGTCATTACCACCTGAGCTCCACCTCCTGTCAGATCAGTGGCAGCATCAGATTCTCATAGGAGCTCAAACCCTATTGTGAACTGCGCCTACAAGGGATCCAGGTTGCACGCTCCTTATGAGAATCTAATACCTGATGATCTGAGGTGGAATAGTTTCACCCTCCCCCACACCCTGTCTGTGGAAAAATTGTCTTCCATGAAACTGGACCCTGGTGCCAAAAAGGTTGGGGGCTGCTGGGCTAATTGATATAAACAAGGTTCAAGTCCTATGGCATACAGTACATACCTCATTTCCCTTCATGTCGCAGTTTCCACAAGCCTATGGACAACATGAAGTGGAGGCTTATTGTTTAACCAAGTTGAAAATCATATAGTTGGGATGCTACTCAAGGTGTCTTCATTGATAGGTTTGTACGATCAATCATCTTGGGACAATTGCTCAAGGCCAGCAGCTGCCATCAGCCCTTCCTGGGACTTGGGCTCTGCTTCCTGACAGGATATCTCCAGCTGCTGAGCCTCAGCTCCCATTGTTTAAGCCTAGTCTTGCTGGTTTGCATTACTCCTGTCTGGTCTCTGCTCCAGCTGTGACCAGCCCCCAGCAGATAAGGAGCCATTTTCCTAGGGCACACCCTCTGTGGGTACTGCCTGGCACAACTGCCTTGGAGACTCTTGCTGGCCCCACAGGCACTAGGGGTCACCTTCTCATTGCAGTTCCCTCCCCAGGAGGCCTTCAGTGTGAGTCTCAAGGGGGCTGCCCTAGGGCACAGTCCAGATGAAAGACTGTTTTCCTCAAAACAAACTTTTACCCTTTTCTCTTCCCTTACATTGATTCTGGCAAACTTGATTCCCACTGTCCCCACCCCCATTCATGCACTCACAGGCCCCAGTGAGTGGGAACTCAGCTCAGGGGGGACCCAGGTCAGGGTCTCACAGAAACCCACCCCTCATCCCAAACTTCTCACAGCAGAGAATGAGCCTCTGCCATGCAAAGCCGGCTCCAGATCACAGACTGTGATAACACAGCTGAGCTCCCAATTTATCGTCCTCCTTTTGCGGAAATTCTGTACACATGGCCAGGAGTACAGCTGACTCAGTCTTCAATGGCTGACCAAGAAACAAACCAACCAACAAGCATTTCTTGATAGAGCACACTGAGGGTTTGGAGAAGAAAGAATGAGGGATGTTTTTGTCCTAACTTCAGACTTAGCCAAATGTGGCATGGTTGCTTCTACCAAGTGGGGTGGGCATGAGGGAAGAGCCCACTCAGGCCTGGCGTGTCCATGACGATGCTCCAGTGCTAGGTGAACAATCCCAGAGTAAAGTGCCACGTTAAATGACCATGGAAACGATGCATGGTAGCCAGGCAGGGAGTCAACCAGACGGCTGGAAGAGCCATGGGGAATCCAGGGAAGAGGACCGTGAAATCAATAGCACCAAGGGCAGCTGTCCCAAGAAGTGGGAACTAGTCACCGAGTCAGGGTGCAGACACTAGAAGTCACTGAAAGAGGTTGGAACAGAGATGGCCAGGCCTCACATACATAGTGGATTAGAGCACTAAACTAATCGGTAGAAGGGTAATTCGCAGAACTGAGCACAGAGAACCAAGCATTAGAACAAGGCAGAAACCAGGCATCCAAATATGTCAATGAGCTCTTGGTGAAGAGGAGAAACTGAAGAAAACTGGCTGCTGGGCCTGGAACTAGAAGGTTAAGCCACTTATGGCCTCCAGCCTCACTCCTGGGAACCAGACAGGGAGGCTGCTAATGTTTACTTAAGACCTACTACATGCCAAGAACACTTTTCATGAACAAAATATTCAGTCTTACGAAAATTCTGGGAAATTATTATTGTCATTATCAGATGATTAAATGGAGGTATAAGAAGGTGGAATAGCTCTTCCAAGTCTCAGCTAGAGACAAAACATGCTTCTAATCCTCTCTGATTTCAGTCATATCATATTACATTCTGAGCCCAAAGGTAAGAATTAAGTCATTGGCCCTACTCTCAGACTTAATTCTAAAAACCTTTAGTAAGCTTTTTAGTGATTTAGCCCATTTCTTTAGCTTTAACTCAGCCTTCTAATAAGTCATTCTTCTGATAACATTGTCAGGATTTGGACATTTTACCAAAGAAGCTGTATTAAAAGAAATAAAACAAAACTTGAACACACTAATATGCAGATATCATTTTAAGATTTCTAAATCATGAAAACAGTAGATACAGAAATTTATACCATGCCAAGGAAATTATTAAGACAGTGCTGTACTGATCCATTTATTGGTAATGTTTAGAATATAATGTAAGTAGGAAAAATGCAAACCTATAAAAACAATGGATCTAAACCACAGAAAATCCACACCACAGCAAATCAGAGCCCCAGTGAGAGACCTCTCCACCCACTAGAATGGGTATCGCCAAAAGACCAACAGTAACAGCTGTGCACAAGGACGTGGAGAAACTGGAACCCCCATACAAGGAACCCCTATACAGTGCTGGTAGACACGTAAAATGGTGAAGCTAATTTGGAAATCAGCTTGGCAGTTCCTCCAAAAGTTAACTTAGAGTTCCCATAGGACCTAGCAATTCTACTCCTAAAGTACGTACCCAAGAGAATTAAAGACACATTTCCAAGGCCGGGTGTGGTGGCTCACCCCTGTAATCCCAACACTTTGGGAGGCCAAGGCGGGCAGATCACCTGAGGTCAGGAGTTCAAGACCAGCCTGGCCAACATGGCAAAACCCTGTCTGTACTAAAAATACAAAAATTAGCCGGGCGTGGTGCTGCACGCCTGTAATCCCAGCTACTCAGGAGGCTGAGAGAGGAGAATCACTTGAACCTTGGAGGCAGAGGTTGCAGTGAGCTGAGATGGCACCACTGCACTCCAGCCTGGGCAACAGAGTGAGACTCTGTCTCAAAAAAGAAAAAGACAAACACATTTCCATACCAAAAATTTGTTTATGAAGATTCCTACAAGCATCATTCATAATAGCCAAAAAGTGAAATAACCCAAACATCCATCAGTCTGATGAATGGATAATAAAATGTGGTATATCCATACAATGGAATATTATTCAGCCATATAAAGAAACGAAGTTCTGATACATGCTACAACACGGGTAAACCTTGAAAACACATGCCGAGTAAAAGAAGCTCGACACAAAAGTCCACATATTACATGGTTCCATTTATATGAAATATCCACAATAGGCAAATCTGCCATAGAGGCAAAAGGCAGAGTCGTGGTGGTCAGGGACTGGGAGAGGAGGATGTGGGCAGTGACTGTAATGGGTCTGGGGCTTCTTTCTGGGGTGACGAAAATGTTCTGGAATTAGATCATGGTGACAGTTGCACAACTCTGAATATATTTAAAAGCACTGAACTGTATTCTCTAAAAAGGTAACTTTTGTAGCACATAAACTGTAAAATTGTATTATAATTATATATATAACATATATAATTGTAATATAATAGAGTATATAATTGTAATACAATTACAATATTATTTGTTATATATCTAGTAATATAATACATAAATATATATGTTATTGTACTACAATTATAATATATAATAATACGGTTCTGACATTCAGATACTGCTCAGCCTTAACAAGCCACTTCTGAGCCTGTTCCTCACCTATAAAATGGGAACGATAATAACAACTTTGCTGAGTTGTAAAGAGAGTGGCAATTCACCTAAAATACTTTTACATGGTAGATTGTCAAGAAGTGGTGGCTATAATAGTAATAATTATTCAACTAACTCTTGAGTCTGCAAGGCCATGCAATGAAAGATATGTAAGTCAATGAACTACTCTTACACGCATGAGTCCCTTATTTTATTCTTCTCTTTTCTTGCCTCCATAGTTCTCTGCCGGAGTCTAAGACATTGCTAAGCACATAATACAATACTGTTATTTGAGAAATATGAAACTAAATGATCTTTTGTCTCAATGATCTTTTGTCTCCTACATTTGGGGGCAAGACTTCAAAGTAGCATTCTTTATTTATTTTTTTTTCCCCCAAGACGGAGTCTGGCTCTCTCGCCCAGGTCAGAGGGCAGTGGTGCGATCTTGGCTCACTGCAACCTCCATCCCCGGGGTTTAAGCAATTCTCCTGCCTCAGCCTCCCAAGTAGCTGGGATTACAGGCACGCGCCACCACGCCCGGCTAATTTTTGTGGCTAATTTTTGTATTTTCAGTAGAGACGGGGTTTCACCAGGTTGGCCAGGCTGGTCTGCGAACCCCTGACCTTGTGATCTGATCACCTCCTAAAGTGCTGGGATTACAGGTGTGAGCCACTGTGCCCGGCCGGCCCAAAGTAGAATTCTTAATTGTTCTCTAATTGTTCCTACCAGTATGAGGCTTGGCATTCTATCCAGAGTTTCATAAGTTCCCTAAAGAACAAAAGCTCATTTATTCATCAGGTATTTACTGAGTACCTCCTATGGGCCAGCCATTGTACTGAGTGCTGGGATACAAGGGTGACCAAAAGTGATCTAATCACCTATGTTGCATACTGGGAGGAGACAATATCAGACAAATAAATATGTCACTGCAAATGCGGTGTGTCATATAAAGGGCTTCTCAATCTTTTTTTTTTTTTTTTTAATGAAAACTGCCTACATATGCCCCAGTTCAGATAGATTTTATCTGGTAATTCCTTTCCCAAATCTTTTTTTTTTTTTTTTTGAGACGGAGTTTCACTCTTGTTGCCCAGGATGGAGTACAATGGCACAGGCTCGGCTCACTGCAACCTCCACGTCCCAAATTCAAGCCACTCTCCTGCCTCAGCCTCCCAAGGAGCTGGGATTACAGGCGCCCACCACTACACTCAGCTAATTTTTACATTTTTAATAGAGACAGAGTTTCACCATGTTGGCCAGGCTGGTCTCCAACTGCTGACCTCAGATGATCCACCCACATCGGCCTCCCAAAGTGCTGGGATTACAGGCATGAGCCACTGCACCCGGCCTCTTTCCCAAATCTTTATGAATCACTTTAACTTTCAGTCAGAGTTCCTGATCAACAAAAGATCTCACTGTCCTTCCACAGCCAGTATCATTCTGCACAGAGGGAAGAAGTCTAACGTTCGGTTGACTTACAGAGCTGCAAGCAAGTAAATGCGCACTTTCCAGGAGGTTTCGTCTCTGTTGTTTTTATTTTAAGAGCTTACAGACTCCTCGGCCACCTTCATGGATTCATGGTTCTCAAGGTTGACCACCCAACAGAGACCCCTGGAGAGGCTCGTTAAACCACAGACTGCTGGTCACCACCCCCCGAGTTTCCGAGTTGGTCTAAGGAGGGGCCAGAGAATCTGTATTTTGTACAAGTTCCCTGACAACACTGATGCTGGTCCAGGTACTAGAATTTGAGAACCACCACAGTAGACAGGCAGAGCATATGCTTCAGTAAAGTCAACGTCAAAGGAAGCTTTTAGGTTACCCAAGCCAACCTCCTCAAGGAGCAGATGAGAACCTGAGCCCCGAGAGGCGAACCACCTCTGTCGAGGTCAAAACTAAATAAGTATGGTAGGTCCCCAACTCCCAGGTCACCAGTTTTCCTGTGCCACAACCTCCCAGGCAGTCCACCGCCTTTTGTTGAGCCCCAGAAGACATTCCCTTCTCATTGGATTCTGATGTAAACTCGTGGTCAAAAACACCAGGGGCATGAAATGATATAATGTCTTGGATTTACTTTAAAGTGATCCAAAAGGGTTGTGGTGTGGGGAGGGAGGAAACACAAGAAACAAAATTGACAAAATCTTGACAACTGCTGAAGCTGAATGATGAACACAGAGGCTCACAATCGTTCTATTTTTGCACATGTTTTAGATATGTTTGAAATTTTCCATAATCAAAAAGAAGTTATCGGAATCAGTTGGATCAAGATTTGTCATTGCACATTTCTGAAGGGCTCAGTCTCTCACACTACCCCTAAAATATACCCTCTCCCTCAGGAAAACAGTGTGTTTTGAACATCTATGGCTTGCCAAGCCTTGGCTGGGGACTCAAGGGATGCAGACAAAATTAAGACATAAATATCTGTTCCTAAGAAGCCCATAATATGATGGCATAAATAAAAAGCAAGCGTTGTCCTACGGGGTTGAACAGTGGCATCAGAGACAGTTAAGAGTCAGCTAGATTATACCCACTGAGATCAAGAGGACTGAGGCAAGGCTTCATCTCTTTTCATTTCACGTCCCTGAAATTCAATATTTTTGTCACTTCCTAAGAGCAGTCAAGTTTGAGAAATGTGTACTACCATCAATCAATGACGTTTTACCAAATTAGAACATTAAAAGTACAAATGATAGGCAAAGCTCAAGCATCCACTAGCGAAATACTGAAATGACAATTTATCAACACAATAGACCATGAAATTGTTATTTAAAATAATAATGTCAAAGAAATATTGATATTGAAATAAGCAATGTCCATAATATATTACATTAAAATGAGATATAAAATTATATCATCTAATATAATTTTAACTAACTTTTAGAAGCATATAGAATTTCATTTTTATAACAGGAAAAAATAGACCAAAGTGTTCAGAGTAACTATATCTAAATCATAGATTTCTGTGGTTGTTTTTTTGTTTGTTTATTTTTCCGAGATGGAGTTTCGATCTCGTTGCCCAGGCTGGAGTACAATGGCGTGATCTCAGCTCACTGCAACCTCCACTTCCCGGGTTCAAGCAATTCTCCCGCCTCAGCCTCCCAAGTAGCTGGAATTACAGGCACACACCACCACGCCTGGCTAATTTTTGTATTTTCAGTAGAGACGGGGTTTCACCACATTAGCCAGGCTAGTCTCGAACTCCTGGCCTCAGGTGACCCACCCGCCTCAGCCTCCCAAAGTGCTGGGATTATAGGCGTTGGGACTATAGGCATCAGCTACCACACCTGGCTGTTTTTTGTTTTTTTTTAACTCTTCTGTATTTTCTTAAATTTTACGTCACAAATATATATTACTTCTATGAGAGCCTTCCCCTGCCTTTTTAGTGCAATTAGCTTTAAAGTACTACAATTAGGCTGGGCGAGGTTGCCTATAATCCCAGTGCTCTAGGAGAGTGAGACAGGAGGATTACTTGAGGTCAGGACTTTAAGACCAGCCTGGGCAACATAGTGAGACCTCATCTCTACAAAAATTACAATTAAAACTAAATTTTTTTTAAAAGTACTACAATATATGTGTATGTCCAGAAACTGAACCAATAGATTCCAAGACTCTCCATTAAGGCAGTGTAAGAGCTGGGAGGGTTAACTGCCTGGCGTCATTATGAAGGAACTACAGGTCACCCTGGACGCTCTGGAATAGCTAGCCCAGAGTTCTATGAACTGCCCAAAGTCAGCCCTAATGGTTAGTTGCCCCCTCGAAAGCCCTAACTGCTTCCTTTCCAAGTCTGGAACAGAGAATGCTAAAAGGAGAAAGGTGAGATTATTGAAAGCAAGTTCCTGTCACCAGCCCATCCCACAGCCTTTCCTTTAAATGTCCTGGTCACTCTCAATCCTGATTATGGTGCCTGGTCATGGGTAGCATGCAGGGGGCTTGACCTCTCTCTTTATGTTACACTTATCTTCTTCCCATCCTGATTTTCTAACCATTGATTAGCTCTACTTTGAAATAGCCTCAGAACACTCTGGAATCTCTAAATAATTCAAATTTTGAATCCCCAAAGTGAACACAGTTTTCTTTAAAAGGGGGTTTCTAATGTCAAGTAAAATGATAGTACTAGAATGAACATCTATAATGCCACAGGTATTCAATAAATTGCTTACTAAATGAAAGAAACAGTGATCAACTTCGTACCAAGCATAGAAACCTTTCAGAAAGGCTGTTTGAGATCAAAATCTCTCCTATTGAAAGTGACAAGTGAGAAACACAGATGTTTCAAATGTAGCTTCCCGACTAGTGCAGTGGCTCTCACCTGTAATCCCAGCACTTTGGGAGGCTGAGGTGGGTGGATCACTTGAGGCCAGGAGTACAAGACCAGCCTGGCCAAGATGGTGAAACCTTATCTCTACTAAAAATACAAAAATTAGCTGGGCATGGAGGTGCACACCTGGGATCCCAGCTACTCAGGAGGCTGAGGCACAAGAATCACTTGAACCCAGGAAACAGAGGTTGGCAGTGAGCTGAGATTGTGCCACTGTACTCCAACCTGGGTAAAAGAGCAAGACTCTGTCTCAAAAAAAAAAAAAAATACATATATATATATAAAATAAAATAAAATAAAATAAATGTTGCTTCTAATTACCTACCCAGCAAAAGATTTCAGATATTGGTCCAACTGGCTATCTTCATGAATCGGAATCATTTTAAACCACCAATAAACCATTTAAACCATCTGCAGGCCAGGCGCGGTGGCTCAAGCCTGTAATCCCAGCACTCTGGGAGGCCGAGGCGGGCAGATCACGAGGACAGGAGATGGAGACCACGGTGAAACCCCGTCTCTACTGAAAATACAAAAAAATAACCGGGCGCCGTGGCGGGCGCCTGTAGTCCCAGCTACTCAGGAAGCAGGAGAATGGCGTGAACCCGGGAGGCGGAGCTTGCAGTGAGCCGAGATTGCGCCACTGTACTCCAGCCTGGGCGAAAGAGCGAGACTCCGTCTCAAAACAAACAAACAAACAAAAAAAACTATTTAAACCATCTGCAATAACAAGAAAGGCCAAGACAGAATTTAGTTTCAGCCTCAGCTTTTTTCACCCCCTGCTACGTGCAGTGAAGTGCAGTGGCACGATCATAACTCACTGCAGCCTCGAACTCGTGGGCTCAAGAGACCCTCCCAGCTTAGGCTCCAAGTGCTAGGACTACAGGCATGTGCCACCACACCTCGCTAATTTTTTTTCTTTCTTTTTCTTTCTTTCTTTTTTTTTTTTTTTTGTTTTTTAAGAGATGAGAGTCTCGCTATGTTGCCCAGGCTGGTCTCGAACTCTTGGCCTCAAGCAGTCCTCTGGCCTTAGCCTCCCAAGTAGCTGGGATTACAGGTGTGAGCCGTGCCTGCCTCCTGAGTTAACTTCTTACTCAAGAAAGAATGCTTGTCCCTGCAAGAACAGCAGAACGCCTCATGAACTGCAGCTGGGAACTGGAAATGCCACAGATAACACTGCAAACTTTAAATGAACCAGATTTTGGCATGAAAAAAGACCTGTAGAAAGATCTCCTCACCTGTGTTCCGTTTAATTGTTTCAATTTTAAATTTGGTTTTTGTTTCCTAGAAACATACTTTTCTGAGAAAGCAGTCAGAAACAGTGGTCTGGAAACAATGGATTGCTTATGAACAATTCTGCAAATCTGCCCAGAGATTTAAGAAATCCTAAGAGGATCGAGAAGTGGAATTCTAATTGGCCTTTAAAACTCCCAATAACAAAGTGCTACAAACCAGGCGGCATGACCACAATATTTATAGAAGATGGAGCTCAGAATCCCCATGTCTAACTCCCAGGTTAAATGCAGAAATTAAAGTGCTTTCACTGGGAATAAAAGAGTGTTTATTCAAGCTAAATTTACACATTTATTGTTTTAAAGGGATAATAAAAAGTCTTTCAAGCCCTGAAGTAACACTTAACTCTCTAATAAAAGTTTATTAAAGAAAAGCTTCAGTATACAAAGTAAGTAGTTCTTTTTTGCAGGTCCTCAAGACCAGGCATCAAAGAGAGTTGACAGCAAAATGGCCCGGAGTCCCTCTGCATGAATGGCGGCTCTCCCAGTCTCCAGCTGCCGGCGCCCTGGTGGCCGGGCCACACACACACACACACACACACACACACACACACACACACACACACCCCTTCTTGTACTTCGGGGAAGCAGCCTTTGTTCCCAGGACCCAAACTGGGATCCAGTTAGGAAGTCCCCACCTCCCCTGAAGCATCCTCTTCAAGTGCAGGGGCCCCTAAACCACCGTCCCAGAGCCACTCAGGAAAGATACCCCAAAATTTTCTCCCGGGTCCCAAGTGCTGGGGACATGTGGCTGCCACTCTGGGCTCCAGACAGTCTCCCTAAACACAGAGGCAGATACACACACACACACACCCTTGCAATACGATTATCACCGTCACTGTTCACGGCTCCCACCTACCGAGGGCTCACCATGTGCCAAGCGCCAGGAGCCTCGGGTGCTCTCTCTCTCTCACACACACACACGCGCGCGCACACCGATACACGCGTACACATGCACGCACGCACACGCGCACTCACACACGCACACACGTGCACACACGCACACCCATACACGCACACGCACGCACACCCCACACACACGCGCGCCCACACCTATACCCGCGCGCACACGCACGCACAAGCGCACGGCAGCGGCAGCACCCAGGTCCCTACACGCTGCCAGGGCCGATCCCGGACACCTTCCACCTCCTTCCCGGGACCAGGGCCAGGAAGTGCCCGCGTCCGGCGGGGCGCACCTTCCCCGCCGGGCGCCGAGTGCCCGCCCCGAGCAGCCCCGCACAGCCCCGCGCCCCCGCTCCGCCCGCTGCCGCCCGGAGGGACCGCTCCTACCTCGGGCCCTTTGTCCTCCGGCCGCCGCGGCCCCGCTCCTGAGCGCCCGCCGCCGACGGAGGCTAGCCCAGCCTACAGGCTGAGCTCGCGGCCGCAGCGCCAGGCCCCGCACCCGGACCTGGCCCCGGCCCCGGCCACGGCGCGGGGCGCTCGGCAAAGCCCGGATCTCCGGAACCGCGGCCAGCGCGGAGGACTCGACCCCTGACACTGGCCGCCCCCTGTGGTCCACTTCTCCGGGTCTTCGGGACGGCCGCGGAGGAGGGCCGGGCGGTGGGCTTGGCTGCCCCAGGACCTCCGCCGGGGAAGGGTCGGGGGAGGGCGCGGGGCCGGAACCCCTAGCGGCGGCCGGCGATGGGTGGAGGTGACAGGGACAGAGGGGAGCCCCCTGCGCCCTCCCACCCGGGTTCGCGCCCCGGGCCTGGAACCCCAGTCTTACCCTGTCCCGCCCGCCCTCCTCCCCAACAAAGACGCGCTCCCCCACTCCCGTGCCCGGCTCCCCGCGACCCAAGGAGGGTCACCGTGCGGGGCTGCCCCGCCAGCTGACCCTGCCCTGGCGGCTGCCGGGTCCCTTCCCGCGCCCACCTGCGTGGGTTCAGAAAGATGGACGGAACCTCGCACCTGAGCGCCCAGCCCCGGCTCCGCGCGCCGTCTGCGCTCAGCGGTGTCGCCGTCCTCCCTCCTCTTACGGGGGCTGCCCTCCCTGCAGCAGCCCTGTCCCACCCCCGGGCCCAAGCACCCCGACATTCCCGCGGGGTCACACTGGACATCCCCTCCGGTGACAGGGCACTTAGCGGGGAAGAAGATCTGGACAGAGGTTGGGAGACCCCTCGGAGGAGCGAGGTCATTTTGTCACTTGGGAACGCAGGCGCCCAGACGGGACACGGCAAGGCTGTGAGGCAGCAGGAGTGGAGCCCAGGCTTCCGGACAACTCCACCCCAGGGGCCCCCGGATCCCCACGCTCGGCCGCCGGGACTGAGCCCGACCGAGCGCGGTGACCGGGGGCACCCGCCGCCCTCTCCCCACCGCCGCCGACCGCTCAGGACGCGGAGATTGAGGGACCCGGTCCCCAACAGCTGAGGTCGGCGAGCGGTCCATGAGGGCCCAGCCTGAGGTCAAGAGAGGAAAAGGAAGATTCTGGAACGATGGACCCCTGCGGGTGGAACCCGGCCAGCTTTTCCTGGTGACAGCCAGGTCGGAAAAAATGAGTGAAGGAAGGAAGAAATGAACGAACCTCAAATGAGTCCCTCAGTCCTCACTGGCGGCTGCTGCTGAGGTGGCCCCTAGCAAAGAAGCTGAGACAAGAAACAAAGAGAACTAGAGATTTCTTTTTTTTTCTTTCTCTCTCTCTCTCTTTTTAATAAAAAGACAGGCCCCTGTGTTTTCAGGAGGCAGCCAGAAGCAGAACTGGAGTCAGGAAACCGTCCCTGGGCCCCCTGCCACTCACCCCCAGGACCCACAGTGGGGCCTTGGGCCTAACAGCCACTGTCTTTGAAAACACCCTGAAAAGTCACAGTTCACGAATCTGGGCGGTTAAACAAAAGAAGCCGGGAGTGAGGTTATAGCCCCCAGCACCTGCCAGCACACAGGTCCTCAGTAAAAGTGCATCGTGAGTGAACCCCTGCAGCTCGCCATACTCTGATTGGCAGCACCCTCATTTTCCTTTTCTCATCATGAAATAGCTCAAACACCCGCATTTGACTTTTCTCATTGTGAAATTTTCAAACACACGCTAAACTAGGAGAGTAATGTAAAGAGCCCATGTGCTCAAGAACAAGCCAATCCTAACATCGGGCCACACTTGCTTCAAATGTTTAAGACATGAATATTGCAATACAGTTAAAGCCCCTGGAAGCCTTCCTCATGTCACCCCGAGTACTCTTCCAAAGCATCCCATTCCTGTTTTTATACTATTACTGCATATGCGTGTGTTCATAAGTCATACAGAAGATTTTTACAACTTCCTGTGTGTTCCTGTTTCATTCTGTAACCCGGTCGGTTTGTCTTGTTTTGCTCAAGATTATAAGATCCATCTGATCATCCATATAGCTCTAGTTTATTCATTTTAACTATTAAATAGCATTCCGTTGTATGAGTAGGGCACAAGTCATATATACATTCTTCTGTTGATAGACATTTGAGTTGAGATTATAAAGAAGACTGCAGTGAGCATTCTTGAACTGCATTTATCTTTCTAGGGTATAGCTCATTTCAGCCACTCTAGTAAAAACGTGCAGAATAATGATGTTGAATTAACATTAGCCCAAATGTCTGCTCTATGGTTTGGGTTACTTACTGCAACTGCTAAACCAATAATCACTGTGAAAAATGTCCTTACATTTTTTCCTCTTTACGTTTTGACAGCTGTGTCTTACCAAGCAGATAAAATCCCATAGAACAGAGGTCAGCAAATTTTTCTTAAACGGCAAGAGGCCAATATTTTAGGCATTGCCTTCTAGGATGCAGAGTTGAGGCTTACATAAACCATTTAAAATGTAACTTTTTTTTTTTTTTTTTTAGAGATAGGGGGTCTCGCTCTTGTCACCCAGGCTGGTCTGGAACTCCTCGCCTCAAGTAATTATCCTGCCTCAGCCTCCCAAAATGCTGGGGTTACAGGCACGAGCCCCTGCTCCCCACCTAAATGTAACCTTTTGAGAATGTAAAAATATACTTACTTGGACTGTAAAACAAAAATAAAAAGCAAAAGTTAGTCAACTGAATGGATTTGGCCCCTGGGCTATAGTTAGATTTCCCACTCCTGCTATAGAATAATTCATTACATAAATGAATTCCTTTCTTTAAATAGGCAATCTTTCAATCATGACAAAAGTGTAATTTGGCTCAACAGAAGAATCAAAATGAATATGATGTTACACTGAGGGAAAAATTCCTAGGAAGATGTCCCATACCTTAACTAATTAATACAATGACTTTGAGAGAAACCATTTAATCCTATTTTTGAATATCTATAATGAATTTTAGAAATGCATAAACTCCTACCAACTAAGAATTCATTAGTTGGTAGAACTAATTAATGTAATTCTTTTCTCAGCTAAGAAAACAAATGAGATTCGATGAAAAGTTGTTTATTATTTTCTTATTTAATGAATCACCTCCCCGCTCCTAGTTCATTGATTTAAATACAAGCACACAAGTACAAATGATTATGTTTTTCCTGGAACCTGACCCACTTGTTTTATGTCTTTATTGAACTTGAACCAAAACTTGGAAAAGTCATTTCAAGATAGTTTCTTAAATGAGCTGAATTAGCCCGGTTTAAAATGTTGACAAGAATGGGGCCGAGCTAAAAAACTTTGGTGGCCAACCTGTAACTTGCAAAGGAGCCGTCTCTCTCCAAGCCCATTCAATAAGCAGAGGCCTTCCCCAAAAACGGCGGGGTGGGCAAAGCAGTTAGAGGTGGCTCTCTTCTGACCTTTGTGTCTTTGCCAGCATTATCCTAAAGAATCTCTCTCTCTCTCACACACACACACACACACACACACATTGTTCTCTCCCTCACACATACACATTCTCACACACATTTCCCCCTTACGTGTCTTACGTAACGGTGCATGTGCTATGCATGTTGATTCCGTACACATATCTACTTCCTTAAATGCATGCAGTACTCGTGCTTCAAGCATACACATGGCTCTTTTTCACACATATCCATACTCTCACCCACAAACACGCTTTGTCGCACAAACAGTTCTCTGCTGGATACATATGGTCTGTTTGCACCTGTATTTCTGTTTTGTGCAGACCCAACACTTCTCATACCTTTTTCTTTCTACCATCCACACATTTTCACACCCCTCCACCTAGCTTGCTTAAATTGTCCCAAAATGTGGATGGGAAGGTGCATTCGTTTGCTAGGGCTGCTATAACAAAGTGCTCCAGACGGAGGGGCTTAAGCAATAGAAATCTATTGTCTCCCATTTGGAGGCTAGAAGCCCGGCATTGAGATGTGAGTAGGTTGGTTCCTTCTCATGGCTGTGAGGGAGGATCTGTCCCAGACTTCTCTTCTTGGCTTGTAAATGGCTTTCTCCCTGAGTCTCTCCACATTGCCTTCCTTCTATGCAAATTTTTTTTTTTTTTAGACTGAGTCTTCACTCTGTCAGCGAGGCTGGAGTACAGTGGCATGATCTCAGCTCACTGCAACCTCCGCCTCCCAGGTTCAAGTGATTCTCCTGCCTCAGCCTCCTGAGTAGCTGGAATTACAGGCATGCAGCACCATGCCCAGCTAATTTTTGTGTTTTCAGTAGAGACGGGCTTTCACCATGCTGGCCAGGCTGGTCTCAAACTCCTCACTTCAGGTGATCCATCCGCCTTAGCCTCCCAAAGTGCTGGGATTACAGGCATGAACCACCATGGCTGGCCCCTCTATGCAAATCTGTGTCCAAATTTCCTCTTGTTATAAAGACACACCAGTCATTTGGGACAGGACTTGCCCTAATTACTTCACTTTAGTTTGATTACCTCTGAAAAGATCCTCTCTCCAAATAAGGTCACATCCTGAGGTACCAGTTAGAACTGCAACATATGAATTTTGGAAGGGTCCTGGCACAAATAGGACACAATTTGACCCATAGCAGTAAGGTTCGGGTTTGGCTTGTTTCTGAGTGAGGTTTAGACCAGAAATACTAAACTCCATCTTGATCAGTAGTAAATCTGAAGCCTAGATGTGGCATTTCCTCATTAGAAACCTTGAACTCAAATCCAACTGCACCCCTCTCCCCACCAAGGGAGGGGGTAAGGGAGGGGATAAGATCCTCACCTGGATCTTATCAGGAATACTGGTCACCCAAAATTCAAGGGCTCCATTCAATGGACTCCCTAAGGTGAAAGTGCGCCACCTGGTGGAGAGCACTTTGACTTCACTACACATTTGCAAATGATTGACCAGCTGGTAGCAGCACTACCAAAAGCATCTTGGTTGACATTAAATATTAGATAAAACAGAGGAAGGAATCAGGGGGGCAAAATGAATTTGATGCAACCAATATAGTTCATGGGGTAGTGCCTGAGACGTGAACATTTAATAATCAAGAAGACATTATCTAACAAACTAGATAGTATTTGCATAGAATTCAAGAATAGAAGGTAGTAATTCACCTCTGATGGAACTTTCTTTAAAAATCTGGGTGCAGTGTGGGTGCACACTAGACCTGGGCTCCCAATAACCAAAGAAGATGAAATTATATAAACGTTTGAATGGGAAGAAACTCTGTTGTTCCAATAACATACATAGAAATACACCTTTCTGTCAGGTGTGTAGCAACATTTAAGGACCACCTTCTTGATCTCTAATGGCAGTTACAGAACAAATTACATAGGACAAGAAAACACAAAGGGTAGAAAACAATATCACAGTGGATGTCTGTACCCATCACACTTAACCTCGTCATCCGATTTCTCTTTTTCTCCAAAGAACACCTCTTGGGATTTCATTCTTTAAGGCACGTGATAGTGTGTAATATACACGAGGTACATTATATACATGTTTTGTTGTGTGTTTGTTGTTTTCTGAGACAGAGTCTCACTCTGTCACCCAGGCTGGAGTGCAGTGGTGGCATCATGGCTCACTGTGGCCTTGGTCCCCTGGGCTCAATTGATCCTGCCACCTCAGCCTCCCAAGTATCTAGCAGTACAGGCGTGCACCACCACATCCAGCTAATTTTTGTATTTTTTGTAGATATGGGGTTTTGCCTTGTTGCCCAGTCTGGTCTCAAACTCCTGGCTCAAGCGATTGGCCCGCTTCAGCCTCCCAAAGTAATCCCAAGTAGCTGGGATTACAGGCATGAGCCACCACACCCAGCCTATATACATATATAATATACTTGAATGATTGTAATGTGTCCCAAAATTCATATATACATTTCAGTACCACGTCAGACTTTAAGCTAAAATGATTGAAAACCTTTAATAGCACCAGCAAAGAAAACTACTGTTCTGGCAGTTAGCAGCCTTTGATATAGAGCTTCTTTCTATCCAAAAGAATGTGGATTCTTTTGTTGGAGAAATGTGTTAATACAAATGAACAATGCTGTTTCTTAAAAGCTGAGTGAAAATTTATTTGCTTTATCATAGTTCCATACCTTTATCTCTTGCTAGAAAGAGTTAAGGTAAATTGGTAGGATAATCTATGGAGGACAATTTGGCAATTGCCAATGATCAAAATCACCAATGCATGTATCTCTGACCTGGTAGTTCATTTCTAGCCATTTATCTTTTAGAAATACTCAACCTTAAATGAAGTAACATCTGCACAAGATTATTCTATATTCAGTGTTATTTATAGTAGCAAAATATCGGAAATAACCTAAGTGTCCAGTCTTGGGGTACAGCATGGTTAATTTATGGTGTATACACACAATTCAATACTGTGAAGACATAAAAAAGAGTAAGAAAGGGCCGAGTGTGGTGGCTTATGCCTGTAATCCCAGCACTTTGGGAGGCCAAGGAAGGCGGATCACCTGAGGTCAAGAGTTCGAGACCAGCCTGGCCAACATGGTGAAACCCTGCCTCTACTAAAAATACGAAACAGCAGAGTGTGGTGGTGGGTGCCTGTAATCCCATCTACTCAGGAGGCTGAGGCAGGAGAATCACTTGAACCCAGGAGGCGGAGGTTGCAGTGAGCCAAGATTACACCACTGCACTCCAGCCTGGGCAACAAAAATAAAACTCCTTCTCCAGAAAAAAAAAAAAAGAGTAAGAAAGGTATTTATTGCACTGACAGAGAGCAATCTGCAAGGTATTTTGTTAGGTTGAAAGAAGGAAAAAAATACATTACTAGTGCACTAAAAGGGGGAAGGATAACGTAGATGAACATTTTTGCATAAATATTCTGCAAGAATATCTGAGAAACCAACACAATGATAGTCTCCAAAGAGAGGACATTACTGCCGAGAGACAAGAGTGAAAGGGAGATTTTTCACTGTTACTCTTTTGTGTCTTTTGAATTTTGAGCCATGTAAATATACCTCTTCAAAAAAAAATTTAAAGTTTTTTTGTTTGTGTAATTTGCCTTGACCAAAATTTCTCCAAGGTCTAATGATATTTAAAATTTCTTGGTATCATGAGCCTGAAGCCAATATGATGTGATAATTCTCTGATATTTGACTACTTTCTTTCTATTTTAGGAGAAGGTACTGTAATTTTTTTAATTATGTAAATGATACATGACTACTTAGCAAAACAAAAGATTTTAAGCTTGTTGACTGTATTCCTCTTTCAACACAATTAATTCAAATGAATTTTTGTAATATATACCCCTACCACAGAAAATGCAAAAGAAAAATTGAAATGATTCATCTGAATTATTACCAATGAAACTTTGGTAATTTTTTTTTTTTGAGACACGATCTCACTCTGTTGCCCAGGCTGGAGTGCAGTGGTGCAATCACGGCTCACTGCAGCCTCAAACTCCTGGGCTCAAGTGATCCTCCCACCTTACAGCCTCCCAAATAGCTGGGGACTACAGGTGTGTGCCACCATGCCTGGTTAATTTTTATATTTTTTGTAGAGATGGGAGTCTTATTTTGTTGCCCAGGCTGGTCTTGAACTCCTGGGCTCAAGCAATCTGCCTGTCTCTGCCTCCCAAAGTGCTGGGATTACAGGTATGAGCCACCATACCCGGCCTGGTAAAATCTTTAACAAATTGGCCAGGTGCGGTGGCTCATGCCTGTAATCCCAGCACTTCAGGAGGCTGAGGCGGGCAGATCACAAGGTCAGGAGATCGAGACCATCCAGGCCAACATGGTGAAACCCTGTCTCTACTAATAATACAAAAAAATTAGCTGGGTGTGGTGGTACACGCCTGTAATCCCAGCTACTCAGGAGGCTGAGGCAGGAGAATCACTTGAATCCAGGAGGCGGAGATTGCAGTGAGATGAGATGGCGCCACTGCACTCCAGCCTGGCGACAGAGTGAGACTCTGTCTCAAAAACAAAACAAAACAAAATCTTTAACAAATTATATCTGAACTCTGCAAATTTATACAAGATAAATTATCATCATTATCACAACTTGAGTGCGAGTATTCCGTTTTCCTTACTATTTTCATTTCTGAGAATTCCCAAGGCTAACTATTTTTTCTACAAAACAAAACTAATTTGAATCAATAGTATTTAAGCAATACTAAAAAAATTATTATTCAGCATATAATTCAAGCAGGAGGGAAAATAGAAGTTGCTAAACTTACCAATAATTTGATAGGCTGAATCAAAACAAAATCCTTTGTAATATTTACTTAGAAGATTTAAGACAAAACATTACATTTTGTCATCATGTTTTGCTTCATATTTCAAAGTCAGCATAGTTAAGATTCTCTTTTTCAAATTCAATTTAGTTATTTATAATGTAATGCACGTGTTGACAGTGAAACATCATTATTGTCATTTGCCCAGGTTGCTGGGGTCATCGAGCTACCTACAGGGAGGAAGCTGGGGTGCTAGCCTCATCTGGGTGTCCAGGGAAGGTTTCCCTGAGCGAATGATGTCCAAAATGAGGATAAGGAGTTTGCTAGAGGAAGCAGCAAAGGGATAATGTTTTAGGCAAAGAAAACATGAGGAGACTCAGTAGTGAGGAAAAGCTTTGGAGGAATTGAGTGAATATTAGTGTGACTGGACCAGAGAGAGTGCAATGCACCAAGTAGTCCATGATAAGGTGGTGGCCAGGGGCTCCTGAGTGTTCAGAAACAGCTGCAACCCTCCAGCAGCCGGCAGCGTGATGGGGAGACCACCAGGCAGGCAAGCGGCCAGTTTACAGGGGAAAACACTAACAAGGAGTATAAAACAAGGTACACAACAGATTTCAATCAGAGGACGGATGAGGTCAGATCTGCATTTTGAGATGATTTCTCTGGCAATGTGAGGTCAACAGCTGCAAAAAGTAAAAATAAAAAATAAGAAGAAGAAAAGACAAGAAAAAAGCAGCTCTTTGACAGTGACAGTGGAGAGCCAGTGGAGAGACCAAAGACAGGGAGATGAATTAGGAAGCAGCTGTGACAGTCCAGGAACAATGATGAGGAGGGCAGTAGCGGGCAGCGGGAATCGAGGGCAAGGAGGAGGCTGAAATGCTTTTTGGAGGCAGAGCTGACAAGCCCCCATGCCCATCCCCTTCCCTTTGTCACCCTCTCATTGGAGTTCACTGAGGCGGACAGCAATAGCTCATCTTTCCCGCAGCTCTTTGTGGACAGGCTGTCATGGGGATTTGCTGTCGTGGGTGTCTTTGACTACAGGGTTACCTTTTTGTTTTCTTTCCAAAGCAGGAGGCAGATACTGTTGCTAAGTGCAGAGACTGAATCCATGTGCTGGGACCAATGAAAGCCTCCATGAGCTACCATCTTGGGAGCCCTCTGGATAACCTGTCAAGTTCTGAACAAAACCTCAGGACAAAGTGTTCACCGCACCTCTCTTTGTTCCATTTGATGTCATTTTAGAAGCATTCTTAGTCACTGGGGTAGAGAGCTTCAAGACTCGATTAGAAATGGCTCCTGTGAAACTGTGAAGCTTGAGTGACCATTGAAGATGGATTTTGCACTACGGACTTGACACCTATTATCTCTCATACAACACAATTGCATGTATGTTTACCTTGAGTTTACAAATACGGACACTGAGAGTCCTAAAGATGAGGTTACCTGCCATGAGGGATAATTGGAGTTGGTGCTGGACACACTCTAGCCTGGGCTCATCTGCTCATGTCACTCCACCCTCCTCTTTCTGCATCCTCCCATCTCTTCCACACTCCTCTCCTGCCAAGTGTGTTTGTTCCGGGCCCTTCATAAAAGTTGGACTCATCTGGGAAGAATAAGACCAGCGTTCATGTGGCAGCTCTGATAGGGACCATCTTATGGACATTAAGCAAGTCATTTGACCGCTGTTCTCAGTTTCCTACTAATATGCTTTGGATTTGTGTCCCTGCCCAAATCTTATCTCGAATTGTAATCCCCAATGTAAGAGGTGGGGCCTGGGGAGATGACTGAATCATTGGGGTGGGTTTCTTATGAATGGTTTAGCGCCGTCCCCTTGGGTCATGGGCGGGGAGTAAGGGGAGAGGGTAGAATTGGAGATTTGGGAGACACAGCAGGCAATCAGCACAGATTTATAGATGGGTGAACGGATGGCGAACAGTAGAGGGGACTGACCTGGGAAATGCTATAAGATTCTCATGCTGTTCTCATGACAGTGAGTGTGTTCTCAGAAGATCTGGTTGTTTAAAAGTGTATAGTACCTTGCCCCTCACTCACTCTCTTTCTCCTGCTCTGGTCATGTGATGCGCCTGCTTCCCCTCACCTTCCGCCATGATTGTAAGTCTTCTGAGGTCTCCCCAGAAGCCAAGCAGATGCCAGCACCATGCTTCCTGTACAGCCTGTGCCACCATGGGCCAATCAAACCTCCTTTCTTTATAAATTACCCAGTCTCTGGTATTTCTTTATAGCACTGTGAGAGCAGACTACTACACCTCCCCTGTAAAGTAAGAGGGTATACTCAATATCTCTTCCTGCTCTAAGGTTCTAGGACCCAGACTATTACATATTACAGAAAACTGATGGGGAACAATCCTTGCTGTCACTCTTTCTCCTCTGCCATGCTTCACAAGTGCCTCTCCCTACTCCAGTTATCATGGGAGGATGTGTACTTAGAGATCCTGTGAGATAGCCACAGACAGGCACAGATAATCTCTGGTGAGGCCCCACAATCTTGTCATGTTTCCCAAGTCAGTCTCCTCTACTGTTCCCCATCCATCTGCCCATCCATAAATATGTGCTGAGCACCTGCTGTCTCTCAAATCTCCAATTCTACCCTCTCACCTTACTGTCAGCCAATGACCTTTGCTCCTCCCTCACAGAATAAGAATTCCCTCAACTTCCTGCCAAAGTACCTTACAAATTAACCTGCATCTGTCCTCACACTTTTCTCCCCTCCTCCCGTCACTTGGGAGGTGGGGTCCTTTCTCTCATCTCCCATCCCCTCCTCCATTAGCTGTCTGCATCTCATCCCTGTCAGCATTCCCCAAGTGCTGGGATTACAGGCGTGAGCCACCATGCCTGGCCTAGGCCTTTAAATTTGGGTGTTCCTCTGGGTTCCATCCTCTGGTTTTGCCCCACGTTGCTTCACTCACGCTCCCTGAATGATCCATGCCTAAACTTCAAGCACCCAAATTGCCATTGTCAGGCCAATGGATTCCCTCGAATCCAAACAGCCTCCAAACTCTGTTCTTTCTATGTTTCCCTCTCTTGAGTCTATTCCCTCTCCATTTTCACAGCCCCAACACAGTTTGGCTATTTGTTCGGTGACTATGGCAGCATCCTAACCGTTCTTCTTGCCTCCAGTTTGACTCCTCTTCCTACATTCTCTGCACCATCACCCCATCCACCTTTACCTATCAGAACAATCTGTAAGATCTAAGAATGCCTATGCTGGAGCGAGAGGTATAGATAGAGAGTTAGAACATCTAGCAAATATTAGGTTACAATGATGCTATAGTTTGAATGTGCCCCCCAGAATTCATGTGTTGGAAACTTAATCTCCAATGCAACAGTGCTGGGAAGTGGGGCCCAATGGGAGATGTTCATGTGATGAAGCAGTAAGTGTGATGATGCAGCAAGAAGGCCCTCACCAGATGCTAGCATCTTGATCTTGAACTTCGCAGCCTCCAGACTGTGAGCCAATGTATTCTATTATAGTGGCATAAAATGACTGAGACAAGTGGTGCCCTTTGGTATTTGTTCTAAGCCCTCAATCCCAAAACACTGCATTAGAAAAGTTAACTTGGCTGTAATATAGGGGTATCAGAAGAGGGGGCAGGGGGCAGTTTCCTTATCTGGAAAATAAGGAGTTGGACTGGGCCAGTGCCTTGCAGAGTACACCCAAACCTTCAGTTTCTGATTCAGTAGATCTGCACAGGACCAGAGAATTTGTATTTTTAATGAGCTTGCAGGTGATGGCAATGCTGAGGTCCACAGACCACGCTTAGAATACCACTGGTGTCTTAGTCTGTTCAGGCTACTATAACAGAACACTGTGAACTGAGTGGGCTTATAAACAACAGAAACTCACAGTTCTGGAGGCTGGGAAGTCTAAAATCAAGGCACTGGCAGATTCAGTGTCCAGTGAAGGTCCACTTTGCTTCCTGGTTCATAGATAATGTGATGGTTAATATTGAGCATCAACTTAATTGGATGCAATTAATTTAAATAGCCACAAAGTATGCAAAGTATTGTTCCTGGTGTGTGTCTGTGAGGGTGCTGCCAAAGGAGATTAACATTTGAGTCAGTGGACTGGGAAAGGCAGACCCACTCTCAATCTGGGTGGGCACCAGCTAACCAGCTGCCAGTGTGGCCAGAATAAAATGCAGGCAGGAGAACATGGAAAGACTAGACTGGCTGAGTGTTCTGGCCTCCATCTTTCTCCCATGCTGGATGCTTCCTGTCCTTGAACATCAGACTCCAAGTTCTCCAGCTTTGGGACTCTTGGATCTTCAACCACAGACTGAAGGCTGTACTGTTGGCTTCCCTACTTTTGAGGTTTTGGGACTTGGACTGGCTTCCTTGCTCCTTAGCTTGCAAACGGCCTATTGTGGGACTTCACCTTGTGATTGTGTGAGTCAACACTCTTTAGTAAACTTCCCCTCATATATAAATCTATCCTATTAGTTCTGTCCCTCTAGAAAACCCTGACTAATACAGATGGTCATCATAAACCAAAAAGTATCTGAGACGGGTCTCAATCAATTTAGAGGTTTATTTTGCCAAGGTTAAGGACAATGCCTAAGAGACAGGTCTATACCTTTCTCTGAAGATGATTTTGAGGGCTTCAATATTTAAAGGGGAAAGGGCAGATATTGGGGAAGGGGGAAGAAATTTTTAAAAGGTGTTGATAGATAAGAGCTAAGTGGTTGCATTCTTTTGAGACTTTGATCAGCCGTTCACACAGAAGAGGCGGGTAGAGGAATAGTCACTTATGCATTCACCTAGCTCAGTGAATCTGCACTTTTACATAAGACAAAATAAACATGGCAGAGGAGGCCATCAGCTATGCATTTGTCTCAGGTGAGCAGAGGGATGACTGAGTTCTGTCCTTTGTCTATGTCCTGTCCATACCTATGAAGATAAGCTGTCAATCTACATTGTCCGGGTGAAATTCAACAGAACTATTTTAGGGTAAAGATCTTGGGGCCCACAGGGAATTTCCTGTGGGGAAAATGTGGAGGAAGCATGTAGCTTTTTAACGTTGTAGCTATCTTATTTAGGAACAGAATGGGAGGCAGGTTTGCATGATGCGGTTCTCAGCTTGGCTCTTCCCTTTGGCTTAGGCACTAATCCCACTCCTGGGCAATCTTTCCTCACGACCTAATCACCTCCCAAAGGCCCCATGTCCGAATATGATCACATTGGAGATTAGGTTTCAACATGTGAATTTTGAGGGAACACAAACCTTCTGACCATAGCAACTGGACTCAATGATATCTACAATTTTAGTTTCTTTGCCTGGGCTATCCAATATGGTAGCAACTACTTATGTGGCTATTTAAATTACAAATTATATTAAATTAAATTAAATTGAAATTCACTTCCTCAGACACACCAGCCTTATTTCAGGTGCCAGTGGCCACATGGGGCAGTGGCCACCATATGGAACAATGTGGAACATTTCCATCATCACAGAAAGCCCTAGTGGATATGGTCATTTCCTCACGGACCTCTGGAGAGGACATTTTCAAGTAGAAGGGAAGTAAAATATCTTCTGACAGATGAGGGCTTTCAGGATTGCTCAAGCACACCTGTGCAGTTGGCCTAATATTTCAGCCCTAACTTTAAAAATGATCCCTGGGAAGTATAGTCTTCAGCCCTAACTTGAAAGTCCCAAAGCCCATGCCCCATTCTGCCCTAGCACCATTTTGCCCCAGGAAGCATACACAAAAACAGGGCTGGAACTGGGAAATACCAGAATTTCTGTGCTCAGAACTGTGACTGTATATCAATGTAAGGCCATGGTGGACAAAGCCAAGGATGTAGTGGCCAAAGTCCTGGTATTTGAGTACCCAACCTGGAACAAACTTCTCTGAGCCTCTGTACCCTCATATATATATATATATATATATATTTTTTTTTTTTTTTTTTTTTTGAGACAGGGTCTTGCTGTGTCACCCAGGCTGGAGTGCAGTGGCATGATCTTAGCTCACTGCAACCTCTACCTCCCAAGTTCAAGCGATTCTCTTGCCTCAGCCTCCTTAGTAGCTGGGATTACAGTCGCCTGCCACCACGCCCGGCTAATTTTTGTATTTATAGAAGAGACAGGGTTGCGCCATGATGGTCAGGCTGGTCTCAAACTCCTGACCTCAATCAAGTGAGCCTCCTGCCTCAGCCTCCCAAAGTGCTGAGATTATAGGTGTGAGCCACCATGCCCGGCCTTCTATAAAGTATTCTTGAAATAGCTGCCTCACAGGCAGATGTGGAAAAGCACCTGTAGTTTACAACTAATTCAGTTATTATTTTTTCTTCCTCTGCTGTGCTGCTATTGTGTGTTAGACACACTCTAATTTAGTACTTATGCTTTCTGCTTATGTATCTCCCCCAGGCTAGTAGCCCCTGGAACACAAGGTAAGGCCCCATCAGATTCAGTTCTTCCCTCAACACCTACCCTACTGCTTGGCCCATGAGAGATGCTTCAAAAAAAAAAATGTGCAAAAGATTATGTCTTGGGGAAAAGCCAGGTCACAGGCACAATAAGTGTGAGGATTGTGCCATTTCCCCGACTCTCCCCAGCTCTGTGCTCATGCTCTTTCTTTAGCCTGGACCACTTGCTACTCCGTCCTGATCCACACCCCACCTTTACTTGCCCAACCCCAACTCTGGTTGTAGAGAATCTAGTCGTCCTTGAAGAATCTTCCTAAAGATCTGAATGCCAAATTAATTAATCAGTTGTGGAGTCAAAGCCTGCCTCTACCACTGCCTACTAGGACCTTGAGTAAATTTTTGTAATCCTGCTGATCTTAATTTTGCTGATCTGCAAATTGGGCAGAAAAATACCTATCTTTCAGTTTTGATATGAGATTTACATAAGCAAATGCATGTGGAATGCCAAACACATAGCAGATGCTGAATAAATGCCTTCAAATGGCCATTTCTAACGGCTCTGGGAAATTCTCCATTCTGCAACAATATGCAGTCTTCTCGAGACCTCCGCTACGTTCTCTTTTTTTCTCATCGTTTATTTAGCAAACATTAATAGAGCATGTTTTATTTGCCAGACACTTTGCTAGATGATAGAGATACAAAGATTAGAAGCCAGGCATGGGTGTCTCACGCCTATAACTCCAGCACCTTGGGAGGCTGAGGCAGGAGGATTGCTTAAGGTAAGGAGTTCAAAAAATAAAATAAAATAAAACATAAAAAAAAATTAGCCAGGCATGGTGGCATGCACCTGTACTCTCAGCTACTTGGGAGTCTTAGCTGGGAGATCACTTGAGGCCAGGAGTTTGACGCTACAGTGAATTATGACCGTGACACTGCCCTCCAGCCTGGGTGACAGAAAAAAAAAAAAAAAGATTAGAGAAGGCCTCTGACCTCACAGTCTAGTGGGGAACCAGCTTCTTCGGGGATTTTTCCCTGCCTCACCTCGCCCACCTCAGGCTGTGTAGAAACCCCCAGTCTAACCAGTTGTTTCCCTCCAACTCTGTACATACCACGGTGTGTTGCCTTTTTATTTCAAACATGTGCTGGCCTCTGTTCTAATCACAGCAACCTGTATCCATTAATCCATTTAATCCTCACAACAACCTTATCAGGTAAGTATTGTCATTATTTGCATTTTCCAAATAAGGAAACTGAGGCACAGACAGATTAAGTAACTGGCTTAATAAGGTCTTCTAGTTTATACGTAGAGGCAGCCAGGACTTGAAAACACACCTTCTGGCTCCAGCTAAATTAACATGCTCTGTTTACTTATCTGTCCCCACTGAAATTGGAGGTTGAACCCGTGGCATATTCAAACGAATAAGTATCGCCTGTGCCCACCCCAATATCTGACACTATAGGTCAACGATAACTCATTCGTCAAACAGGAAGGAGGAAGGAAGGAAGGAAGGAAGGAAGGAAGGAAGGCAGGCAGGCAGGCAGGCGGGCAGGCAGAGGTAAAACGATTCCACAATGGTGTGGTTGCTCACATTTACTAAGCATCAACACTGACCTGCCTGTAAGATGCGCTAACAGAGCTCACGAATAAATGAAGGCTGGGTGTGGTAGCTCACGCCTATAATCCCAGCACTTGAGAGGCCAAGGTGGGAGGACGGCTTGAGCCCCAGAGTTCAGGACCAGCCGGGGCAATATACTGAGACCCTGTCTCTACTAAAATTAAAATTAAAAATTAGCCAGGCACAGTGGCGCGCGCATGTAGTCCCAGCTACTTGGGAGGCTGAGGTGGAGGATCGCTTGAGCCCGGGAATTCAAGGCTGCAGTGAGCCCTGACCACGCCACTGCACTCCAGCCTGGGCGACCAAAAAAAAAATTAAAATAAAAAAAAGGAATAAATGAACATCTCTGCGGCTCAGAACTTTCAGTTATCACCTCAGAACTTTCAGTTATCACCGTCGAGAATTCCAGGCGACCGCTGGGTTTTCCCGGTTGCCTCTTTTCTCTCACCCCTGTTCCCTTCCTCTGGAATTCGGCTCCACCTCTTCCTTTTCCTTTGCCAGCCTCTCCGTGGATTCCGCGGTCCGGGTTTCCCGGGCGGCAGCCGCCGGGAGAGGATCGGTGCGTGGGAGCGCTCCGGCAGCGGCGGGCATGCGCAGAGGGGGGCGGTGTACTGCGCATGCGGGAAGATGGCGGGCCGGGCGACTTGAGATCCGCGGGTCTCCCTCCTCTTTTTCCGTCTGCGTCGGGAGCTCCCGGGCACGTGAGGCCGTGCCGCGTTTACTGGCGGGCGGGACGGCCTAGCCGGGCGGCGCCTCGGAGGAAGCCGCGGACCCCTTAGGTGCTGGGCCCTTGGAAATCGGCGCGTGGGGGGCGGTGCTCGAGCTGAGCGCGAGAGGGCGGGAGAGCTCGTGGGGTGCGAGGGGAGCAGGACGCCCGGCCGGGCAGCATGAGTCAGCAGCGGCCGGCGAGGAAGTTACCCAGTCTCCTCCTGGACCCGACGGAGGAGACGGTTCGCCGTCGGTGCCGAGACCCCATCAACGTGGAGGGCCTGCTGGTAAGCTCCGGGACGGGACGGGGACGGGCGGTGGTCTCCCAAATCCGGCCCCCTCCTCCCCGCGCCGCCGCCAACCCCGCTGGCCGTCGTCTGGGTCGTCTGCTCCCCCTGGGCCAGGCGCTGCCCATCACGTGCTGCGAACTGCGCTCTCCCGCCTTCTGCTTTCAGCATCTGCTCACAGACGTGGTATCAGTCTTCTAGGCTTTTACATCGGAACTTCAGAGCACTGTTGGAGAAAATTGCTCAACTTTGCATTAGAGAGTCCATGTTTATCTCCTTCTATGGACTCTAGCTGTATCTCTGCAACCTATCATTTGTTTTTCTGCCTCCTCTCCCATCCTTCTGCTCTACTGCAGCCGTTTAAAACCTTGTCCACGCTTTATATTTCCCACGCCACAGCTCCCATTCATCAAATTATCTCCCCACCTGTTTGACAGAGAAAATGGTTAGGAAATTTGGCTCCCTTTCCTGCAAAGGCTGATTTCTTCTCTTGTTCAGGACCAGATGCTGTATTCCCCGCGGTTATCAGGGCCCTCAACAAATGCATTTTCTTTTTCTTTTCTTTCTTTTTTTTCTTTTTTTTTTTTTTTTTTGAGATTGAGTTTTACTTTTGTTCCCCAGGCTGGAGTGCAATGGCGCAATCTCAGCTCACTGCAACCCCCACCTCCCAGGTTCAAGAGATTCTCCTGCTTCAGCCTCCCATGTAGCTGGGATCACAGGCATGCGCCACCACACCCAGCTAATTTTGTATTTTTAGTAGAGACGGGATTTCGCCGTGTTGGCCAGGCTGGTCTCGAACTCCTGACGACCTCAGGTGATCCACCGAGCCCGACCTCTCCCCGTATTTTCAATTTCTCTGCTGCTTTCTTTCTATAACTAGTAGTAATTAAACATTTTCCCAAGTCATTATGCCTGGTTCCCCTACCAAATAGTTTGTGATTATTGCCTCATTTAATTTCTCATTTCTCACAGCAGTGTTTTATAATACTAAAAGATTATTATTCTTGTTTCACGGTTGCCAAAACAGACTTGGAGATGCATGTAACGCCGGCTTGCCTGTGGCTGGATAATAAGTGTAGAAACTTGGGTTGAAGCTCCAAATGTCTAACTCCAGATGATAAATTCTTGACTACTAAAACCGCATTCTAAATCCATCCCCATCTTAAAAGATCTCTCCCTTGATTCCATATCCCCTCCCATCTACTGTCTCTCTTCCTCTTCACAGCTAAACTTTTTTTTTTTTTTTTTTTTTTTGGTGACGAAGTCTTGCTCTGTCACCCAGGCTGGAGTGCAGTGGCCTGATCTCGGTTCACTGCAAGCTCCGCCTCCCGAGTTCACGCCATTTTCCTGCCTCAGCCTCCTGAGTAGCTGGGACTACAGGCACCCGCCACCACGCACGGCTAATTTTTTTTTGTATTTTTAGTAGAGATGGGGTTTCACCGTGTAAGCCAGGATGGTCTCAATCTCCTGACCTCGTGATCCACCCGCCTCAGCCTCCCAAAGTGCTTTCACAGCTAAACTTCTTGAAAAGGTTATTTACACTCACTGTTTCCACTTGATGGCCTCTTATTACCAGCCAACCCACTGCTGGGGACCCCTATCCTAAGCACACTTGTAAGACCATTCTAACCAAGGTCACCGACAAGCTCGTCAATTCCAGCAGCTGTTGTAGTTTTGACTACAACACTCGTGTTAGAAACCCTCCCTTGAGCTTCCTTGACGTTTGATGCTCCATCTGCTTCTCTGGCTTCTCCTTGTCCTCATCCTCTTCCCATTCCTTCATGTTGATTTGTTTTTCTGTTTTTGTTTTTGTCCCCCCCCCCGGTGCAGGATCTCACTCTGTCACCCTGGCTGGAGTGCAGTGGCACATCATGGCTCACTGCAGCCTTACCTCCCAGGCTCAAGTGATCCTTCTGCCTCCAACTCCCAAGTAGCTGAGACCACAGGCACATGCCACCACACCTGGCTAATTATTTTTATTTTTAGAGATGGGAGTCTTCCTATGGGGCCCAGGCTGGTCTTGAACTCCTGGGCTCAAGCAGTCCTCTCACCTCAGCTCCCCAAAGTGCTGGGATTACAGGCGTGAGCCTCTGCAGCTGGCCACATGTTGGTATTATTCAGGGTTCTCTTCTACCGTCTCTACACATTCTTCTTAGGGGAGTTCATTCACTCCTCCCATGACTTCTGTTACCATCTACATTTGATCATTGAACGACTCAGGGATTGGGGCACCAAATCCCATGAAATTCAAAATCTGAATATAACTTTGATTCCCCCAAAACTTTACTGTTTGCTGGAAGCCTTACTGATACCGTAAACAGTTAATTGACACATATTTTGTATTTATATGTATTAGTTACTGTTTTCTTATAGTAAAGTAGCTAAAGAAAAGAAAATGTTATTAAGAAAATCATAAATAAGAGAAAATCCTACTCCTTCGGGGGAATTAGGTCATCGTAAAGGTCTTCATCCTTGTCTTCACACTAAGTGGGCTGATGAACAAGAGTAAGAGGAGGAGCTGGTTTTGCTCTCTAAGGGGTGGCAGCGGGTAAAGAAAATTGGTCTCTAAGTGGACCCACACAATTCAAACCTGTGTTGTTTGAGGGTCAGCTGTATATTGGTACCATCTGTATTGGTGGTCTTAATATTTGAGAACGTGATAAAAACTCTAAGCTCACTGTGGAAAAACCACTTAGTTTGCATGTAGTATCAGCAGATACATCCCTTGAAATCTTAGACATACAGTTCTGGTATTTTCAGTTACCATGTCATAATTCCCAAATCTATAAATCTCCTTCAGGGTTTTCCAGCTGTCTACTAGACCTTCCTACTTAGGTTTCAAACTCCTATTAGTCCCCTCTCATCTGAGGTTTCACTTTTCTTTATTTCAGTTAACCTGTGGTCCCCCAAACTATTAAAATGAAAATTCCAGAAATAATTCATTAGTTTTAAACTGCTTGCCATTCTCAGTAGTGTCATGAAATCTTGAGCTGTCCAGTACCACCCAGCACCTGAATCTTCCTTTGTCCAGAGTTCCCATGCTGTCACTGCGCCCTGCCCTTAGTCGCTTAGTAGCTGTTTCTTGATTCTCAGACCAACTGTCACGGTGCTTGTGTTAAGTAGCCCTTATTTTCTCAGTAATGGCCCCAAAGCACAAAAGTAGTGCTTCCAGTATGCTTCCAGTAGTGCTTCCAGTATGCTGAAGAGAATTGATGAAGTGCTTCCTTTAAGTGAAAAGATCTAAGTTCTTGACTTAGTAAGGAAAGAAAAAAAATCTTATTCTGAGGTCGCTAAGATCTACAGTATAAGATATTTTGAGAGAGAGACCACATTCACATAACTTTCATTGTAGTTTATTGCTATAATTGTTGTATTTTATTATTAGCTGTTAATCTCTTACTATGCCCGATCTATAAATTAAATGTTATCACATGTATGTATGTATACGAAAAAATAGTATATATAGAGATTGGTACTGTTTGCGGTTTTAGGCATCCACTGGGGGTCTTGGAATGTAGCTCCCAGGGATAAGGGTGGACTACTCTATATCCAGAATTGAATTTATTACTCTATTGGTCAGGGCTCTCCAGAGAGACAGACCAATACTAACACAGATTTTGGTACCAGGAATGGTTCTGGGAAACAGAATATTAAAGATGAGTTTCCTTAATTGGGGTTTTTGGAATTGATTCTTTAATCTGATTAGAATCTAAAAATGCCAAGAGCTCTACTTCTAATAGTAGAGAGAGCACTGGAAGTCCATGACACAAACTGTTTATAGATATGCAAAATAAATGCCTTTTTATTCTAATTCACTGCTTATAAGAGGCAAAGAATTTAGTGACGCTATATGTGATATTTTCAAATATTTTTGGGAAAACAAGGATTATAATGACATTGGTTGGTTGCTCCTATTGTCTTTGGACAAAGTGATGAAAGAAAAGGATGAGCTCAGGGATTCAGTTTCATGGCTGGAGTTCCACATAAATGACCTAAAAGTTTCTAAGTGTGCCCTGGGTTAGAATCTTCTATCCTGTAGCCATGGGGCTGAAATTGCTGAAAATCAAACACAAGCCTTCATCATGTAACTGGCCAAATTACAATGGAAGTTGAACTCTTGGCCAGTCATGGTGGCTCATGCCTGTAATCCCAGCACTTCGGGAGGCTGAGGCGGGTGGATCACCTGAGGTCCGGATTTCGAGACCAGCCTGGCTAATGTGGTGAAACCCCGTTTCTACTAAAAATACAAAAAATTAGCCAGGCTTGGTGACGTGCGCCTGTAATCCCAGCTACTCGGGAGGCTGAGGCAGAAGAATCACTTGAACCCAGGAGGTGGAGGTTGCAGTGAGCCGAGATTGTGCCACTGCACTCCAGCTTGGGCAACAAGAGTGAAACTCCATCACAAAAATAAATAAATAAATAAAATAGAAAGTTGAACTCTCTTAGCCTCACAGAGCATCTACTGTTAAAGTGAGGGTATTGGTTGGGAAAGAGTGGGGTCCTGCAAGTTTGGATGGGATCATGTGGGAAGATGAGGCTGGACACATTGAGCCCCTAAATTCTGATGAGTCTTGTTTGCCAGAGGGGCAGTAGCATTTCCACCTACAGTGGTATCATCCTTTCCACCCCTGTCTAAGGGGATTAATTCTGCATTGCCTGTGGAGATAGTAATGGCCTCCTCTGAAACAGTTCCCGGACAAGACAGTGCTGATTCTCATCAGGACCCACCCCGCCACCCCTCTTTGCTTCTAGACCTATTACTAGACCCAAGTCCCAGCAGACCCCTAAAGGTGAGGTGCAAAGTATGACTCACTCCACTTCTGGTACCAAATCTGTATTAGGTTTCTGGTCCTGTAAGATTATAGTGGAGCTGAAAAATTTCTATCACCTGGTGACATTGTAGCCATCATAATGGTCATAGCACCAAACATTACCTTTTCTATGTTTAGATGCACAAATACCATTCTGTTAGTTACCGTTATCTACAGTATTCAGTCAGTCACATGCTCTACAGGTTTGTGGCCTAGCAGCAATAGGCTATACTGTATAGCCTAGGTGTGTAGTGGGCTGTACCATCTAGGTTTGTTTAAGCACTCTATGATGTTCACGCAACAAAATCGCCTAATGACGATTCTGAGAAGATGCATGATTGCATGTAGATATATGAGAGGGAATTTATTAGGGAAATTGGCTCATGATTTTGGAGGCTGAGAAGCCCCACAATAGGCTGGCTGCAAGCTGGAGACCTTGGGATGCTGGTAGCATGGCTCAGTCCAAGTCCATAGCATGAGAACCTGGGAGGCTGCTAGTGTAACTCCTAGAGTCCAAAGGCCAGAGAATCTGAAGTTGTTGTCCAAGGACAAACGGGAAAGAGGGTCCCAGAGGATCTGGACTTCTGAGAAGGGAGAAAATAGCATTGATTGGAGGTAGAACTTGGTCTGCATAATTGAAAAATAAGGAAAATTTGAATGGGTGAGAATGCAATAACCTTTCCAAAGACCTCTTGAAGGAATATTGCTCCCCAAAACAGAATTGGTGTAGAGAAACATCTGTATAGAGAAAGGTTTAACCAGCTTGGAGGCAGTGCTTAGCATTTTAGTCCCTAAACTTCATCTTTTATTTTTTTTTCCACCTTTGAAGCAGCTCTTCAAAGCTACACAATAAAGTATAGGTCTTTAAATAGGGGACTTGGAGCAGTGGTGAAATAGCTTGGAATTTGAAAAAATATGCTGACTTGCCCCAGAAGATGCTGGTTCCTAGAGAGCTGTATACTCTGTCAGGGCACAAGATCAGCCTGAGTGATTTTCATTTTGTAAGCCTCTGACTTCTCCATTCATTTTGCAGCTAGCATGCAAACAATCTGCCTATTTATCATCTTTTTTTTTTTTGAGACGGAGTCTCGCACCGTCATCTGGGCTGGAGTGCAATGGCACGATCTCAGCTCACTGCAACCCCTGCCTCCCGGGTTCAAGCGATTCTCCTGCCTCAGCCTCCCAAGTAGCTTTTATTACAGGTGCCCACCACCACCCCCAGCTAATTTTTTGTATTTTTAGTAGAGACGGGGATTTCACTATGTTGGCCAGGCTGGTCTTGAACTCCTGACCTTGTGATCTCCTCCCCCCACCCCGCCTCCCAAAGTCCTGGGATTACAGGCATGAGCCACCGCGCCTGGACTTATGTTTCTATCTATATGTCTGTATATGATGTCTGCCACTGAGGGGCAATGGTACTGTTGTGATTCCTCCAAGATAGAGTGTTTTTGTATTTGAAGAGGAAAAAAAAACAAATGAATGCTCTTGGAGACTGTTTTCCCACATACATCAGTATAGCCAATATGTAATGGAACTGCATTGATAGCAAAGAGTGGGGAAAACAAAGCCATCTTTTTTCATATTATGCCTAACTGAGGTGTTATTTCTGTACCAACCTGTGATCCACTGTCTAGATGAGATGGGTAGGGAGGTGTGTAGCAGAGAAGACACCCTAGAATGCATAGCTAGCGAGGCAGCCTCTTTGGGAGCCAGTAAGTAGAGTGTGTAAGTCCTGGGCCTGCTACTCTGAATTAAGAACGGGAACCTCTGCAGCAAGGCCCCTCTGAGCTTATATATAAGGATTTAGGATGTTTGTTTATGTGTGTTTCAAATCAATGTGATAAGGATGGATTTTTTTTTTTTCCATTCAAGAATCTTGCTACCGTAGCTGGCCCGTCTCATACTATTAGCAGAGGGGTTAAATGTAAAAATAGCAATGGCAGTTGGTCACACTTGTCTAATGTCTGACTTTGATAGGACTGCTTCAGAGTTTCACTGTTGGATACCATGTTTGCAAGTCACCATTGTCAGCACTGTTTGAGAGAGCTGGCCAGACCTAGTCCCTACCCCCAAGGCCAGCATTCCCAGCTCCAGTGTTGCATGCCCTAGCAGGTCTACGTGTTCAATTCTAACAACTAAATTAATTTTACAGTGGGATTCTGTCTCAATGGGAGTATTCCATATTGGGGTGATTTGTTAATAGATGCTATCATCTTGTCATAGATGATAAGGAAATCATTGTGCCGAGGATATTGTTAACACCAGTATAAACAAAGAGCTTCTTAACTGCTCACCTTGCCTTCAGGCTTCCTCATTTCCCAGTCCTTTTGCCATATTGCTGCCATACTTATATTTCTAAACCATTTACTTAATTATGTCCTAGTCTGGTTCAGAAACCTTTGGTGATTCTCTACTGGTTATGACATAAAGTCCAAACTCTTTAGCATTAGTTTTATGTGGTGCCAGCATGCCCTCCCAGCTTCAAAGTCAAGTCACTTACACACTGGCCACTTCAGTGGGTTCCCAGAAACATGCCATGCCATATACATCTTCACACCTTTGTTCATTTCCGGTACCACAATCCTGTCTTTTTTCTTCTCTCCCCACAGTTGTTTATTCAGGCAAATCTGGCTTGCTGGGCTAGGCTCAGCTGAGGGCTGCCTTCGCCATGAATCCTTCTGTGAGTTCCCTGTCTGGGTGTATCCCTAGTACTGCTGTTGATTCTCTTCTTAGAGTACCTATGAATTCACTTGCCCCAGTTTTGCTTTATGGCCAGTTTTTTCTTAGATAAGAGCTAAACCTGATGACAGCCTGTCTGGAGGCACATTAACATTGATGTTACTAGGAGTTTCTGTTCATAGGCTTTCATTTTAAGGTTTGGTTTCATTTTATTTATTTTTTACAGAAAAACAGTTTCTAAATGTTACTACCAGTTTTATGCAAACTTTCAGAGCCTCTAAATAGCTGGTAAAATGGTGAGCATTGATAATGGAGCTTCTACTAATTTCCTGGTTGTTTCAGGAATTTAAAAGAAACTTTTTATCTAACGCAAAAGTTTCTAGTTACCCACAGCATGCATTGTTTTCCATTGTTAGAAATGCTGCTGTTTTTACATTAATTATAATGGGAATGCATAGCTGCCTATGAAAGCTTGTGAGCAAATTTTGGGGAACCACGTGTACTTAATAATAGCAAGGAGTGAGCATGTGTTGGTTGAGATAGATCTTCTATCTCTACTAAGCTTTCCCAAGTCAGGGACAGTGTTGTAATGATCGTACCTGATGTATTCAGTATATTTTGTGTGTGTGTGCATGTTTTTTTGTTTTGTTTTGTTTTTTGAGACGGAGTCTTGCTGTGTTGCCCAGGCTGGAGTGCAGTGGCATGATCTTGGCTCACTGCAACCTCCACCTCCTAGATTCAAGCGATTCTCTTGCCACAGCCTCCCAAGTAGCTGGGACTACAGGTGCCTGCCACCACGCCCGGCTAATTTTTGTATTTTTAGTCGAGATGGGGTTTCACCATGTTGGCCAGGCTGGTCTCGAACTCCTCACCTCAGTGATGCACCTGCCTCGGCCTCCCAAAGTGCTGGGATTACAGGCGTGAGCCTCTGCCCAGCCAGTAATTATCATATTCATATTCCCAGACCTTTATACTATTGAGTAAAATGCTATTTGTTTGCATTGTTGTTTTAAAATCACTAAGTTAAATTTTTTATCTTTTTTTTCAGCCATCAAAAATAAGGATTAATTTAGAAGATAATGTACAATATGTGTCCATGAGAAGTAAGTTGATTCCTGAATAGGTTTTAGGTTTTGTTAGTTTGAACTTCTTATGATTAAAATGATTTGTTTAAGTGTATGAGTTGATGAGAAACTGAAATACAATTTGTTATGTGTACACTGAAATGTAAAGTTGCAAGTTTTAGTAACAACTCCTGAGGTTATGGGTTGAATCATGTGCACAAATGCCAGTTTATTCTCCATAGAACAGTCTGTATTTAAGGCTATTTTCTCAGAATTCCTCCTGGGAGAGAAATGTACTCTTTCCTTCTTGTCCCTTATCTTAGGTTAATGTTTAGGGTATCTGTTAGAGGCGATAGGATGTAAATGGCTCTAGTTCCCTCTTCTGGAAGTTTCCATGATAGACCGCCCCACCTCAGCTTCCTAATCTCAGTGGATACATAGTGCATCGATAAGTCAGTGTGAATCTTAGAAATACTCACCCTTAGTTTTGCCTCAGTGCCTGCCCCAGTCTCACCCATAGTTGGTCACTGAGTTTGGTCAGCTTCACCTTTGATGTGTTTCTTGCATCTGTCCCATACCACCAATTTATAATAATATCTAACATTTATTGAGCTCATACAGTGCCTGGCACTGCATTAAGCTCTCTGCATGGATTGTCACAATGACCTTTCAAAATATAGGTATGGATTAGAATTCTTACTTTATAAAGGCCCAGAGAGGCTGAGGTGAGTTGCTCAGAGTCAGGGTTGAATCTCTTACCTCTCTGACGCAAGAGCCCAGAGTCTTTACCACAACGTTGAATTGCTTCTTCTCGTTCAGGGTCTAACTTCCTCTGTAGCTGAAGTTGCTGGGTCTCCTTCTTAGAAGGCAGTCAGCTTCCAGGCTTTCCAACCTGGATGCTGGAAAAATCCAGGGGGATTTGTCTAATACAGAAATTGGATTATGATATCATTCAACCTAAGTTCTTCAGTGACGCTCTTTTACATGTAGAGAAAACCCTGATTCCTTGTATATTTGATTTTAAGTGTTTGCATTAAATTCATAAGCCACTTCATATTAAAAGAAACAAGGCAGTAGAGAATGGGTAGACAGAGCAGACCAGGCCCTTGTAGGCTGTTTCTTGCTTAATGCCGCAGCCTCTTCTTCCAGCATGCTGCCGCCCTCCTCCACAGCACAAGCTACACCACCTGTGATCCCCAAAGCACCCCAGGTTCTCTAAGTCTGCTTTGTCTTCTGAGGTGTGGTTTCCTCTCCCTCACTTCAGCCCCTCACCCTCTGTCACAGTGGGCAAACACCGCCCATTCGCCTTCCTGTTCCCTATGCCCAGTGTACTCCCATCAAGAGGCCTTCCCAGTTTCCCCCTCCAGTGAAGGTTTGATTTCTTGCCATCGGGTGACTTTGAATACCTCTCTTAGCACTTACCTCAGGACATATAATAGAGTTCCTTATTAGACTACGGAGTTGCTTTGGTGTGAAGACCTCTGTAATCCTATTCATATCCCCTCAGCAACTGTCACATTTTTGGTGTTCCGTTGTACATGTTCTTTATAAAATAACATAGAAATATGCTTATCCTGAGCATATAAGACCATGCCTTGTTAATAATTAGTATAATTAAATATATGCTTTTTAAAGTTAGAATTTCTCATTTGTAATCTTCCTGAGTTTGTTGTAGAATTGTGACCCTCTACTTCCGATTAAAAATCCTTTTAAATTCCTAATTTACGCCTATTTAATCTTAAGTGTAGGAATGGGCTCCAGAGAGAAGACATTTATATTATGAAATATGTACCTTTGTTCCTGAAGTAACCGCCAGTGGTCTTTAAACTAAATGTGACATTGTGGAGGTTCTGAGTAAGGACATTTCTGACTGAAGGTAGGATGGACATTTCTTTGAGGCATACTGACTGTGGTGTGCTGTGGAAGTAGAGAAAAAGAAAGTCATATATTCCACACCAGAGTGACAAAGTTATTTTAGAAATTATTTTTTCTGCAAACCAAGCCATAAGAACTTTTTCTTAGTATCAAATTGGAAAAGATGACAAGATACTTAGTTCTGGCGAGCATGTGAGATGAGGCCCGTGTATACTGCATAGAATGGATAGAACCCACAACCTGCAGAGCAGTTTAGCGGCACATATCAACATTCCTTAAAAATGTCCAGTTAAGGGGACATACAGTAGTTTCGCAACAAAAAGGTTCATTGAAATATGAAGCAAAATCGTAAAGTTGGAGATGGTCTAATTTCTAATATTGGGATAAATAGCAAATACTGCATACAGTTAAGCATGCAGCCATTAAGAATAATGTTGAAATACATTTGTTGACATGTCAGGATGTTCACAATATGGAGTTAAAAGAACGTGTTGCAAAATTGCATGGTCCTATTTTTGTTTTTAAAAACTATATATATGATTGGCACACAAGTGTGAATGTGTTAGAGGTGTGTGTGTGTATGAAAACCCCAGTCATTATAGTAGGTGAGTGAGGGAATTAAGGGATTTTTTTTTTGTCTATCTGTTAAATTAATATAGGGTAGTGAATATTTTTAAAAATAGAGATACTGGGCCAGCCGCGGTGGCTCTTAATGCCTGTAATCCCAGTACTTCGGGAGGCTGAGGCAGGTGGATCACAGGGTCAGGAATGAATTCAAGACCAGCCTGGCCAATATGGTGAAACCCCGTCTCTACTAAAAATGCAAAACAATTAGCCAGGCGTGCTGGTGCATGCCTGTAATCCCAGCTACTCCGGAGGAGAATTACTTGAACCCTGGAGGCGGAGGTTGCAGTGAGCCAGGATCGCGCCACTGCACTCCAGCTCCAGCCTGGGCAACAGAGCGAGACTCTCTCAAAAAAAAAAAAAAAAGAGAGAGATACCACTGTTGCTCGAGGTATGTCATAATTGTCTTAATAGAAGACTAGTTTGGGCTCTTTCAAAAAAATTCATCAGACAACTTACACTATGACATGGATAGAGTCATTAAAAGGGGAAAAAAAGCCGCCAATTCTCTGCCTTTGCTTTGTAAAGAATTCCTTAACTTGAAGACCAAATGAGAAATTTAATTTTAAAAATCATGTGTAATTCTATTCCTGAGAGTGGTATGGATGCAAATTAATCTCACTGCTTTGTCCGAGAAGATACAGTAGACTTGTGAAAGTCCACATGTTCGGTGGACACTGGTTGCATATTTCAAATCCTCCTTTGTTTAAATCTAAAGCCTTTGTTTAGAGCCAGGATAGGCCAGTGAATTTTTTCTCCAATTTAAGAGATTTATTTCATAGAAACCAGCTTTGATTTGGTCAATGTGTAGGCATTTCTGTAGATGTCTGCTATCTGATCAAGAGGAAACAGATGATTTTTAAAAATGAGTTGAGAAATGTTATTTAAAATTTTACAAATATGTTTATTTTGTTTCCCAGAAGCTCTAAAAGTGAAGAGACCTCGTTTTGATGTATCGCTGGTTTATTTAACTCGAAAATTTATGGATCTTGTCAGATCTGCTCCCGGGGGTATTCTTGACTTAAACAAGGTTGCAACGAAACTGGGAGTCCGAAAGCGGAGAGTGTATGACATCACCAATGTCTTAGATGGAATCGACCTCGTTGAAAAGAAATCCAAGAACCATATTAGATGGATGTGAGTTGCTTTCAAACTTTTTCGTGGCTTTTGTTCCTTCTCATCAAGTGACAATTCCATGCTTAAACTAGATAGTGGCAGTGTTTTGACAATATAATACAAAGGTACGACTTCTTGTTAGAAGAGAATTCTATAAAATTTTCTTGCATCATCCTAGAGAGTACATAAATTTTTTAAAAAGTATTTCCTCAGTTCCAATTGATTATTGATATTGGGAAAATTTGTTAAGGTTGTAAAACAGTGGTTTTCACACAGAAGTGTAGTAAACACCTAGAGGCTTACTGCCTCTGGAGTTGTAATTCGGTAGGTCTGAGGGAAAGCAGGAAAGTACATTCTCAACAGGTAGCCCAGGAGATTATGACGTAGCGAGGTGTTTAAAATACTGCCCTGAATATTAAAAAAAAAAAAAATCAGACAGTGTCTAAAAGACAGTTGCTAAAGACTTGACATGATGAGGAGAAATCCAATGGAAAGGGAAGCTTAAGACATTGACATAGATAAAGGTATCTGTGTGTGCACACATGAGAATGCTGTTGTACCTAGAATAGGCAAGTATTTGGGGACAGGGAGAAATAGTTACAGCAAATAAGTACATAGTGACCTCTCAGGCAAATGAAAACCTACCAGCAAAGACCATAAAATGACCCTAAATAATTAACTTAGTTATTAGAGGAAAGGGATTCATAAAGGAGGTAATTTTTTCAATAGTACAGAAGTACAGGTTGAATTCTAATTTGAGCATGTTTACTAAATAACACTAAAAAACACTTTAGGAGTTTATATCGGCATGCATTGTGAATCACTAATTAGAATCAGATTTGAAAACTACCAAGTAAAAGATAAAGGCAAGGACCTTTCCCTATTTATTTTCCATTAAGATTGAAAGAAAAAAATGAAAATCAGTTGTTGCCTGGTCATATCATATTGGAGTAGGCACTAATAACTAAAGAAAATATGTCTTTTTTTTTTTTTTCTTTTGAGACGGGGTCTTGCTCTGTCACCCAGGCTGGAGTATAGTGGCACAATCTCGGCTCACTGCAACCTCCACCTCCTGGGTTCAAGTGATTCTCCTGCCTCAGCCTCCCCAGTAGCTGGGATTACAGGCATACACCACCACGCCCGGCTAATTTTTGTATTTTTAGTAGAGACGGGGTTTCACCATGTTGGCCAGGCTGGTCTATAACTCCTGACCTCAGTTGATTCACCTGCCTCAGCCTCCCAAAGTGCTGGGATTACAGGCGTGACCCACCATGCCTGGCCTGAAAATAATGTCTTTTTTTAAATGATGAATATAATCATTATATTCAGACAGAATGTGTACACTAGGGAAAGATACAGACTCCTCACATGTTAGCAGAGGCACTGTCATTTAGCCCACCCTATGTTTTCATGTGTAGGAACTCAAGTACTGTACGATTATAACTTATCAGAAGCTGCGTTGTAAGTACTAGGACTGAGGCTGAAGCTGGGTGTTATTGACTCTTAGTTCAGTGCCCTTTTTATTTCCTTAGGCTGCCTCTGCTGTTATTAATTTCTGTTAGGTTGTAATGTATTTTTTTGAAAAAGACTGTATAAGATGAAGAACTATAAATAATTTATGTACAGAAGGAATAATGGCTGTCTAGAACAAAGACGGCAGAAGTTAAAAGTCCCTAGTTTCTATTGTTGTGGAAAACACTTATGGCAAACATTTGGAGAAGTTCCAATAACCTAACTTGAAATTACTTTGTTATCTCCTAGTTGGTATTGATGCTGACATTTTTTTTCTTCTAAAGAGGATCTGATCTTAGCAATTTTGGAGCAGTTCCCCAACAAAAGAAGCTACAGGAGGAACTTTCTGACTTATCAGCAATGGAAGATGCTTTGGATGAGTTAATTAAGGATTGTGCTCAGCAGCTGTTTGAGTTAACAGATGACAAAGAAAATGAAAGATATCCTTTAAGTCTATACCTTTTTAAAATTTCTGCTTCCAAAACAGATTACTTAAGTAGTAGAGTCAGCTTGGGGACTTAATTTATATATTTAAGATATAAAATTAGACCATTGAAAGTTAAATACAAAATTAGCCAGGCGTGGTGGCACACATGGCTGTAATCCCAGCTCCTTGGGAGGCTGAGGCAGGAGAATCGCTTGAATCTGGGAGGCCGAGGTTGCTGTGAGCGGAGATGGCGCCATTGCACTCCAGTCTGGGCAACAGGAGCGAAACTCCGTCTCAAAAAAAAAAAAAAAAAAAGTTAGGTAAAAGTTGGTAGTAGTATAACCTCAAACATACACAAACAGTAGGTTTTTTAACTTCTGTGTGGCATTTCTTAGATTAAATTCTGGATGATGACCTCAGGGGTACAGTACCAAACCAAGGTTGATGGTACCACTTAAAATGGTGAGTATTCATTTTTATAGTCTGAATACTATAAGGATAATAAAATATTTGTTGGCTTTTGTGAAGTTCATGTTTTTCCTAGAAATTTGTGAATGGAAGTTGATTTCTGAAACAGTGAATTGCCATTGAAGTGGTGCTTAAACTGCCATTTGTGTCCACAGAAGCGCGTTGTTGCTTAGTAGCAGTTTTGCTTTGAAACTCAGTGTCTCAGGGAGCTGGGGGGTGGGGCTGGGGGAGCCTTGTCTTTGGTACTGACCTCCTGGGTGTCTTAAACCTATATGCTGTGCTGTTCCCTGTGGCACCCTTTGAGGGGCTCACTGATTCTGAGCTATCCCATACCTCATATTTACTTAAAACTCTCTCCAGCAGTCAAAAACCTCTATTCCCACAGTACAGGTACTGGAAGGAAAAGAAAAAATAAGCACCAACATTACTGCAGCCAATCAGAAAAAAAAAATGCTAGAGAAATCCAGTAAATCACTTAATTGGTAAAATTTGAGGCAACACAGTGAGACAAGACGAAAAAGACTCAGGTAGTGAGATGGAAAATAATTTTGGATGAAGTAACATCATACATGATAGTCTTGAGAAACTTAATCTCTAAGTCGTTTATGCCTTTTTATAGATTTTTTTCCATCTTTCATTTTAGGGGATTCTTGTCAAAGCCCTGAGTGTTTTTTCTCAAAGTTATAGTAAGATCTAGCTTACTATACCTGAAAAGGGAATAGGGTGAAAATTTGAATTTCTTTATGTGGTGTATTTGTGTTAGGGACTCAGACTTTATTAATATTTTTCTCCAGAAATTGCCATCATAATCATAATAGTAGAGCTTAAAGAAACTCTTTAGGTTGTGTTGTAAATATTGTAAAACCCTTCATAAAAATCTTAATTTTATGTGAATAATAAAGATTATCAATGAATTTTTTTTTTTTTTACTGCTTTCCTTAATGGTGAACTTGTATCTCATAAAAACTAAAAACATTCTAACATTACCCTTGCGTTAACTGAATTACTAGAGATAAATTACCTCCCCAGTAAACAGCATTCTGTGTAGAGATCCTTGACTGAGTTTTACACTAGCATATGTGACCTATCAAGACATTCATAGCATTCAGGCCTTCCATGAACAGATCGTCATTGCAGTTAAAGCTCCAGCAGAAACCAGATTGGATGTTCCAGCTCCCAGAGAAGTAGGTAACCCTGCATTTTTAAAAAGATTTAAAGAGGGATGAGGGCCGACTGCTTAGGCTGTGATTTATTGCAGTCATACTTAAGAGCCGTTGTGTGCACGTGCACTGTACATCCGATACTGCTCAAGGCACTTCACACATTTAACTTGCTTCAACTAACACAAGTCAAGTAGTCATTATTATCTTAAAGATGAGGAACCAAAAGCTCACAAAGATGAGTTAACTTTTTCAGGATCACCAGAATTCAAACCCAGTTAGTGTGGCTTCATAGTTTGCTTTTCACTATTGTACTGCAGTGCTTCTTAGAAGAATCACCAAGAATTGGCCCATCTTAAAGTTGCAAAAGTAAGGTCTGGTGTCAGCCAAGGCACTGGGGAATTAACAAACTCTTGAAAGACTGATGAATAAACCAGGACGCTAGGTTCTGAATTTAAAATGGAAAAGTAGGATTTCTGTGTAAATGAACATTATTTTTGTCAGCCGCCAGCTGCTCAGTGCGTTCTTTCCCTTGCAGAAAAATTTGCATTGAAAGATAATTGCATCAGAAGGCTGCTTGATGAGGACAGAATCAGAACCAAGGAATGTGGCCATTCTTGGGACACATCCTCAAGACTGACAGCCTTGATAGACCCATCGGTGCTCACAGTGCAGCCCTCTGCATTGCCCTGGGGGTTTGCCTCCTGCCTAGCGAAGAATATTTTCTTGACCTGTTTTTCCTTTTGTCCCCAGCAGACCACTGTTCAAGTGAGCCCTGTATTACTCCACAGTGTATGGGGTAAGGGCTGGCTTTCATTTACCTCAGTCACACTCAAGTTATGATTTCTTGGTGATGTTTCCTAGTTGTTTTATTTTTAAGAAACTGCCAATCAACACATCTTTACTTTGGGGCATAATAATTCATTCTGCAGAGACTAATGGATTTTTGGCTTTTCCCTATGCTGTGAGCTGCTTCAGACTGTAATTGCTAAATCTGGCTGAGCCTTTGATCATACCTGAGGCTTCTCTTAGAGTCCTATTTAAAGTCTCTGCACATGGGCCCTCTTGGCCAGAGCCTGACCGTGAAGATCTGGGGACCTAGTGTGATGGGTGGCAAACTGGCCCTCAGGTCAGATCCGGCCTGCTCCTTTTTCTTAGAAATAATTTGATTAGGACACAGCCACATGCACATTTGTTTACATATTGTTTCTGACTGCTTTCATACTATAGTGGCAGAGTTAAAAGGTTGTGACAGGGATAGTGTGACTTGCAAAGCCAAAAATATTTACCATCTCAGCCTTTATGGAAGTTTGACAACACTTAATTTAGTGGAATGTTATTGTTAAGAAATATCTATTAAATTGTACAGGATTTATCATTCAAACCAGTTGTGACCTGGCACTCTAGAAGCTGAGCACAGATGTTCTCTAGCCCACTTGTAGTACCAGGAAGTCATAGCAAGGGCAGGTGAGGCTCTGAGACCGTCTGAGAGGCTGCATCTCCACAGACTCACCCTGGTATAAGATCACAATGAGGTGTGGAGTGGGAGGGAGCAGTGGTGTATGTGTGTCTAGCCCAGGCCTAACTGCATTAAAGGGGAGAAAACAGACTTTGTTATAGTTGAAGCAGCTCCCAATTAAAGCAATCATTTATAACTGGGGCTGTTCCTTAAGAATTTAGCATAATTCCCAGTAGAAGCACTGAAGTTGCCTGATACCTTACGGAAAAAAAGTATTTTGATTAATCCTGAGGAAATCTGAAATCAAAGGATGTGAATATCATAATGAGTTAATTAGTCCTTTATAAATAATGTAAACGATTTTTTTGACATTTTACTTGAGATATATTTTGATCTTTTCCTGTTCTTTCAACTGGACAAAAGAATGGCCCTTCCATTATCTCAAGACCTGTTCATTGGTCTGGAAATCCAAGCACATATTTATCCTGTGAGACTCTAGGGTATTCTGGAGTTCTGTGTCATCAAAACACTGATTTTTGACTGAAATACGGCCTCCTTGAAGGGTCAGCTCCTGAGTAGAAAAAGACAGGCTCTTGAGTACTGAGGTTTTCACATGATAGCTCTGAAGCCATTACTGCAGGATCACATGTAGCTGTCTTCAGCATGGGAATTGGCCAGTGCTGTAATGTGACTACAGCTAAGGTGATTTTCTCAAATGTCTCGAAATTTTTGCAGTTCTAGTGAGTGAAAAAATATGATTTATTATTTCATTCATCTTGACGATTCCTGTGTCCTTTGCTAGGACTCTATCACAGTGCACATAAGGAGCACCAACGGACCTATCGATGTCTATTTGTGTGAAGTGGAGCAGGGTCAGACCAGTAACAAAAGGTCTGAAGGTGTCGGGACCTCTTCATCTGAGAGCACTCATCCAGAAGGCCCTGAGGAAGGTAAATATACCAGTGATTCTGACAGTATTTTAATTAAGCATGCATAATTTTATTAATGTGTATTATGGCCTTAAGATATTTTTACTCTTCCTAGCCACAAAAACATGAGTAAAAAATTACAGCATAACTCTTACTGTAGTTTAGAATATTTCTGTGAACATTATAGTTAAATTTCTGTAGTTTTGGTAGCAGTGAAAACTTAGAATTCTGTTTGGTCCCATGGTGATACCAACTTGCGATGGTCTCTGAATAGGGCAGGCTTTCAGTCAAACAGCAGCTCCACTCGGCCAAAGAGCCTGCCCATGACCTGGCCGGGAGACTTCCCCTTCTGCACATCTTGGAGAAGGGAAGGGGCTAGACCTGCTTGACCCAGGCAGTCAAATACCCACTCAACTCAGCCAACAGCCCACTCCACAAGAGTCAGTCCTCAGTTGCACATTTCTAAGGACGTCGCCTCTGGACCCATCTGGCCAGAGCAGTGACTCCATCTAACCTCGGAACCCAGCTTGCAGTGCTGTCCAACAGCAGATCCCAAATAGTGGAATTGCCTGAGCAGGGGACCAGCATCCTGTGACCGGCCTGGGCAGAAGCCATCACAGTACCCAGCCAACAGCTCCACCGACATCCGAACAAAGACCCAGCCAACTGGAGAACTTGACAAGCACTGCGGGCCAGGGTGGTCTTCAGGTGGCCCTTGCAGAGCCACAGGCTGGACCGATAGGAAGCTTTCACTGACGAAGAATACCTGTAATGACCAGAAGAGGGGGCTGTTGCCCACATGCAGACAACAGCACAAAGACACAAGGATTACGAAGACTGGGGGAGTCGTGACGGCTCCAAAAGAAACTAATAAAGCCCTAATAAGGGAAGGTTTCCTCCATTCTCGGACGGGTGCTTTCAGGTACAAGTTAGAGTTCCAGTTTATTCTTGAGAGGCTGAAAAAATTAGCCTTATGCCATTAACCTGAGAATACGTGTTCTTGACCAGGCATCTTCAGGGTTTTCTGAAGTAGTCAGATTGTGTATTCTTTTACGTATTTGCCTATCAGACCTTCACTTAGGTGTATTCACTTAGGTGTATTTCTCTCTCGTGTTCTTTTCCAGAAGAAAATCCTCAGCAAAGTGAAGAATTGCTTGAAGTAAGCAACTGATGGCATTTGAGAATTTATGTATCACTGAGTTTTTTGGGAATATCTTCGTGGAGAATTACGCATCAAATTTGATTCTCAGAGCAATAAATTATCCATGAAGTGCTCTCGTTCTCAGTAGCGGCATCATGGCCAGTAGTGTCTTTGAGGAGTTCACCACTTAGATTACTGAGTAATTGTGGTTTCCACATTTGAAAACAACTCCTTTTATAATTATTCACTGCTTTTTGTCAGTGAAATAGACATCTTGCCTCCTGAAGTAGCTTCATCACAGAGTGTCATGAAGACAGACAGTCAGGCTGAAATGGACAGTTCTTTGTGGACTCTACCCTTCCCTTCAAGGAGTATGTCATATATCACAAAAGAAATTGCCTTACACTGGTTCATGTTTGCAGTTACTGTTGTACATTGCATAGATGTACACACGAATTTAAATGTGATGTCTTTGTATATATCTGTATAATGTTGAGATTACTTACGAAATATGTCTGAGTGACACTTTTCACCCTTGTACAGCCAAAATAATGTATATATGGAAAGTGACAGACAAATTCTCTAATCTCTTTGGTACCTATAACTTATTAGAATCCTCTGGATGAGGGTTAGAAGAGACTTTTTCCAAACTTCTACATGTAGAAGTATCATAAATGTGCTACACATTTATGTTTGTGGATTTAATTAAAGTATTTTAATATGGTTTTCAGTGCTAAAATTGGAGTCAGATACTTCTTGGTTTTAAGCTGTCTACCTAATTGCTGTCTCCCAGCAGACTGGTGGCATGCCCAGTGGCTTTGGGGGCAAGGATAGAAATGCCATCAGGAAATAGCTGAATTCATTGTGAAACATGAATTCAGTCATGGTGATAATTGGAAACTCCTTTCAGGTTTTTGCAAGTAGATTTTGTAATGTTTGTGTATGCAGCCTTGCTGTTGAGTCAGTCCAAGGGGTTTTACTTAGGACAAGTTGTACCTTGCCCTCTCTCCAGCTCTGCTCCCACATTTTCACATACCTAGCTGTTTCTACCTCATTGGGTAAGTCATTTACCACTCTGTGCCTCAGTTTACTCTGTAGTTTACCATTAGACTGTGAGCTCCTTGAGGGACTTTGTCATAATCACTGTTACATCCCAGTGCCTCACACCATGCCTGGCCCTTAAGAAGTGCTCAATAAATGTCTGAACAAATAAGTGAGTGGAGTGAGTGAATTGTAAGATCAGAATAATAATATTTGGTTTGTCTATCGTACAAGATTCCTGTATCGTTTGAATATTGCTTTTAAAGAAATATTTGAAGCGACTTCAAATTCAGACTGTGTTTAAAAAGATTTAAAATCGGAATCCAAAATCAAAGTATTAAAAAATAATGCTGAGTGTTTAGGATTCACATACCTCTGAGCTCTGGTGGCTTTTGCCAGTCCTGTCCCTCTGCTGAGCACCAGCCCTTCCTGCAGCAGTCCTGCCGGTGTGTTTCTGTGCACCTGGGGATGAAGTGTGCTCCTCCCCCAGCGGTTAGCCTCAATGCTTTTCCTCCCTCTGTTTTATTATTTGAAATTAGCCAAAGAAAAGCTGCAGGGGGCACTGCTGATCATCACTGGACTGGTGGGTCGTACTGTTTGACAGAATAGGGAATACAGGAGGAGGAGCAAGCCTAGGGTAAAACTTAGGTTTGGGACATGCTTGATGAAAGCAAGAGTTGAGCAGGTTGTTGTGTGTATGTAGGTCAGGTGCTCAGCGGAAAAGTCTGAGCTGTGTAGTACGTCAGGCAGATGTCAGTTTAGATGCGATAGTTTAAGCCACAAGAGTAGGAGAGGTCATCTAAAGAGTACAGCAGGCCTAAGGGCATCTATATTTAAGGAGAAATACAGAAGAAGTCTCCTGAGAAGGAATAATGGGGCGGGTGGGGAGGGAGAAGGCAGTGTCCCAAAAACCAACAAAGGTTTTACCAAAGGTAATACCATCATTTCTGAGCAGCAGTTCCTTAACTTGTGAATGTGGCAAATGTTCTCCTTTACAAATTGTTCTGAAGGTAAAATGAGATCATGTAAACGAAAATCCTTTGTAAATTACAGATGTGTGTTATAAATGAAGTATCTCTCGAGTCACTCCATCTTCTGGCGTTGGGTCTCTGATTCTTAAAACGGATAAAATAAGCATGAACTCGTTTCTGGGCCCCTCCTCCTCACTAACCCTAACCTTTCCAACCTCACTGTCCCATCTCTGTGCGCACCGCTTCTTCCTTCAGAAACCTTGAGCGATCCGTGTTTCCTTCAGGCCGAAGTGCAGACTCTGGATATAGAAGGGCCCAAGGCTTGCTTACCAATCCTGCCTTGGTACCTGCCTTGCAGACCTTCACCCCAGTAAATTGGTCTCATCGCTACCTGAAGCACACAGTGAACTTTCCCATCTCCCTGCCTTTGCTCTTATCCTATCCTCTTCCTGTTCTCTGTGTTTCAAAATCGCATCCCTATTCTGGACCTGGCTTCACCCATGCCTCCCCTTTACTCCTACCCTGCATGCAGTTTATACACAGCACGCAGGTGGCCATCTTCCTTCCTCATAAGTTGCTGCGGCTACGTTCCCAGCTGCCATTCCATGTTGTCAGAGTGTAAGCTCATGTCTTAATAGGTATTTCTCATATTAATGTAGTGTATGATAGGGTTTGGCTGTGTCCCCACCCAAATCTCATTTTGAATTGCAGTTCCCATAATCCCCATGTGTCGTGGGAGGGACCAGGTGGAGATAACTGAATCATGGGAGCTGTTTCCCTACATCCTGTTCTCGTGATAGTAAGTTCTCACGAGATCTAATGGTTTAATAGAGGGCTTTTCCCTTCGCTCGGCTCTCATTCTCCCTCCTGCCACCATATGAAGAAAGACGTATTTGCTTCCTCTTCCACCATGATTGTAAGTTTCCTGAGCCAGCCATGCTGAACTATGAGTCAATTAAATCTGTTTCCATTATAAATTACCCAGCCTTGGGTATGTCTTTGTTAGCAGTTTGAGAATGGACTAATACAGTAAATTGGTACCACAGAGAGTGGGGTGCTGCTGTAAAGATACCCAAAAATGTGGAAGCAACTTTGGAACTGAGTAACAGGCAGAGGTTGGAACAGTTTGGAGGGTTCAGAAGAAGACAGGAAAATGTGGGAAACATTTAGAACTTCCTAGAGACTTGTTGAATAGCTTTGACAAATTGCTGATAGTGATATGGACAGTGAAGTCCAGGCTGAAGTGGTCAAGATGGAGATGAAGAACCTATTGGAAGCGGGAGTAAAGGTCACTCTTGCTATGGAAAGAGACTGGTAGCATTTTGCCTCTGCCGTAGAGATGCATGGAACTTTGAGAGAGATGAGTTAGGGTATCTGGCAGAAGAAATTTCTAAGCAGCAAAGTGTTCGAGAGGAAGCAGAGCATAAAAGTTTGGAAAATTTTGCAGCCTGATGATGGGATAGAAAAGAAAACTCCATTTTCTGGGGAGAAATTTAAGCTGGCTGCAGAAATTTGCATAAGTAACGTCAAATGTTAATCACCAAGAGAATGGGGAAGATGTCTCCAGGGCATGTCAGAGACCTTCCAGCAGCCCCTCCTATCACAAGCCTGGGGGCCTATAAGGGCCCCCCCCCCACCCCCCGCTCTATGCTGCATTGGGACATGGTGCCCTGCATCCTAGCTTCTTCAGCTCCAGCCTTGGCTAAAAGGGACCAACATAAAGCTCAGGCTGTTGCTTCAGAGGGTGCAAGCCCCAAGCCTTGGCTTACACATGGTGTTGGGCCTATGGGTGCACAGAAGTCAAGAATTAAGGTCTGGGAACCTCTGCCTAGATTTCAGAGGATGTATGGAAACACCTGGATGTCCAGGCAGAAGTTCGCTCTCTGGAGAACCTCTGCTAGGGCAGTGTGGAAGGGAAATACGGGGTTGGATCCCCCACACAGAGTCCCGATTGGTGCACTGCCTGGTGGAGCTGTGAGAACAGGGCCACCGTCCTCCAGACCCCAGAATGGTAGCTTGCACTGTGCACCCGGAAGAGTCCCAGACACTCAACACCAGCCTGTGAAAGTAACCAAGGTGGGGGTGGGGGTATACCCTGCAAAGCCACAGGAGTGGGGCTGCCCAAGGCCATGGGAGCCCACCTCTTGCATCAACATCACCTGGATGGGAGACACGGAGTCAAAGGAGATCATTTTGGAACTTTAAGGTTTAATGACTGCCGTATTGGATTTCGGACTTGCATGGCACCCGTAGCCTCTTTGTTTTGGCCAATTTCTCCCATTTGGAATGGGTGTATTTACCCAATCCCTGTACCCCCATTGTATCTAGGAAGTAACTAACTTGCTTTTGGTTTTACAGGCCCATAGGTGGAAGGGACTTGCCTTGTCTGAGATGAGACTTTGGACTTGGAGTTTTGAGTTAATGCTGGAATGAGCTAAGACTTTGGGTGACTGTTGGAAGGGCAGGGTTATGTTTGGAATTATGAGGACATGAGATTTGGGAGGGGCCAGGGACAGAATGATATGGTTTGGCTGTGTTCTCACCCCAATCTCATCTTGAATTATAGTTCCCATAATCCCCACATGTTGTGGGAGGGACCAGATGGAGAAAATTGAATCATGGGGGCTGTTTCCTCCATCCTGTTCTCGTGATAGTAAGTTCTCACAAGATCCGATGCTTTTGTAAGGGGCTTCCCCCTTGGATCGGCTCTCATTCTTCTCTCTCCTGCCACTATGTGAAGAAGGACATGTTTGCTTCCCCTTCCACCATGATTGTAAGTTTCCTGAGGCCTCAGCCATGCTGAACTGTGAGTCAATTAAACCTCTTTCCTTTATAAATTACCCAGTCTTGGGTATGTCTTTATTAGCAGCATGAGAATGGACTAATACAATGTTCAGTAAGTTGTTGCTGGTTGGTAAGTGACCTGACCTGACTACATCATTCGACCCAACTCCCAAGAAATTTTTTTTTTTTTTTGTAACGGAGTCTCACTCTGTCACACAGGCTGGAGTGCAGTGGTATGATCTCAGCTCACTGCAACCTCTGCCTCCCAGGTTCAAGTGATTCTCGTGCCTCAGACTCCAGAGTAGCTGGGATTTCAGGCATGGGCCACCACAGCTGGCTAATTTTTGTGTTTTTTTAGTAGAGGTGGGATTTCACCACGTTGGCCAGGCTGGTCTCGAACTCCTGACCTCAAGTGATCTGCCTGCCTCTGCCTCCCAAAGTGCTGGGATTACAGACATGAGCCACCACACCTGGCCCTGAGAATTTTTTTTAAAAGATGACTTCAGGCCGAGCGTGGTGGCTCACGCCTGTAATCCCAGCACTTTGGGAGGCTGAGGCAGGCAGGTCACAAGGTCAAGAGATCAAGACCATCCTAGCCAACATGGTGAAACCCATCTGTACTAAAAATACAAAAATTAGCCGGACCTGGTGGCACGCACCAGTCGTCCCAGCTACTCAGGAGGCTGAGGCAGAAGAATCACCTGAACCTGGGAGGTAGAGGTTGCAGTGAGCCGAGATTGCACCACTGCGTTCCAGCCTGGCAACAGAGCGAGACTCCATCTAAAGTTAAAAAAATAAATAAATAAATAAAAAATAAAAAAAAAACGATGACTTCAGTAACTAACGGAATTTGTAATGAAAAAAAGATTGCCAAATTTGCATTTTGCTAAAAGTTAAAGCACATCTAACTAATTGTCCTTTGCCTCAGCAAAAGATGAGCCCCCCTGTACTTGAGACAGCTATGACTCCTTTTGTGCCTCCCTTTTGATGGTTTTGGCCCCAGGGATGCATGTATTGGCGGAGTCAAGTGAATGCCCAAGGTTAGCAAGTGAATGATGGTGCTGCTGAGGGCTTGAGGGGCTTAAGACAGAACCAGCGTTTCACTTTCATACATGAAACTGTTTCTTCATATCTCAGAAATGGGCCACTCGATTAACATAATTAAAAATGAAAATCAGAATAAAACCACCTGGGTCATTAAAAGCAACCCATTGTATTACAGTGTTTCGAAGTTGGCTTTTTGATTCTATTAGGATTGGCTTACCCCACCCTCCAAGCGGTGCACCCCGGCCTTGCCAGGCGTTAGCTGCAGATTAAGGCAGTGCCTTCTCCTGGCTTTATGTTTTGCTTTTGTAGTTTCTCTGACTGCTAAAGACAGACCTGGTGCCTTGTTGGCCTTAGGCCCTATTGTCACTCCAGTCAGGTGGGAAAGGGATGATGTTTGGGGCTTTCAGCCTGGCCTTCAGAGGACAGGAGGCGAGGGCCCAGAGAAGCAAGGGAAGATCTGCTGAGAGAAGGTAAAGAAAGGAGCAAAAAACAAAAGGAGGAAAGAGCCAGGATGACAGGACAGGGAGAGAAGAAAGGGGGACACAGTATAAAGGAGAAGCAGTGGGAGAAGTGATGAAGAGTGACAGTATGGCCTGGGAGATGCGAGTCTCCAAAGCCAAGGCATGGGTCAGGCAAGGTGGCCGTCACCGCAGCCGGAGGAGCAGCCCCAGACCACAGGTCTCGAAGGCAAGGCGCCCAGAGGTGGAGGGTTGCAACTCACCTTGAAGCTACCACTTGGCGAGTTCTGATGTAGTTTCAAGGAAGGATGGCCTTTGGGATCTGAAGAGGCTATTAAAACAACTTTCCATTTTCCAACTACGTATTTATATGAGGCTGGGCTTTTCTTTATGTATGTAAACCAAAACGTATCACAGCAGAATTCACACAAGCTGACGGGAAAATCCATCTGTCTTCTATTAGGCCAGACTTTAAGAGATTTGTGAAATGTAAAATAGTGTCATCTTCACTAAATTGTTTTTGTCTTGGAAAACATAGTTTTTTCCATAAAAATATTTAACATGTATTGTGTTTACTATTTTTATTTTTAGATGGATTAAATACTTATATAATTTCCTAGTTTTAATTTGCAATACTTATATAATTTCCTAGTTTTAATGTGCAATACTTTACATATCAGTCAGTATAATACATATATAAACAAAAGCTTTGTGGGGTGTTTAATGTTTTAGAGTTTAAGGAGGTGCTGAGGCCCGAGCTTATTCTATCCAAGGATCCAAGGGCTTGTAACTACAGGCAGCTCTCCTCTTGAGAGAGCTGAAGAGGGGCCTGTGTGCACACCCCCACACTATACACTCCCTCCTTTCTCCAAACACCCACAGTGACTCTCAGGATAAACACATGGACTCAAAGCAGTGGCCAGCCACCCTTAAAAAAATATAGTGCTGGACCCAATGTCTTTATTCTTGCTCATTGAGCCTTTCTAGTTCCCATTCTTTTATTTCGAATGAAGGTAATTGTATCCAACCATTCACATTATTTCTAGCTAATGTTTGTGAAAATTTAGGCTGTCAGGAAAAATGAATCTCTGTACACAGGGCTAATGACAAAAGAAGGGAGCATTTTCAGAACTACGCTAGCATTAGGCTTCCGTGTAGAGGAACCTGGATTAGAGTGACACTGTTGGCCTCTGCTACTCCCTCAGTCACTCTTTTAGAAGCAAAGCGGGTGGCTTCTCTGAGTATGGAAAAGGGAACTGGACATGAAAGGCTTGGTGACTTTGGCTTTCCTCTGTTCGGGAATTTCCTGCCTGTGGAGATACGCATCTAGATTGACCTGAGGGGGGCTCCTGCAATTGTTCAGTTATGCCAGTTGTTCTCAGCTGGGGACATTTTGTTCCCCAGAGGACACTGGGCAATGTCTGGAGACAGTTTTGATTATCATGACTGGAGTGCTGTTGGCATCTAGGAGTGGAGGACGGGATGCTGCTAAACCTAGTGTACAGGATAAACCCAGCGACGGTCACCTGGTCCAGCGTGCCAATGGTGCTGAGGCCAAGAGACCTAAGTTAGGTCAGTAACAGAGGCAGATAATCTGTCCATTTCAAGAGGAAGTGCTAACTAGCCCTTTTGCTCACCAATCTAAAGCCACATCCCCATCAGCTTTATTAGTAATAGCAGGGAGATTTTTACCTCTATCTTTTTATGTCTATCAGTTGATTCCGACCATGGAAGGGGAAGAGGGATATTACTTATTGAGAAAAGAATCCGGAACAGACTTTACACTGGGGCTCCATATTAGTAAGGATTAAATTCAGCTGCACACAACACACAACGGTGGCTTAAACAAGACAGAAGTTTATTTCTCTCACACATTTAGGAAGGAGACAGTCCCGAGTTGGTATTGTTCTCCAAGAGGTCAGGAACCAAGGCCCCTTCCAGGTATTGGTTCTTCATGCTTGGCTTCCATTCCCAAGGTCACTTCAAAATCCAAGGGAGCTGCTGGAGCCCACCCCATAATAGTACGTATTATTTACATGCTAGCCAGCAGGAAGGATGAAGAAGGAGAAGAAGGGTACAATTCCTGTCCTTAAGGACACTTCCAGCAGGTTGTGACCACACTTTTAACTGACATCCATTGGTCACAGTTTAGCCACTTAGACTTAGAAATGTCGTGTTTAGAGGAGGGAGGGACAGCCACGTGCCCAGCTAACGACCGAGAATTCTGTTGCTATTCAAGAAGGGAAGAATAGGAACTGGATATGGTAGATACTCAAGTGTCTATCAAGTTCTGGTTCCCCTCCCCTTCTGGGAACCAAAAGATGGAACCTATTAGTGAGGCCATCTGGTGTGTTCTAGCCAGTTGGCTATGACGGGAGGTGACACGTGGTGACAAGATTATAGTCTCCAGTAGCTCTCCCCTGCCAAGGCAGCCAAGGAAGCCACAGGTTCCAGATGTAGCTACAAGGCACTGCAGCCTCCACTGACGTGGATCCCTCAGAGACTGAATGGGAATGGAGCCTCTGCCAATCTACATGCAACATGAACTGTATCAAAGCACTGAGATTTATTTGAAGTTAATTTTTACTGCAACATGACTTAGCCCATCTTAACTAATATGTCTGGGGACAACTAGCAGTCTCTGCCGCAGGTCAGTGAGGGAAAGAATAATGCAGTCAAGATAGCCTCACAAACTAGTGTCATAAATGCCTTCGGCTCACTCGGAACTGTTGACAGTTGCTTATGATGGGCAAAGTTGAAGCACTAGTCGCTCAATGAAAAGTGACCCTCTGAATGCATTTATTTGCTACTCGTATAATGGGTGCCTAACACAAATTTGGGTGATGATTGCCATCTGGCAGAGAATTCACGATTATTCAGATTTCTTCACTTGCTTTCAATTAAACAGATGCTGCTGAAGAATAGCATTGACTTGAAAAAGACATTTTTGGATCACATTCTTGTTAACAAAATGAATTCATGTGATTTTTATATATCAAATCTAAATGAATCAACTTGGTGAGAAAGAAGTCCTTGCTCTCAAGAAGTCAGCGTAATACCCTGGCCATGTGATTTTTTCTGTTCTTGCCATAATCTGGTCTGCAGGGATCTTGATTCTTTTGAGCCTCCTCAGGACATCACACTGTTCTGTGACGTTGGACCTGTCGAGCAGGAAGGAGCAAGTACCCCAGATGTCTTCGTAAGACATACGTGTGCCAAGGGGGCAGTAAATGCACTTTTGATAGCAAGGTCTGTATCAGTCAGGGTCCAGTAAGAAAACCGTTGTAGGTATTACAGCAGAGGTGAGTGAAGACAGGAAATGGGTTACTCAGATGTTGGAAGGCTAAGAAGCAGAAAGGGGATATTGAGGTAAGATATGAATACATTCAGGGGCCGACTCTGGGTACACTGCTTATGAGTTAGCCCTGCTCCTCAAGGAGCAGTTATTTAAAAAATAAAAACAAATTCAGGAAGTGACTACCACCCCTAGGAAAAAGTAGGGATACCGTAACGTAGGGGCTCATAGGAGAGGTCCCCACGCGGCTGGCACTTAGACCTCGGAGGAGATGCCACCACAGTGCTTGGACTTCCAGTGGGGAAGGAGACACCCACCAAATGTCTGGGGCCCAATCCTCTGATTGGGGGATGGCACAGCTGGTGTGCCACCCCGGACGGATACAGCCACATACTTGAGCTGCCAAAACAATCTGGAAACTGGAGCCATCACAATCTTCTATTGCTGTAGGGACACAGACGGGAACTAGAAAAAGGAAGAAAAGTTCCTCCTCCTCCCGCTTTCCACTCTCTTACCATTGCCTCCTAGTGTCAGAACTTACCAGCTAGCAAGGGAATACAGGAAATGGGTTTGCAGAGAGCCAGTCCCAGGATCACAGAATAGAAACTAGAAGGGCGGACTTGGATCTGAGAGAGAATAAACACCAAGCATTCGCTTCCTGCCCATCATGGCCCCATGGGGTGGCAGTCCCAGCTCTGTCCCTGGCTATGATGTTAGATACATCTTACAAATATAAATTATAAAATTATAATTGTAAAATTCCTTTTTGTTTTTATTTATTTATTTATTTATTTATTATTATTATTATTATTATTTGAGATGGAGTTTCACTCTGCTGCCCAGGCTGGAATGCAGTGGCGTGATCTCAGCTCACTGCAGCCTCCGCCTCCTGGGTTCAAGCAATTCTCCTGTCTCAGCCTCCTGAGTAGCTGGGATTACAGGCGCCAGCCACCACACCCAGCTAATTTTTTGTGTTTTTAATAGAGGCGGGGTTTCACCATGTTGGCCAGGCTGGTCTCAAACTCCTGACCTCAGGTGATCCGCCCGCCTCAGCCTCCCAAAGTGCTGGGATTACAGGCATGAGCCACCGAGCCTGGCCAAATTCCTTTTTAGTTTTCATATTCTGTGATACTAAATTGAGATCTGCGTCCAAGATGATTGCAAGTCCAAGTTGATAACTGGAATATTTGTTTCTTAGATGGTACATTTTGTCACATGATTTGACTTCTGTAAATACAGACCAGCCTCACCTGGATGTACTACTGTTTTCCTCAGCTTCATTCTCCTTTATTTAGTACAATAATTTGCCGTCGCGATTTATGGCCCTTTCGTCCTCAAGGTCACCTTCCGTTTTCTTTGCGACTGTAGTCAGTGCACACACATGCTGAGGGAATAGCACCTACCTAGTTCTCCTCTATTTATAGCCTGAAACTATAGTGAGAGAAGTTAAAACCTTACAGTCTTTTAACTTGCCAGGTTAAAACCTGGCAGTGGTGTCTACAAAGGTGGCAACATCAAGTGCTTATACTGTCCTGAAATTTTGTGCCAAGAATGCAAACCCACTGGTCTTGAAGCAGAACGTGTCTCAACACAGAACCGCGAAGCTCACACATGAAGTGGTTGTGTGGTCGAGGCTGGGGGCTGTTCCCAAGCATTTCTGTAGCATTTCAGTCATGAAGCGCAGCACCCACGGTGCGGTGGAGGTGGAAAGAAAAGAAAACCACCCACCCTCTGTCACATTAGGAACTGAGCTACTTTGCACATTTCTTCTAGAATTCTAGGTGTTCCCAAAGGCAGCTGGAAAAGTAAATGACTAAATGAAAATCTAAAGAACACAGCAAAATTGATGGGGGAAAATTATTTTCCGATTTAATCCAAGTCGTATATGGCTTGTTTCCTTTAAATCCCCATTGATGCCTGTTTATAAAGAGAGAAATTTAGTTGAAATCAAAGCATTTAAGTTTTACTAATCTTTGTGTTCTGCTTTATTCCACCAGGAGTTAATAAGCCTCCTTTTGATGCATTGCTCTTTGTAATAAAATGTGTATGGGTCTTCTTTCTTTTTGAAACGGAATCTTGTTGTGTTGGCCAGGCTGGTCTCAATCTCCTGGGCTCAGGCAATCCTCTCACCTCGGCTTCCCAAAGCGCTGGGTTTACGGGCGTGAGCCACCTTGCCAGGTCTGTATGGATCTTCTGAAATCTGCTCCTGATGGCATTGTTGATTTAAATGAGATTGTATCCACATTGGGAAAAACTAGGAGCATATTGCATCATAATCATGTTGCATACTGTTCATCTTGTTCAGAACAGACCCCAGCATCACGGTCAATGGACGTGAGTTGTCTTAACACTTTTCACTGTTTTTAAGCATTAACATAGGAATGATGTTGCTTTTAAAAATCTGCATATGACAATAATTAGAAATTGGGACCAGGTGTGTTGGCTCACACCTGTAATTTCAGCACTTTGGGAGGTTGAGGGGGGAAGATTGCTTGAGCCCAGGAGTTCGAGGATGCAGTGAGCCGTGATCACGCTACTGTGCTGCAGGCTGGGCAGTGGAGCAAGACCCTGTCTCTTAAAAAAAAACGTAGAAAACATATGGATTAAATGTATGTTCAATAAAAATTAATTACAGGGTTCTATAATATAGTAAGCATTTTAGAGTCTGTTCTATAGATCAAACTCTGTTATGGGCATTTGAATGACAAAAATAAAAATGGCATGTTCCCTGCCTTTAACCACAGCTTGAGAGGAGACCAGCAAACGAAAAACTACCTACCTACCCCGCGATGGGAACAGATGCCCACCAGAGGAAAGAATGAGTGAGCACGGAGTGACTAACACATTTAAATTAGGACTTGAAAGATGACTAGAAGCTCCCCAGGCATAGAAAAGGGAAGAACCTTCCAGTTGAGGAGAAAAGCTATACAAAAACAGAGAAGTCAAAGAGTGTCCAGAGGGACTCAGTGTGCTAAAGCAGTGGTTTCCAAACTTGCCTGTGACCCACAGTGAGGAAGACATTGTCCGTGGTTTCCAGTGCACACACAAGAACTTCTCAAAATAATTACCTAACTGCCCTGCAAGATACTTTTCTATTTATTCCATTTTATTTACAAAAATGACAACGTAAAGACCTAACCAGTCACAAGCTGCAGTATGAAAAACATGGTGCTAGGGCTTCTGGAAGTCTGCAATTCCTGTAAGATAAAGAGTTGTCGTTTCAGGGGTGGTGGTGATGATTTTTATCTAACCAGTCATTAGTGGGTCAGAGTTGTATTTTAGAAAGATGGCTGCAGAGCACTGTTTACAATAGCAAAGACTTGGAACCAACCCAAATGCTCATCAATGATAGACTGGATAAAGAAAATGTGGCACATATACACCATAGAATACTATGCAGCCATAAAAAAGGATGAGTTCATGTCCTTTGCAGAGACATGGATGAAGCTGGAAACCATCATTCTCAGCAAACTAACACAGGAACAGAAAACCAAACACCACATGTTCTCACTCATAAGTGGGAGCTGAATAATGAGAACACATGGATACAGGGAGGGGAATATCACACACCGGGGCCTGTCAAGGGGTGGGGGACAAGGGGAGGCAGAGCATTAGGACAGACACCTAATGCATTCGGGTCTTAAAACCTAGATGACAGGTTGATAGGTGCAGCAAACCACCATGGCACATGTATACCTATGTAACAAACCCGCACGTTCAGCACATGTATCCCAGAACTTAAAGTAAAATTTCAAAAAAGAAAATAATCAGACAATTGTCAGAGGGACATTCATCTCAGCAATATCTACAATAATACCTCTAGCTGCCCTAAATGTCCAAAAATAGAGAATTTATTAAATAAATATAAATATATAAAAAAAGAAAGATGGCTGCAGAGTAATCTATTGAAAGTGTTAAATTACAGTCACCAAGACGGGAATCTGTTCATTCCTTCATTTCTTTAACAAATATGTGTTGCACATTTCCTAAGTGTTAGATATGCAAAGAGAAACAACCAAGGTCCCACAGTGAAGAAGGCCTCAGACTGATAGGGCTTGATTCTCTGTCTTCCACTTACCAGCATTAAGACCGTAATTCCTTTGCTGAACCTCTGTGAGCCTCAGGCTTACCGCTAAAATGTTAAGTGGGGAGGGGGTACAGGGAGGCATGTTCTGGCTTAAAATAAGTGTTCAGTAAATGTCAACTTTGTCCCTTCTAGGACTGAAGGTAGCTTGAGGAGAGAAGTTACTAGTAGCAAGGAAACAAGATTATTTTTATTTACTGGTTCAGCTATTTTAGAAAAAGTACAGATTATATTGACTAGGACGTTTTGCTTTCAAATATTTTGATTAATTTTCAAAACGTGGTGTAGGATTGCTTCGGAGCACAAATGGGATTTGTGTTCATGGTTTGGCTCTAGCATCCATTAGGAACTGGACTGGATTGGTGAGATAAAAAGGAGATTTATTTACCATGTGCCCAAAAGAGTACTCAAATACATAGGGTTGTTATATGAAGATTGAATGAGTTAATTTTTTTGTTTTTGTTTTGAGACGGAGTCTCGCTCTGTTGCCCAGGCTGGAGTGCAATGGCACGATCTTGGCTCACTGCAACCTCCACCTCCCAGGTTCAAGTGATTCTCCTGCCTCAGCCTCCCAAATAGCTGGGATTACAGGCATGCACCACCACACCAGCTAATTTTTGTACTTTTTAGTAGAAATGGGGTTGGCCAGGCTGGTCATGAACTCCTGACCTCAAGTGATCCGCTTGCCTCGGCCTCCCAAAGTGCTGGGATTACAGGCGTGAGCCACCGTGCCTGGCTGAGTTAGTATTTTTAAGTACTTATTTTTAAGGTATTTTTAATGTACAGAGCCTGGCATACAGTAAGTACGATGTAAGTGTTTTAGGCCGTTCTTGCATTGCTATTAAAAAAATATGGAGACTGGATAATTTATAAAGAAACGAGGTCTAATTGGCTCAGTTCTGTAGGCTTTACAGGAAGCATGGTGCTGGCATCTGCCTGGCTTCTGATGAAGCCTCAGGGAGCTTTCAATCATTGTGGAAGGTGAAGCAGGAGCACGCACATCACATGGCAAAAGCAGGAGTAGGGGAGAGAGTGGGGCGGGGGGTGCCACACCCTTTTAAATGACCAGATCTCATGTGAACTCAGAGAGAGAGCTCACTCATTACCAAGGGGATGACCCAAGCCATTTATGAGGGATCCGCCCCCAGGATCCAAATACCTCTTACCAGGCCCCACCTCCAACACTGGAGATTACAATTCAACATGAGATTTGGCAGGATTGTGCATTCAAACTGTATCAATAAGTATTTGATTAAAATTCTAATTAGTAGAATTAAAGCTAGTCTGAATTCTGTTTTAGTTATGGCTGTAACTGAACGAATATTTTTACTTAGAATCTTACATTAATCCACCATAGGGTCTTTTTACATGATGGAGGGCACACTTCTTCTTTTAAAGCATCCTTGGCTGATCTGCATGCTAGCACAGGTGACCTATCAAGCTCTCTGCAGCATTCGGACCTTCCATGAACAGATTGTTATCCCATTGAAAGCCCCAGCCAAAACCAAATGAGTTTCCCACTCCCAGAGAAGTAGATGGTGATTCACAGGTTTTAAGAAGGTGAGAAATTTTCACACGTTTGCTGTCACTTTCCTAAAGCAGCCGTAGTGCTGTTGTCTTCAGGAATAAGTGTCAAAAGGGCCTACCTAAGCCGTCTTTGTCTGCATATCAGTTTTGTTAAGCCCATTGTATAAGTAACATTATGCCCAAGAGGTGGATATGTTAGAGCTGGTTTTGTGGTTAATTAGTACAGTTTGCTGTGGCTGTACTGTCTCAAGGGTGTGTCTTTACTTTGTGCACTGAGCTTTCTGTGGCTATACTTGTAGTCCTGCCAGGGAGAGGAAAGCAGCGAAACTATGTCAAGGCTTCTGAAGATGCCCAAGGCTTTTCTCAACCACACTTAAAATGTGGGTGCACAGGCCCTCCTAGCCAGCCATTCCCAGGAGCAGGGAAGGCTCAGGCATCTTGCTCCACAAGATCTGGGAGGCAGCCAACCGGAAGGACTTGTAGGTTACTCGGGTGTGAAGTCTTCAGTTGATTGCCTTAGAAATCTCTGCTGAGGCCGGGCGCAATGGCTCACACCTATAATCCCAGCACTTTGGGAGGCCAAGGCTGGTGGATCATGAGGTCAGGAGATCGAGACCATCCTGGCTAACACGGTGAAACCCCATCTCTACTAAAAAATACAAAAAATTAGCCGGGCATGGTGGCGGGTGCCTGTAGTCCCACCTACTCAGGAGGCTGAGGCAGGAGAATGGCGAGAACCCGGGAGGCGGAGCTTGCAGTGATCATGCCACTGCACTCCAGCCTGGGTGACAGAGCGAGACTCCATCTCAAAAAAAAAAAAAAAAGAAAAATAAATCTCTGCTGAGAAATGTGCCCCTGCTGGGGAAGGAGAGCCAACCAGTCAAAGGAGACCTAGACCTACCAGTCAAAGGAGACCTAGACCTACCAGTCAAAGGAGACCTAGACCTACCAGTCAAAGGAGACCTAGACCTGCAGCCGAGAAGGTGAACGCAGATGCTCTTCAGTCTGTGTGTCTAAATGAGGAACCCGTATGTGGAATGACAGGTGAGGATTTGAGGCTGTTCTTCATCTCACTGCAAGTCCCTGTTGAAAGGTGGCAGAGGCCAAGCAATGGCATCCATGGGGCTGTCCAGGCCTAATGGCCTGAATGCAAAGCAACCAGGGTGGGGGTGGCAGGACTGAGGCCCTTTCCAACTGCAAAACTGCGCTTGGAGGCTTAGAACATTGTCATCTTGATAATAACACAAAGCGAGCCTTCCCCAGAAGCTGTTTCCATCCCTGCAACAGAGAATACAACAGAAAATGTAGGAAGGAGAGGTCAAAGTGTGTGAAAAATATGATAAAAGTAGGCCGGGCATGGTGGTTCATGCCTGTAATTCCAGCACTTTGGGAGGCCGGGGCAGGCAGATCACCTGAAGTTGGGAGTTCAAGACCAGCCTGGCCAACATGGCAAAACCTGGTCTCTACGAAAAATACAAAAATTAGCTGGGCATGATGGTGGGTGCCTGTAATCCCAGCTACTCAGGAGGCTGAGGCAGGAGAATCGCTTGAACCCAGGAGGCGGAGGTTGCAGTGAGCCGAGATGGCACCACTGTACTCCAGCCTGGGCGACAGAGCAAGACTGTGTCTAAAAAAAAAAAAAAAAAAATGAAAGTAAGAAAGTAAGTCTTCCATTAAGAATGGATGTTGCTGGCTGGGCGCAGTGGCGCACACCTGTAATCCCAGCACTTCGAGAGGTCAAGGTGGGCGAATCACCTAAAGTCAGGAGGTCGAGGCTAACATGGAGAAACCTCGTCTCTACTAAAAATATAAAAATTAGCTGGGCGTGGTGGCGTGTGCCTATAATCCCAGCTACGCAGGAGGCTGAAACAGGAGAATCGCTTGAACCCAGAAGGCGGAGGTTGCAGTGAGCCAAGATGGCACCACTGCACTCCAGCCTGGGCGGCAGAGCAAGACTCTGTCTCAAAAAAAAAAAAAGAAAAGAAAAAGAATGGATGGTGCAGCTCTTGACCTGGTGTAATTTTCAAAAGGAAAATGTCCCTTTCTCAATAACGTTAAGGAGAAGTCGTACTTCAAGTTTTTTAAGTACAGTCATGTGTTGCTTAATGTCAGAGACGTGTTCTGAGAAATGCATTGTTGGCCAGTTCTGTCGTGTGAACATCATGGGGTGCACTGATCCACACCTAGATGGTACAGCCCATACACACTAGGCTGTGTGGTACAGCATATTGCTCCGAGGCTACAAAGCTGTACCGCAGGCTACTGTAGTGAATACTGGAGACAGCTGTAACAACAGTAAGTATTTGTGCATCTGAACGTATCTCAACGTAGAAAAGGTAGAGTAAAAACATGGTATTGCAATCTTATGGGACCACCATTGTGTATGTGGTCTGCCATTGACCAAAATGTAATGACGTGGCCCATGACTGTAATTACAAGGAAATAAGTCTGACACCAAAACACACAAATATTCATCTTAGTCATTATGTTCAGGCCATTTGAGGCTAATAATAACTTCCTAACTATATGGGAATTAAAACAATATGAATTCTGCTGAATTGATCTCTTCCTTTTGTATCAGAAAAGGAAAACATTCTTCTTTGGCCTAATATTCCCATAAATCACACTGAAGATGAAAACGAATTTAAGTATCCTTTTAGTACTTTGGTCTCAACAAGTCTGTTGTTTATCACAAATTTATGAACATCAGTGATTCTTAGACACTAAATTTCCAATTCATACAAGGCAAAAAAACTTGTGTATAGTAGGAGCAGACTTTTATTTTGGTTTTAAGCCTTATTCTATAAAACTGCACCATCTAATATGGTGGCCACTAGCCACATGTGGCTATTTAAATCAAAATTATAATTAATTTAAAATGAAATGAAATGTAAAATTCAATTCCTGAGTCACACTAGCCACATCTCAAGTGTCTAGTAGCCACATATGGCTAGTGGCTGCCACACTGGACAGCACAGAGAACATTTCTGTCATACAGAAAGTTCTCGTGAACAGTGCTGCTGTAAACTTTTATTATAATGCCCCCTCCAAAAAGGTTACTACATTGTAACTGAGCTCTACCAATTACGTTTCATTATTTAAAATATTTAATCAGAAATGTTTTGGTGTCAAAGATTAATGATAGTGATTCTAATCAGACATTAAGCGATTAAAATAGTTATGCTTATTTATGTAAGCACAGTTAGCAATAAAGCACTTTAGCAATTAATTTTATAGTAATGACAAATAGGGAATTCGTGTAAAGCAGATATGAATTCAACAATTAGCTTGCTGTCTGAAGTGTGATTGATTGATTGATAACAGTTTGGAGGTATTTTGAGTGTTCAGATCTCAACAGCACATGGCCAGATAAGTCTGTCATATCATAGTTGTCATGATACTAAGCTGTCATTATTTTTTTAATTGCTACCATTTTTCTTCAAAAAAAGAAAAAGACAATTCTATGGTACTACGTATCATGAGATGGAAAGAGTGTAAATTAAAACCTTGAGGCCGGGCATGGTGGCTCACACCTGTAATCCCAGCAGTTTGGGAGGCCGAGGCGGGCAGATCACTTGAGGTCAGGAGTTCAAGACCAGTCTGGCCAACATGGCGAAACCCCCGTCTCTACTAAAAATACAAAAAAATTAGCTGGGTGTGGTGGCTGGCGCCTGTAATCACAGCTACTTGGGAGGCTGAGGCAGAAGAATTGCTCCAGCCTAGATGACAGAGCAAGACTCTGTCTCAAAAAAATAAAAATAAAACCTTGAGAAACAAAACTTTGCTTGTTCCTGGGAGTGAAACAAACATGGTGAATATTCTCTCTTATCTCTAATGATCTCTCATGGGTTTTTCCCAGAACTGTGTCATTGTCCATAGCAGTTAGTATTTGTGTGAGGAAAAACAGGACAGTGCCAGTGAGCTTGGAGACCCTGGGACTTCTTAATTGAAAACACATCTCTAAGACACTTTGATCAAAATAAATATAAAGAGACTTAACATAATTATGAAAAAATAAGTACATTTTACACTGATGATATTGCTTTATTGTACCAATAAAAGCAATACATGGTTGTAGCATAAAATTTGGAAAATGCAAAGAAGTATAAAGAATTATCTATATTTCTTCCTAGTTTTATTTCCATCCATACATAGTTGAAACACACAAAATAAAATTTTCTATCAGAATGAACTTTTGAACTCATAATGTTCAAAATAGAAAAAAGTATCCCTTTATACTTTCACAAGAAAATGTCTTTAAAATTTTAATTAATAGTAGGAGCATTTTTAAACCAGGACACAAAATGTATTAATTGACATCAATATCTTATTCTTCCAACATAAATTATTGCAGATAGTCTCCTTTATGTGGGACAGTCTATCCTAAGATTATGTAAAATTCAATGTATTAAGCGTTAGCTCTGGAAGAGATTAAAAAATGGTTGTGGGGTAGGTAGGTATGAGGACATGATTGGAAATGCACTAGAAAGAGGTACAGGGGTGTTGCAAACTTTTTGTGGTGGTGGAAACATTCTATTTTTGTTGTGGGTAGTGATTACATGAATGTATACAATTGCCAAAATTCATAACTGCACATTTAAGATCTGTGCCTTTTTTGTTATTAATAACTTAGTAAAAACCTTTAATCTTACTACCATTTGAAAGGTTCTTGTATCGGTTTGAACCCCGAGAGCGCACCAACAGACAACACGAGGCAGTGTGGGGCAACACGCTGTTTTAATGAGTGCCTGGGTGCAGGCGGGATGAGGCCTAAAATGGCGTCAGCCCCAAGTGATTACCGGACCGGAGTTTTATAGTCCTCTCTAAACAGGAAGTGTCCCGGTCTGACGTGACTGCTACGTAGTACCCGGAAGGCCTCTTTCTCCATCTTCAGGGGTACATGTCTTCCGGCCAGGGTAAGTGTCTTCCAGCAGGCTGTCTTCCTGCTTCTGCTGTCTTGCTGATGCACGCTGCTGGCTGCTGGCACAAGTGGTCTTGTGCCTTGGGACTGGGCCTGAGAAGGGAGGAGTTATTCATCCCTTCAAGCTTTCAGGCACTGGGGAGAATCTTTCATTCCTGCCTATTTGGTTATAAAAAAAAAAAAAGGAAAAGGGGCAACTTACTCAATAACTACTTCAGGCGTGACACAGGGGGTGGCATGGGCACCTTGGAAAAAGAAAACTTTAATTTTTGGGGGCGTTCTTGAGAGACGGGTTGGTATCATTGCGTCATTGTAGCAGGAGCATCATCTGGATTGTCTGGCGATTAACTGTAAGAGTTTTAATGGCTTTTATTATTAGTGGATAACCCAGGGGAGAAACAGGAGGAGCCCAGTGATGAAGATTACTGTCCCTACCAGCGTTTTACATCCTCCTAAATTACAGAACCACCTTCTAGAAGGTTTGCCGGGTCCCACCCTTTCCAGGTTTGGACCGGTACATGGGCTACTTTTCTGATGTTCGAAGCGATTTCTAGAACTGCTTTTCCGTTATTGTCTATGTTAAGACAACAATTGGAGATATTAAACTTACCACAGACCCCACCCTCTTCTGCTAATAAGTGTCTAGTGCCAGCCTGTTTTGATAAATTGCCGCGTGCATTTGGTTTTGTTGTTGCGCGAGCATTTCCAGGGCTGAGGCGGTTTGGTTAGTGATTATCTCTAGAACAGCCTGTAGTCTAATTATTCTATTTAGCATATATATGGGAGTGCGATAACCCCATGAACCATCCTCAGCCCAGGTGGCAGGACCATAATATTTGATGATCCGTTGCGGAGGCCACTCGTCCTCTCGCCATCTTTGGCTTCCTCCTACCTTTAAGGATCGTTTTTCTCTGTTTAAGTTATCATACACAGGGACTCCGAGGGTGTCGCCTGCCTGCTTTGGAAGTAAAAAGAATACGGGTTTAATTGTGCTTAGGAAGCAAGGACCTCGCCAGTGATAAGGTAGCCATGAGTAAGCCTGGGTTCCACATATCCAAAAGAATCCATCAGGGGCAGTCCATTGTAGGCTGGTATTCATAGGATTGACCCATCGTGCACTTAGGTGGGGGTATGTGGCATAAGGGTTGGTGGTGTTTGTACAGTTCCAGGCCCTTTTTGATGGAACACAGTTGAGGCAGCTTAAGTTAGAGGGAGACCAGGCTCCGTGGGGTAACCTTGGCCACCACTCGGCTGTGGAGGCGTTGACTGTTAAGGTTTGGTGACAAGGGCTTGCACCTATGGCACGATGGGTTTTATCAGTCCACTTGCGGGATATGCACACCGTCCCTCTTACTGGGTTGGTAAGTGTCCAGGACTGCGGGCGTTCCTGAAGAGTGAAAGTGAGGCTGGGGTTTTGGGATGCTAGTAAGTAAGGAGGAACGTCTATCCCAAACCATGGCCACTGTTCACTCATATGCGGGCTCCCCCACATACCCGGCAATTGGACACATTCATGGTAAGCGCGGTAAGTTCTCCTAGATCTACAAACAGGTTTTTTCCTGGCTTGGGAAGGGATACGTCTGCTTGTAGTTTTTAATAAAGGGATGGAAATACTACGGGTGGTTGTGGAGGGGAGTTGTTGGCTTTGGCTTTTGCCTTGGCTATCATCTTTTCTCTCTTTATGTCCTCTAGCACTTGAGTGTTTACTCCCCATTGTCCAATTTTGGTGAAGCAAAGCCACTGCTTCCCTTTGGGGCACATAGCCCCATTACGACTTTCAGATACTCCTAGATTTTTTACTTTATAATAACTTTTCCCTGATTCAACACATTCTTCAACTAAGGAGGCGGAGGTTGCAGTGAGCCGAGATCGCACCACCGCACTACAGCCTGGACAACAGAGTGAGACTCCGTCTCAAAAAAAAAAAAAAAGCAGCTAAAATTTAAAAAGTGACAACACCAAATGCTAGTGAGGATGCAGGGAAACTGGATTACTCATTCATTGCTGGTGGGTATATAAAATGATACAGTCACTCTGGAAAACAGTTTTGTTTCTTATAAAACTAGAGGCAAGTACTGTAAGACCCAACAATTACACTTTTGGGGGTCATTTGTTCCAGAGAAATGAAAACTTATGCCCACACAAAAGCCTGTGCATGAAAGCTCATAACAGCTGTATCTGTAACAGCCAAAACCTGGAAACAACCAGATGTCCTGAGAAGGAGGAACAGTTCAACACACTGTGGCACATCCATATCATGGAATACCACTCAGCAGTAAGAAGTAACAAACTATTTTTTTTCTTCAACTTTTAAGTTCCGGGATACAGGTGCAATATGTGCAGGTTTGTTACGTAGGTAAACGTGTGCCATTGTGGTTTGCTGCACGGATCATCCCATCACCTAGGTATTAAGCCCAGCATCCATTAGCTATTCTTCCTGATGCTCTCCCTCCCCAACCCCTACAGGCCCCAGTGTGTGTAAGAAGGAACAAACTATTGATACACATAACTTGGATGGATCTCCAGGGAACGGGATGGAGTGGGAAAAAAAAAAGCCAGTTGCAAAAGGTTGTATCCTGTATTGTCCTATTTATATAACATTATTGAAGTAGCAAAATTAAAGAATGGAAAACAGATTAGTGGTTGTCGGAGGCCAGGGACAGTGGTGGGGTGGGGTAGGTGTGGCTATCTAGAAGAGCAACACAAAAGATCTTTATGATGGTGAAACTGTCCTGTACTTTGTATCAGTGTCAATATCCTGGCTGTGATATTCTACTATAACTTTCCAAGTTTACCACTGGGGAAACTGTGTAAAGAATCCACAGGAGTTCTCTGTATTATTTCTTACAACTGCATGTGAGTCTATAATTCTATGAAAATTAACAGTTTAATCAGAAAAACTTATGAGTTATTCCACATTAGAACAAGTCTCTTTCAGACTTTGACTTGTATCTTCAAACCTTCTTCCAAACCTATTGTTCTTCTTACTCTCATAGAAACTTAATGTGTAACTGATAAAACAATTTAATGGGGAAAGGTCAATCTTTTCAACAAATGATGCGGGCGCATGTAGATGTCCATAGGCAAAAAAAGTTGACCATTTTCATCAACTTAGTGGGGTTTTTTGTTTTGTTTTGTTTTTGAGACAGGGTTTTGCTCTGTTGCCCAGGCTGGAGTGCTGTGGTGCAATCATGGCTCACTGCGGCCTTGAACTCCTGGGCTCAAGCGATCCTCCTGCCTGAGTAGCTGGGACTGTGAGTGCATGCCACAACACTCAGCTTCAGCTTAGTGTTTTGAGTAATTGTTCTTTTCTCCATTTCTTCCCATCTGTCTAAATGTAGTTTAGTGTATTTTTTGTTATTGTCTGCAGAGTTAAAGCATAAAATGGCTGAATAGAGCAAAAAAAGAAAAAAGAGTCTCTTCAATGGAGAAAAAATAAAATAATCAGTAAATATTGCAAAAAAGAATTTGTTTAAAACCTTACCCTGCTCTGCCTACCCCCACGACCTCTTCCTGTCACAGGCAACCATTCTACCAACGGAGATAATATTGCCAGAGAAGACGTTTTACCAGGGCAGGAGAAACATGCACCATCTTACGTCCCTTGCCCTCCATTTCTCTTCATATTTGTGTACCTGTTTGTAACTGAATGTGGTAATAGAAAATAGAAAAGACATGATGACTGGTGGCTGCTGAGTAAGCCTTCAGACACCCTTCCTAAATGCATGAGGATCTGCACTGGATTCTGCCCAAGGGCAGGTCGGGGGCAAAAGCAGATGAGTTGGCAAAAGACCACATGGAGACGAGACACCAACACTGGGGACAGGCTCATGCCAGTTTGGAATCCAGCCTTTGAACTGATTTCTCATTTTGCAAAATTATTTTCTACACCAGCTATTTCTTAAATGACTTCTGGTTGACTTGGGTGGTAACATTAAGATAAAAATGTGTTGGCAGTGAAAAAAACAAACCACACTTAAAAGAAATATTGAAGCTGGGCATGGGGGCTCACGCCTGTAATACCAGCACTTCGGGTGGCTGAGGTGGGAGGATCACTTGAGCCCAGAAGATCAAGGCTGCCGTGAGCTATAATCGCACCACTGCACTCCAGCCTGGGTGACAGAGAGAGACCGTCTCAAAAAAACAAACAAATATTGAAACGTTGCTTAGTTAAAAGCCTTTTACAATTTGTTTCCACCTAACATGTGGTTACTTATTCGATCACATAATCTGGTGAAGGAGAGTAAAGACCATGACACTGATTTGCTATTTACAACAAGGCAACATATTGCTTAGTGCTCATCAGCTTTCTAAAGAAGCTGAACATCATGTCCAGTACTTTGCAAAATTCTTTCAGATCCTCTGACAGCTTTAGTAAAAAATGTCATCACAAGCCAACTCAGTTGTCTACAAACAGGCTCTCATTTTACATTTAACTTTGAAAATATATTTACAATCCTTTGAAAATATATTTACAACAATTTAGAATCATTCTCAATTTCATTGCCTCTCAGCTGCACAGCTGGATTTTATTTGGTGCAAAAGGAAAAACTGGGTTGTAGGTAAACATTATATCATGTTTGGGGAGTGGTTTATAGAAATTTCAAGCCTCTTGTACTTTCATGAATTTTCTAACACTTTATTATTGTTATAATTATCTACTCATAATAATGACTGCCATTTATTGAGCCCATACCAGGTGCCGGCCCCTGGACTAGGAGAAACAGTTAATGTTTGTGTTACCTTGTCAGATAAGTGTCGTTGCTGAGGCTCAGGAGGATGAGGGCATGCTTGCCCAAAACTCCACAACTGGGAAATACTAGAGCCAGGATTCGGACCCCAGACAGTACGGTTCACAAGCCATATTCCCTTTAAAAATGAAGGTGACCCCTTGTCAGGCTATGGAATTTGAGGTGTGAAATTCTTTCAGCTCGTGCTGTAGTTACTAGAGATGGTCTTAATTGTCAGACAGCTCTTCAGCAGTTGGGGCAAACAGGCAAACATTAACTCATGATGACCATACCACCTGGATTAGTTTGTCCTTGTTGCATTGCTATAAGGAATGACCTGAGGCTGGGTAATTTATAAAGAAAAGAGGTTTAGTTGGCTCACCGTTCCGCAGGCTGTTCAGGAAGCGTGGCTGGGGAGACCTCAGGAAACTTACAATCATGGCAGAATGAGAAGACGAAGGAGGCACATTTTACATGGCTGGAGCAAGAGGAAGAGAGCGAAGGAGGCAGTACATACTTGTAAACAACCAGATCTCGTAAGCACTCAGTCACTATCATGAGAACAGCAAGGGGAAAATCTGCCCCCACGATCCCATCACCTCCCACCAGGCCCCACTTCCAACGCTGGGGATTACAGTTCGACACGAGATTTGGGCAGGGACACAAATCCAAACCATATCACTACCTAAGCCCATTCCTCCTACTACTGACCACTTCTTTCTTCCCTTGACCAGTGTGCATGGGTAGGAATACATACTGTATGACGCTGCTCGGTGAGAAGAAGCAATCTGACTAAACCCCTGGACTGCTTTCTGGATTTGGTTTTGTACTTCACTACTAAGGTTATTTTCGTTGGTCAGTGAACCTCTGGAACGGTAGTTCGAACAGCTTGTAATACATGTCTCATGAAAGTTACATGGATGTGTATGTATATACATGTATGCTGGAATAACTCTTTAAATCTTGATTTCAGAAATCTGGAATATTTATGCTTATACTCAAGTAAGGAATTTGATTTGAGGTATTTTAAGTAGAGTCACCAAAAATAATCCGTTGCAGCAAATTTAGAAAGTTATCATTAATGCTCAAAATATAGCATTTTCTACTTATTTTCACTTCACAATGTATCAAATAGGATTTCCAACATCTTATGAAAAGATACAGTATTTTCTCAAAGAGTAAGAAAACTGGGGCAAAGGGTAAATAAGGGTAGGAAAATAATGTGAAACCAGGGGAGAGGCTAGTACACAGAATACATGCTGTACAGCGTGTGTCATTGATTGCATCTCATTTTAAAAATAAAACGGCACATCCCACTTTCCTAAAAATGTGGCTTCTTGATCAGGAATCTCTATCTCTGTTACAGCAGTGGGACTTCTTGTCCTTTTTAATACTTTGTTCTTTCCTCCCTGCCTTAGGAAATATTCCATTTGATTCTGTCCTTGTTTTTTGTTTTTTTTTTTCCAATAGGCAGCCTTCCACAGCAGCAGTCTGAGACAATGAAAAATCACTTGAGCTTTTTAAAACAAATGATCGTGAGGAGCATTTGAGGATTCATTTGTCGAGTTAGTTGGAATGTCGTATGTGGGCAAGCTCATGTTTCCAATTTGGGACTTGGAGCAGGCAATCAGCTGTGTCGCATTCTCATATCCGCTTGAAGTCAGCCCTGAGAGCTGCGGTATCTTTAGTAGCTCACTGTGTATGGTGATAGCAAGTGTGCGAGTTGTCCTCACAGAAAACAGCTCACTTGATAGTTTATGAAGCTGCAACTTGGCAGTGCTATCCAAGACCTTTCTTTCAGAAATTGCTGTTGCCACTACCACACAGTGGACAAATCTGAAAGGGAGAATTTAGTTTTTCCACGGACTCTCCTTTTCCTATGAGGATTTTTTAGTACACCCTGTACATAAAACCATGGCTTACAAAGTGAAAACATTGATCGCTTTTTTTTTTCTTTTCTGTTTTTTGAGGCAGAGTCTCACTCTGTCACCCAGGCTGGAGTGCAGTGGCCCGATCTCAGCTCACTGTAACTTCTGCCTCCCAAATTCAAGTGATTCTCCTGCCTCAGCCTCCCGAGTAGCTGGAACTACAGGCGTGAACCACCACACCTGGCTAATTTTTTTATATTTTTTGTTTGTTTTTTAGTAGAGATGGGGTTTCACTGTGTTGGCTAGGCTGGCCTTGAACTCCTAACCTCAGGTGATCGCCAGCCTCGGCCTCCCAAAGTGCTGGGATTACAGGTGTGAGCCACCGTGCCTGGCTGATACATCAGCATTTTGAATGGATGAGTTGAATATGATTAAAAAAAAAAAAAGGCCAGGCATGATGGCTCACGTCTGTAATCCCAGCACTTTGGGAGGCTGAGGCAGGCAGATCACTTGAGGTCAGGAGTTTGAGACCAGCCTGGCCAACATGGAGAAACCCTGTCTCTACTAAAAATACAAAATATTAGCCAGGCATGGAGGTGCACACCTGTAATCCCAGCTACTCGGGAGGCTGAGGCACAAAAATCGCTTGAACCCAGGAGGCAGAGGTTGCAGTGAGCCAAGATTGCGCCACTGCACTCCAGCCTAGGTAACAGAGCAAGACTCTGTCTCAAAAAAATAAATAAATAAAAATGAAAATGAAATGTGAGTATCTATGTAGAACTGCAAAATGTCTTAGGTAAAACATAAAGTGTCCATTATTTTCCCTTTGTGCCACTGTAAATATGAAAAGAAATAATCAAATACTCTAGGCAGAATTGTAGGAGGGGGACCTAAAATTCTAAAATCAGTGTTTGCTGAACCTTTTATTTTTGCCTTCAATGACTTTTAAAAATAGATTATATTTTTAGAGTAGTTTTAGGTTTACAGAAAAATGATGCAAAGTACAAAATTCCCATTATAACCCCCTCTTTCTGTGCACAGTTTCCCCTACTATTAATGACATCTTGAATTGATGTAGTACACCTGTTGCAATTGATGACCTGACATTAATGCATTATTATTAAGTCTATAGTTTCCATTCGGATTCACTCTTTCTGTTGTACATCTCTACAGGTTTTGCTGAGTGCATGACGTCTTGTATCTACCACTACAGTATCACACCTAATAGTTTCACCACCCTAAAAATCCCCTGTGCTTCACCTATTGATCTCCCCTTCCCTACCCCTAACTCCTGGCAACCACTGGTCTTTTTACTGTCTCTCTAGTTTTGCCTTTTCCAGAATGATATGCAATTGTAACCTTTTCAGACTGGCTTCTTTAACTTAGCAATATGCATTTAAGATTCTTCCATGTCTTTTTGTGGCTCGATAGCTCATTTTTTTGTTGCTGAATAATTTTCCACTGCATAGATGCACCACAGTTTGTGCAGGAGCTGTGTGCTTGAGAAGCTATGTGTGCTCTAGGAGCTGTTCACTGGAGAAGCCACTCCTTAAAGCAGGCTGCGGGTCAAGCCTGTGGGAACCAGGAAGCAAACCGTTTTTCGTCTGCAGCATCTCTCTAGCGCCCTCTACTGACAAAGCTTAAAATTGTGCCAGCTAGCGAAGAAAAAAAATATGTAAAAGGCCCAGATTCATTTTCACTAGCAGGCAAAAAGGATGGTTTTGAGGCTGCCGGGCTATAAATCAAAAACGGGCACAACAATCTAACCTACCACAGCTAGTAAGATTCAAGGAGAGAAGCCAGGCAAACTGAAAGCTAATGACTTATGAAAAGCACCCAAGCTCACTCTCTGGACCAAAGCACTAGTTTTTTTTGTTTTGTTTTGTTTTGTTTTGTTTTGTTTTGTTTTGTTTTGTTTTGTTTTGTTTTTTGAGACAGAGTCTCACTCTGTTGCCCAGGCCGGAGTGCAATGGCATGATCTTGGCTTATTGCAAACTCCACCTCCCAGGTTCAAGCGATCCTTCCACCTCAGCCTCCTGAGTAGCTGGAATTACAGGTGTGTGCCACCATGCCTGGCTAATTTTTATATTTTTAGTAGAGACGGGGCTTCACCACGTTGACCAGGCTGGTCTTGAACTCCTGACCTGAAGTGACCCACCTGCTTCAGCCTCCCAAAGTGTTAAGATTACAGGTGTGAGCCACCATGCCCAGTCTCAAAGCACTAGTTCTGCTGATCAGTGAGTCTCAAAGTGCCCCCCTCGGATCTCTTATGCTAGAACCACCTACGGGCTTGTTACAACGCAGATTCCTGTGCTCCAGCTGGAACTGACAACTGAATTAGAATGAAGGAAGGCAGACAGGCATCTGTAGTTTAAACTTTTACTCCAGCTAGCTCTATGTACACTAACATTTAAGATTCAGGTGATCCTTGAGGGTAGGGGCCTTTTTAATTCATACTTGGCTCTTGGCCCAGTATTTGACTCTTAGAGGGTATTGCTGTAGATAGGCTGGTTCCTGCATTGGTTGGTTGGTTGGTTGGTTGGTTGAGAGATCTGATTCAAACCCAAGCAGCTGTAACTGGCCATGAGCTACAGCCCCAGCAATACTTTAACGGCATTTGGCAGATGAGCACGTCCCTTCACTAATGTTAGTAAAGCCCAGAGGTGACACATCCTCACTAGAATGGCAGATGGTATTTTCCATAGATGACTGTGGCAATATCTCCCATCCCACATCTTCTCCTACAATGTGACCTTGCCACCCTTCCATCAAGAGGCAGGGTCTATGTCCTGGATCCTTGAATCTAGGCAGGCTTGGGACTTGCTTGCAACTGATAGAATGTGCAGAAGTGATGCTCTCTGAGGCTACCTTAAAAAAGGCAATGGCCGGGCGCGGTGCCTCACGCCTGTAATCCCAGCACTTTGGGAGGCTGAGGTGGGTGGATCACAGGGTCAGGAGATCGAGACCATCCTGGCTAACATGGTGAAACTTCATCTCTACTAAAAATGCAAAAAATTAGCTGGGCGTGGTGGTGGGTGCCTGTAGTCCCAGGTACTCGGGAGGCTGAGGCAGGAGAATGGCGTGAACCCGGGAGGTGGAGCTTGCAGTGAGCCGAGATCGCGCCATTGCACTCCAGCCTGGGCGAGAGTGTGAGACTCCATCTCAAAAAGAAAAAAAAAAAAAAAAAAAGGCAATGCAGTTTCTTCCCTGTTCCTTGGGGCTCATGCTTTTGGAGCCATGAGTCTCCGTATGAAAAGTACCACTACCTTGAACCTCCACACTGTGAGGAAGCCCAGGCCTTCTGGAAAGGCCACATGTGGGTTCCCTAATCAACAGCCCTGGCTGAGTGAGGTTCCGCCCAACAGCCAGATCAACCACCAGACAGTAAGTGGTGATGTCTCCTGGGATTCCAACCCCCAGCTCTTGAGTCACTCTTAGCCATTAAGTCTTCCCAGCTGAGGCTCCCAAGCCATCCCACTGCCATGTCCAATTTCTGACCACAGAATCTGTGAGGGTAGTCAAATGGTTGTTATAAGCTGCTTAGTTTAGGGATAATTGGTTACACAGCAATAGTAATTACAACAAATTAGAAAGCACTTCTGGATTAGAATCACCTGGCCATCTCATCATCCAAATCATAGAAGCTGAAAAGCATAAGCTTCCACTTTAGCCTTCCCTCCACTGACAGTATTGCTAAGATCTTCCTTCCCCTCTGCTGAACATCACTGTGGAAGAGAAAACCCAAATACTCCTAAACTTGTTATAGTGTCTAAGAGTTGTATTTGAAAGACTTTAAAAGACAAAAACAAAAAAACACTAGTTCAGAAGTGTACCACATGCCTCACTACTTAATACCAGGGAGGCTTTATAAAGCAACATGAAAACCTAAACCAGTGTCATTTTTATATTCCCATCTGAAAAGAAAAGCACAAAATAATCAACTGTGCCGTAGAGTATCCAGGAATTGGTCAAGTAATCTTTAGTAAGCCTCTCCATTTGGAAGACCAAATGGAATAATGAGAAAGAGGAAATCATAGGGATCCATAAAACCCGGGTTCAAAATAGGTTCATCCTTATGGTGTCTGGGTGGTCTTGAGCGAGTTACTCAACCTCTCTGAACTTCAGTTTATTTATCTCCAAAACAGGATTATCTAATTATGTTCCTAGCCACAGGGCTGTTATGCTGACCCAATGTGGTGTTCAGAAATATGAAAGCACTTTGTACAGTGAGAAGACTAAATATGAACAGAAAAATGAAAGAAAAAAAACAAAATAAGCTACGTGTATATCCAGGCAATGTAGGCCAGTGTCAAAAAAGGTAAAGTAAGGGCTGGGCGCGGTGGCTCACACCTGTAGTCCCAGCACTTTGGGAGGCCGAGGCGGGTGGATCACGAAGTTAGGAGTTTGAGACCACCCTGACCAACATGGTGAAACCCCGTCTCTACTAAAAATACAAAAATTAGCCGGGCGTGGTGGCGCCCACCTGTAATCCCAGCTGCTCAGAAGGCTGAGGCGGGAGAATTGCTTGAATCTGGGAGGCAGAGGGTGCAGTGAGCCGAGATCGTGCCACCGCACTCTAGCCTGGGCGACAGGGCGAGACTCAGTCTCAAAAAAAAAAAAAAAAAAGAAAAACAGGTAAAGCAAAAAGCAAAACAAAAAATTCTCTATTAAACGTCAATGTTCCTGGCAGACACAGGTGCCCATATTTACCTGTTACAGTGATAGAGGATCCAGGAAGTGAAGTAGCATCACTTCACTGTCTTCCCTGCAAATCCTGTTTATACCAAGTTTTATACCGCTTTGCTTTGAGCAAATTCATCTGCTGCTGCTAAACTGCTGCCTGCCCCAGAACTCCCACTTTCGAACAAGCCTGTGATTGCTTTGCAAAGACTCATTTCCAATTCAGATTCCTAAGATAAGCTGCCAGTCTTCTTGGGGTCTTCCGTCTCACGGTTTTATGTCCGGCCAGCAGCAGGCCTAGCCCTCTCCTGTTGCTCAGTGAATTTCAATGCGAATCTTCTCTTTTCTACTTGCATGACCGAAAAGACCCTCAGAGACCAGCCAAGCCCATCATTTTACAAAACAGAAAACCAAGACCTAGGAGAGGAGAAGGCTCACAACCAGGTGTCACAATGTATTACAGAACGGAGCTCCTCTTTCCATAAATAGTTTTCTCCTCGTTATTCCTGCATCGAGCATGTGTTCCAGACTGCCTGCTTGACATCTCCAGATGGATGACTAATAAGTTTCTTAAACTTAACTTGTCCAAGCAGAACTCTTGATGCCACCCACCCAAATGTGTTCTTCCCCCGGTCCTCCCAATCTCAGTTAATTGCCCAGTTGCCCAGGCCAAAAACCCAGGAGTCATATTTGATTTATTTCTTTTTTCTTTTTCTTTTCTTTCTTTCTTTTTTTTTTTTTTTTTTGAGACAGAGTCTCACTCTGTCACCCAGGCTGGAGTGCAGTGGCGCAGTCTCGGCTCACTACAATCTCTGCCTCCCCGGTTCAAACGATTCTCCTGCCTCAGCCTCCCAAGTAGCTGGGATTACAGGCGTGCGCCACCACATCCAGCTAATTTTTATATTTTTAGTAGAGACAGGGTTTCACCATGTTGGCCAGGATGGTCTCGATCTCCTGACCTCATGATTCGCCCACCTCGGCCTCCCAAAGTGCTGGGATTACAGGCATGAGCCATGGCTCCCAGCCGGATTTATTTCTTTTATCTCACTTCCTACATCCAATTAACCAACACGTCCTGTGGCTCTGTCCTCAAAATACAGCCAGAAATTGCCTACGTCTCACCACTACCAAGACACCAGCACCTCTCAGAGGGCTTCTATTATAAAATAGCCCCCCACTGAGATTCCCTGGCTCCACACCTGTCTTTCTTGAGTCTTTTCTGCACATAGTAGCCAGAAGGGAAGTTTTGAAACCGTAAATTAGATCACTTCACTCTTCTACTGAAAGGGCTCCAACGGTTGCCCATCTCACAATAAAATCCAAACTCCTTACCATATTCTTTACACAGTGTACCCTGCCTACTTCTTGGGCTCCATCTCCTCCTACTGACTCCCTAGCACTCTGCAGTCCTGTCTCTCTTGGCCTTTTTGCTTTTCCTGGAGCGCACCAAGCTCATTTCCATCTCAGGTCATTTGCACTTGCCGCCTCCTCTCCTGAAATGCTCTCCACCCACATCTTCACATGGGTTGGTTGTTGTCTTCCTTTATGTAGGTTTCTAACTGAACCTACCTTGACCAGTCTTTCAAAAAGAGTACACCCCAATCACTCCAATTCTTTATCCTGCTTTACTCTTTTTTTTTTTTTTTTTTTGAGATGGAGTGTTGCTCTGTCACCAGGCTGAAGTGCAGTGGCACAATCTCAGCTCAACATCTGCCTTCCGGGTTCAAGCGATTCTCCTGCCTCAGCCTCCCCAGTAGCTGGGATTACATGTGCCCACCACCACACCCAGCTAATTTTTGTGTTTTTAGTAGAGATGGGGTTTCACCATATTGGCCAGGATGGTCTCAATCTCTTGACCTTGTGATCTGCCCACCTTGGCTTCCCAAAGTGCTGGAATTACAGGCATGAGCCACTGCACCCAGCTTTTTTTTTTTTTTTTTTTTTTTTTTTAGACAGAGTCTCACTCTGTTGCTTAGGCTGGAGTGCAGTGGTGCGACCTCAGCTCACTGCAACCTCCACCTCCCAGATTCAAGTGATTCTCCTGTCTCAGCCTCCCAAGTAACTGGTACTACAGGGATGTGCCACCATGCCTGGTTAATTTTTTTGTATTTTTTCGTAGAGATGGGGTTTCACCATGTTGGCCAGGCTGGTCTCAAACTCCTGACCTCAAGTGATCTGTCTGCCTCATCTTCCCAAAGTGCTGGGATTACAGGCGTGAGCCACCATGCCCAGCCTATCCTGTTTTACTCTTCTTTATAGCACCATCTCCACATGAAATCACACCACACATGTTCATGCACTTGTTTACTGTATGTCGTCACTGCTGTTCCTGAAGCTCCATGAGGATGGGGTCTTAGCCTGCCTTGGTCCCTTGCTTTATCCAGGGTGCCTAAAACAATGTCTATCGCATATCAATCACATAGCAGAATGTCTATCACAATATTTATTGAATGACTGAATCAGCAAACTCACATATAAAATTTGGGACAATCCAAAACTTTTTGAGAAACAACTTTTAGACTCAACACACAATGGGTGTACGTATCCTTTTTTAGCACATGGCTCATGTAGAGGCCATTTTATCTGTGATGGATTTACCACAGGGCCACAGTGCTTACAAAGAAGAGAGAGAATTGAACATTCTAAAGCGCGTTTAGCGCAAGGAAGGTCCTGCCTGGGCACTGGAGTTCTGGGTGGGACTTTGTTTTCCTGCAGCATAGTAAGGTACTGACAGATTCAGACTTTGGTGCATTCCCAGGACATGTGGCTTCCAGCAGAAAGGTGGGTCATTTCCAAGCAGTCGAAGCATTTCGTCTGTGCGACACAATTTAGAGCCCTTCCAGAATCCATTTTCTCAGTGGACCTCCAGGAATTCCCTGTCAGGAAAGAGTCAGACCTGCAGGGGGAGCTGATAGCATGCGTCCATCCTGGAAAGCCTCAGAAAATGGGGGTCCAGAAATCTAGCTATTCCTTCAAGTGGGATGGATTTAAAAGGTTATCGAATTTTATAAACATCCAGGATATTATTCTCTTACTCCTGCCAGAGGCTGAGAAATTGAAAGATTCTTAAGACTCAAAATCGCAAGTGGTCAAATTGCTTTTATACAGCCCGTATACGGCAGGATTTTATCGGAACTCTGGGGCCACTTCCTCTTCAAGGATAGATTTGAGAGTCCCTTATCTCCTTGTCTACAGACGTTGCCAAGGTGGTGGCTCCAAATGATGGTGAAGAATGCACAAGAAACACTGTCAAAATTCTGCCTCAAAAACACAAGAAGCCAGCTCTCATTATGAGATAGAAACTCTTGTGGGTTTATTGAGAGGACCCCAGAATTTCGCTTCATGCAAACAAGAGCAAAACCATGTGACCGTCCTGTTCAGAGGCCGAAAAATACTCAGCAAAATGGAAATCACTGTATTAATCTTTGTTTATTCACAAATAGCCAGGTCAGAATTAATTATCAAACCTTGCTTCTAAGTTCACACCAGGAACTCCATTAAGCTTTCCTGAAGCTGGTTTTTTTTTTGTGGGTCATAAAGTTTGCTTACTCTCAGACTCCAGTCCTTCAAGGCAACCCCTGGCAATGACAAAGAGTCCTAGTTCCCATCCCACTGTCACTCTAACAAGAGCCAGAATAGTGAGAAGGAAAAGGGGGTGGTTCCTCTCCGCCTGCTGTCCTGTGTTAGATCTGGGAAAGGGCAGGAGGAGACCTTTGCTGAGAGTGGTGGGCCTGGGACTGCCTCCAAGGCAAAAGTATTCAAGTCTTCACAGTGGCCTCAGCATCTCCTTTTCAAGCTTGTGAATTCCTGGACTTCTTTCTCAAGATCTTAAAACCAAAACAGCATATAGAAAAATACATTTTTCAAGGTTGCTCATTCCTTGTCCACACGGTAACATCCATGTCAGTGTATCTGATTATGTGCTCAGATCTCAGCAAGCTGTGGCTGCAAAATAAGGATGCATCTAGATTGTAATGACTTGGAGTCATCACCCGCCCAAAAGAGCAGAAAATTCAGGCCCCCTTCCCTTGGTTCCCTTCCTCAGGGTCCATGTTTGTCTACTATTACTTACATAATTAATAGCTCTAAAGGAATGCATCTTACAACTAACATCAAAAATTAAAAACACAACTCTTGGAGTACCTCCAGTTCAAGGTGTTGGCTGTTCCTAGTTGTCTGATGGTCATCCTCAGCCTGTGTGCTGAGGATCCACTCATCTGGTCGTCCCTGCTTGGAGTTATCTGCACTGGGATAACTGGAGGTGGGAGGCAGTGGAAATTTCGATTCCCAATGCCTCTCAGATTTGTTGCAGTCTTCCTGGATGTATCATCAGCATATGAAATAGGCATAGAGGGAAGAGGGGCTGCTTTGGCCGTGAATGTGACACATACGTACTTTGGACCTGTTGGGTTTGAGACACCAATGTTTCCATTACTGCATCTTGAAGGGTAGGGGCTTGAGGACCTCCGAGATTCTTCCAGATCATTCATGCCAAAGGCAAACCCTATGATGGTGTATGCTGATATTTGATGACAATGGAAAATGAGGTGTGTGCTTTTGGGAAGACTCTATCAGGCATATGGAAAGCGCTCTGGTGTTTGCCCCTTGCTCTTATGGCCTTCCTGTCAATTTCTTCATTTGTGACACGCTCATGCATCCATTCTTCATTTATTCATCCCCCTTTCCTCTCAGTTCTCAAAACATTGTATTTGGGACTCTTCTGGCATGTGTTTTCTCACATTGCATTGTGTCACCAATGCATGTTGGATAAATGAATGGAATGAGAAAGGATGGGGAAGTCATGTTTTGGCAAGTACTCCCACACAGGAAGAGAGCTGCAGCAAGAAAGTAACCAGACCACCCCCGCCCCCTAAAAAGCAAACATTTAAAAAAAACACAAATGGATATAAAACCCAATGAACTCCATGTCCTTACGATGAAAATAACAATCTTGGGATAGTTAGCGTAGCATTATTGTAGGGACAATAACGACAACAGCTGACTTTTTTGTATTGTTGATAATAATGATGTGAGCACATTCTATTTGTCAGGTATGCTGCTGAAAGTTTTATGTACACACTATGTATCTAATAGATACATATTATCTCATTTAATCCTCACAATGACCCCAGGAGGTAAGAATTATTACCCCCATTTTATATATAAGGAAACTGAGGCTGAGAGGTTAGGTCACTCCTACAAGATTGTATAGCTGCTAGGAGGCAGCTGGAATTCAAAGCTGGTCAGGGCGACTTCAAAGCTCAGACTCTGTCCACTCTAGTATCTTGCCACTGACATCATCACTGTGTCTAGTCCATATGATAAATGGTGTTCCTACTGGTGACCCTAAATCATCCTGTCATTTCCTAGTCTTAGAAAAGTGCACAGATGTATACTACCATTTGGAAAGAGCCCTTCCCAAAGGCTCAAAGTTAAAATGTTTTAGTTCTCAGTTGGTTACTCTTCAAATACCTGGAAATTTCATTTATATGGAGATCTTTTTCCCTATCAGTAAAACAAATGAGGAATTACAGTAGTTTTCTTGAGATTAAACCCCCAGAAACACACACAGAATGCCAGGCACAAATGCACCATGACTTTGCACATGAGAAGAGTGATATATTTTGGTTTGTTTCTAAAATCTTAAGAAATCATGTCCCAGACTAGTTTAACCTCTTGAGCCATAAAACACATTGGCCTATTGGCCTACTGGATTCAGAGAATAATCCATAATGACTCAATTCAAAGTCCCTCTCCTGGGTCCCTGTCAAAAGCTGAGTCACAACTTTTTTATACTTATAAACTGGATGATCCCTGCCACCAAATGGCTTTCCTTTCCATTTGCCCCCACCACTGTCAGGCTACTGCTCAGCCTGAAAACAAAAGGTCCTGAAGGCATCAGATTAGTCTCCTTCGGGCTTATTCTTTCCCAACATGATGCAAGTGAAGGTTCTTGTAAGCAAAAATTGTAAATTCATAGGTGGAGCTCAGGGCTTAAACATACTGCACAGTGAACTTCTCTTTTTCTCCTTTAATTGGCCATCTTGGATAGCCCAGCCTCAACATAATTCATTAGGCTTTCATGCTATATTTTATTTATTTTCCTTCTGAGCCAAGAAAGAAGTAAGAGGTTAAAAAGCACACATTTGGAGTTAGAAAGAGTGCCCTCACATCTCAGCATTGTCCCATTCTCTGAGCAAGTTGCTTCAGTTTTTTACAGTCGTATCTGAAAAGTGGGGTTATCGTCCCTTCCTCGCCCATTCTTCTTTCTCTCTTTTTTCCTTACTTGAAAATCCTTGACATGTCAAAAGCCAAGGAGAGTGTCTAAGTTTGCAAGAAGCTTTTGTCACAGTACTTCCTCCATAGTAAGTTAGTTATTCTAATTATTAAGAGAGAGCACAAAGCCAGGCACAGTGGCATGCTCTTGTAGTCCCAGCTACCTGGGAGGCTGAGGCAGGAGGATCACTTCAGCCCAGGAGTTTGAGGCTGCCGTGTACTGTGATCACTCCTGTGAACAGCCACTGTACTCAGTCTGGGCAACATAGTGAGACCCCATCTCAAACAAAAATAAATTTTTAAAAGAGAGGACACAGCTGGTTAGGTTCACAGGAAGACTGAGAGTCCAGCAATGCCACCGGGGGTCCCAGCACAGACATCAGGAGGGGCTCCATAGTTTAGCTGACATAAATTATGGCGCGTCAGTTGGCTTTGTTATTGGTCAATGTAGTGGGCTGAATAGTGTCCCCCAAAATTTATGCCACCAGAACCTTCAGAATATGACCTTATTTGGAAATAGGATCTTTGTAGATGTAATTAGTCAAGTGTTGTGCGATGAAATCATCCTGGATTTAGACTGACCCTAATCCCAATGATTGGCATCCTTGGAAGAACAGGCCAGGACACAGAGACATGAGAAGGCCATGTGAAGACAGGGCAGAGATTGGAGTAAGCTGGGATAAGCCAAAAACTTATCTACCAAAAGCTGGAGAGGCAAGGAATTTCCTACCTAGAGGCTTTAGAGGAAGCATAGCCCCGCTGACACCTTGATTTCAGACTTCCAGCTTCCAGAACTGTGAGATAATTACATTTGTATGGATTGAAGACACCCAGTTTGTGGCTCTCTGTTCCGACAGCCTAGGAAACTCACACAGCCATTCTCTGCTTCTTCACCTGAACATTCTGGCTTTGTCTTGCTATAAAGTTTGAGCTGTGAACAGCAAATGTGAATGCGATGAATGAACTGGTACCTGAGGAGGGATTTGAGAAAGAAGAGAACAACCTCCCATCACACCCACACAAACACTGCCTGCAAGATTAAGACCGAATTCTTTAGTGTGTCCTTCACTACATGCCAAGATCTCACCAGCCCAGTGTTTCTAGGGTCAGCTGCGTTGGAATAGGATTCATTCCTCTCCCAGCCACATGCAACTGTTCAGTCGCCAGGACATTCTTGTCCTCTCCCATCCAAATCCAACCCGTCCTCAAGTTTTAGGTTCTGCGCCACTTCCTCCAGGAAGTACACCCTAATCCATCCTGTATCACCAAGGATGCTTTTGGTTGGGAGTGCAAAAATACCTAACTCCGGCTGACTTAGACAATGAGAGGAATTTATAGTTTCACATGGCTGAAAACCCCAGAATAAGAATGGCATTAGGTAAGAAATATTTTGGTGGTTCTAGTTTATTTCTGTCTCTCCATTCACCTTCTGCAGTTAGCCTTATTGGAAGGCTGACTCACCTCATGGTTATAAAACAGCTCTCAGCAGCTCCTGGGGCTTCTTCCTTCAAATCCAACACTAAGGCTCAGTCTTTGTTTCAGCATTCCTGGCCAAAGTCTCACTCTTCACTCTGATTGGTCCAGCTCGGGGTGGGCCTGAGCCAATCACTGTGCCCAGGGGGATGGCTTGCCCTGATTGGCCAAGCCAGGTCTTGTGTTCAACATCTGAAGCTGGAAAGAAGAATCTCCCTCACTGGAAACACGTGGTTCTCCAACTAGAAGCAATGGCTGCTGGAAAAGGGGCAGGAGGAATGGAGGCTGAGAGACAACAATCAGATGTCCATTTCAACATTTTGCATCGTTGGTGCTCAATAAAGTTTTGTTGAAGTGAATTACATTTTAAAAAGGAAATAGAGAAAAAAGTTGTTTTCAGACTTTCAGATTCCCAAAGGATCCTATTACGTTGTTTTCCCCACGTTGATTAATCCCTTCTTCAGTAAGCAAGGCTGATCGTAGACAGCAGAGCGGCTCTCACGTGCTGAAACCAGATACATTTCGAACATTTTCATCATTTAAAAACGAAGTCCAATGTCCCCTGCATTTTTTGTGTGTGAATGTGTGCATCGCTATAAATAGAAGTGGAAAAACACTAAGGCTCTGTGAACTCAGTTGGCAGGGGCCCTGCATTCGGACCCCCAAATATAGCCTGCTGACAATTTGCCACAGGCATGATTTTTCCACACAGTTCATCATTTTATACATTCTGAGCAACCATCCTGGATATTTGTTCAACAGTACATTTTTTCCACTTCATCTTTTGGCCAAATGTGTGGCTTTTCCTTTAAAAAGAGATGAGAATGTCAGGCACAGATAAATATATATCCCGGCGCTTGGCTATAATGCAATTCTCCACAGGCAGTTCTGTCTCCTGTCCGTGGGAGTGCTTTAACTCTGGAAGCCTCCGGAAGGCCTGGGTCTCACACGCCCTCTCCCATAGCTTGAGCCAATGACGGGAACCCTGAAGAGAAGTTTCAGGGAGTGGGAAGCAGATGTCGTTTGCGTTCAACAGAACCAGACAGAAAGGGAAGCTCGGTGAGGGGTTTCTCAGCAGAGGTGGAGCTCCGGGAAGCTTTGAAACTGTAGGGGACCACCTCAGAAAGTAGCCATCAGTCTCAGAACTTTCCCCAGCCTTGTTACACTGTTGCTCCACCTACATTTCTCTCCTTCCTTCTCTCCCTCTCCAGACCCCACCCAGGTTCCAAAGTCCAGCCTCACGGCTGGACTTGATAAATCTGATTATAGTTGATACAGGCATTTCCCTGTATCAACTATAATCAAACGTGTCAAATCTGATGTCTGGTCCATGTCAAAAATGTCAACTGGATCTGAGTGTGGGATTAGAACAGACTTCCCAATGGGTACCATGCAGTTAATGAGGGTCTAGATTCCCAGGCCAGACCGTAGAAGCCCATGTGACCCAGATGTGCTAGTGATGTCCTGGGTTGAGGCTTCAGGTCAGCTTTTGAAAGGGAGTGGACCTCACTGGCTGTTTCATTTAGCCCCTCACCCTTGGTCCTTCCCTCTCTTTCCTGTCTCAGATGTGAATGATGCATACCTAGAGGTCAGCTGCCATCTGAGTGCCAGGAAGCAAAGGCCACACCTTCTTGAGTAGCTGCAACAGTCCAGGGCTGCTTACCTCTAGGCCTTTTTACAAGCAGAAAGTGGGGCAAGAAATAAGAAAAGAGAAAGCTGTTCAAAGAACCCACTGTAGGCACCGTTCTGCATCATGCGACAGAACATAGTCCTAAACTGATTCAGGAGAGTTCTTTCTGCAGCTCCAGGGGTACTGACTCCTGATTTTAAACAACTGGGGGCCCACATATCTCTTTTTTAACTTTTTTTTTTTTTGGAGACAGTCTCGCTCTGTTGCCCAGGCCTGGAGTGCAGTGGCACAATCTCCGCTCACTGCAACCCCCAGCTTCCAGGTTCAAACAATTCTCCTGCCAAGTAGCTGGGATTACAGGCACATGCCACCACGCCCAGCTAATTTTTGTATTTTTAGTAGAAACGAGGTTTCACCATGTTAGCCAGGCTGGTCTTGAACTCCTGACCTCAGGTGATCTGCCCGCCTTGGCCTCCCAGGGTGCTGGGATTACAGGTGTGAGCCACCACACCGGGCAAGATCTTGATCACGCAGAGGCCACCAATGAGATTTGCTACTCCAGGTGTCCCTTGACAGGCCTGGTGGCGGGTTGGATTGGGAAGAGGAGATCGTGGAAACACCGGATGGATTAAGTGGCTGGAAGGAGAGGCAGGAGAAGCTCTCAAGGGACATGCTCTTGTTTTAAAATAGGCACAGCAAAGTGAAACTGCCCCCAGCAGGGCTGCTGTCCTCGCTCTCCGCTCTGGGGCTATCCCAGCTCACCGGCCATGCATGCCCCACTAGCAATTTTCTTCCTGCCAGGAGCTTGGAGCAACCTGAGTCCACACCAGCTCTCACTAAGCTAGGCCTTATCCACCTGCTACTCAGGTGGGAGGGATCCTGGATGCTCAGTGGCTTCAGCCAGGGCCACAGGCTGGTTCTCAGCAGTCTTCTGTGAGCAGCAAACAGAGCCCAGAGGTTGCAAGGGCAGGCCTGGGTCTGCTCTGAGGGGCTGCAGCACAGCCTAGAACCCCGTGGCATTTGTCAAATGGTGGCAGCAGCTCTGAGAATTGTGTGCTGTATCTGATCACAAAGTTTCATCTTTCCGCAGCATAAGACTTTGCAGAAAAGGACAGTGGCTTTGCCAAGGACCAAAGACTGAGTCACTGCTATTGTGCTGGAGTGAAGAGAGGGGGATCAGAAGAGATCTCTGGGCAGGAACAATCTTACTACTATTGTTACTTTTAATAATTCTAATAATAGGGTCACAATTGTATTTTTTTCCCAGAGTATTGTCACCTGTATTGACTCGTTTAATTCCCACAATATCCCTCTGAAGTAGGAAAGCGAAAGCTGGGGGTATTGGATTCACATTTAAGAAATGAAGAAACTGAGGCTCAGAAAGGGTCACCGACTCCACAGGATCACACAGAGAATCAGATGTGATCTCAAACTAAAGGTAATACTAATAACAGTTGTATCATCTAGGGTCCCCGCAGGAAACAGTGGCATTCTCCAAAGAGGTAGTTCCTAAGAGTGTAATGAAGGGACTATTTACAGAAGTGGGCACAGGTTAAGGGTACACAAGAAGGGAAGCATCTGAGGCCAGCAAGAGCAGGAATGCCCTGCCACCCCGACGCCTGGAGGAGCAGAGAGAGCGGGCAGAACCTCAGTGAGAGATTTGCCGGTAGGAGGGGGCCACCAGGCAGGAGCTGAGAGAAACACAGCCATTGCCAGACCCACAGAGTGAATACCTCATAGCTCTTCCCTCCCAGCCCCTCCCATTTCCTGTTGGTGCCTCCCATAGGGCAATTACGCGCATTGCCTGCAGTCCATGAGGTCAGCTTCCCACAGCTGAGGGCCAGTGGAGAAGGGTGCAGAGCAGATCCGGAGGAAAATGGAAAATACCCAGCTGCGATCTGCTGTGTCCTGATTACATGGCAGGAACCATACTAGGGACTAGGTGGTTTCGCGTAATCCTTGCCGTAGTGCTGTGTAGTAGAAACAAAATCTCAGATGGCCAACTCAGATGTATAAGGAATGAAGCAGGCCGGGCGCGGTGGCTCACGCCTGTAATCCCAGCACTTTGGGAGGCCCAGGCGGGCGGATCACGAGGTCAGGAGATCGAGACCGTCCTGGCTAACACGGTGAAACCCCGGCTCTACTAAAAGTACAAAACAAAATTAGCTAGGCGTGGTGGCGGGCGCCCGTAGTCCCAGCTACTCGGGAGGCTGAGGCAGGAGAATGGCGTGAACGCGGGAGCTTGCAGTGAGCCGAGATTGCGGCACTGCACTCCAGCCTGGGCGGCAGAGTGAGACTCCCTCTCAACAAAAAAAAAGAAAAAAAGAAATGAAGCATTTGGCTTCACGCAGTGGCTCATGCCTGTAATCCTGGCACTTTGGGAGGCCAAAGTGGGTGGATCATTTGAGGTCAGGAGTTTGAGACCAGCTTGACCAACATGGTAAAACCCCGTCTCTACTGAAAATACAAAATTAGCGGGGCATGGTGGCCGCACACCTGTAATCCTAGCTACTCGGGAGGCTGAGGCAGGATCACCTCTTGAACCCGGGAGCGGAGTTTGCAGTGAGCTGAGATGGTGCCATTGCACTACAGCCTGGGCAACAAGAGTGAAACTCCATCTCAAAAAAAAGAAATGAAGCAATTATAGTTTTTTTAAGTATATAATTTAATTTCCAAATGGAGCCTCCATTCTGCTAGGTGGCAGAAATTTTATGTCAGCTCATGGTTTCTTCAGCCAGTTCTGGATCCCAGCACAGCCCAACTCCTTGAAAACGTCTTCCAGGAGCTTTGTGTGTGTCCATGTGGCTTCCCAAGTACCCAGTCACCAGCTGCTTCTATCCATGGGTGCACACTGACATCTCTCAAGGCATCCTTCTTCCCATCTGGTCTCTTGTCATTGGATCAAATTAATGAGTGCCTGTCCCAACTATGTGATCTCTCTAGGTCCTATTCTCTTTCAACCCTCTAGGGAACTCAGGAAACATTGGGCTATTGTCCATAATGTGGTGATGGTGGTGGTGATGGTGGTGGTGGTGGCGGTGATGGCAGCGGCAGTGGTGATGGCGATGGCGGCAGCGGCGGTGGTGGTGGTGGTGTCACCCGAGGCTGCCTTGGTCCAGCCAGCACGCAGCCTTCTCTATTCATTCTCTCTTGTGTGGACCCGTGGGGGAATTCTATGAGTCTTGCCACTTCAGGGCTCCACTCAGAAGGCAAGGTGAAGTCTTCTTTGGAGCCAGATTCCCAAATGGATCTGGAGTCTCCATTACACACAACCCCCTAGGGGTTTGACCCAGAATCCTCCTCTCAGGGTCATGTGACAATATCTACCCAACCCTCTTGCTTCTTCTCTCCTCCCTCTTGACTCTTTTCCCACCCGCCTCCTGCCATTGACTCCAGCCTATAGAATCTTTAAACAATCACTGGCGTATTGAAAGAATGGCTCTGGGTAATTAGGCATATTTCTGTTTCCAAATCTACTGTTTATGCATAAGCTTTATTCTCCAAGGCTTGCAAGAATAGGATTTTAAAGTTGAAAGGCCTAGATTTTTGCAACCTAAAGCTTTTTCTTTAAAAAATATTTTTTTTTCTTATGTCTGACATGAGAAAATTAGGAGCTCAAAAATTGAGAGTCGCCATCTTGGTTGTCTGCCTTCTCTGGTGGCATCCCTTTCCTGGGGTAGTAAGCCTCAGCTGCCACCTGAAAAAGAAGGATCTCAAATTACAGGAACTACCCAATATGAAAACCATAGCAATAGTTAATGCAGAAATGGAATCATCACGAAGATAATGCAGCTTAAATTTCAGGCCTCCCTTGGAAGAGCTGCTTCCCCAACCTTGGGAGGACTCAAGCAATAGATTAACATGGTTTTTTTTGTTGTTATTGTTGTTTTGGGTTTTTTTTTTTTTTTTTTTTTTTTGAGACAGAGTCTCACTCTGTTTCCCAGGCTGGAGTGGAGTGGCACAATCTCGGCTCACTGCAAGCTCTGCCTCCCGGGTTCATGCCATTCTCCTGCCTCAGCCTCCTGAGTAGCTGGGACTACAGGCACCCACCACCACGCCCGGCTAATTTTTTGTATTTTTAGTAGAGACAGGGTTTCACCGTGTTAGCTAGGATGGTCTCGATCTCCTGACCTCGTGATCCGCCCGCCTGGGCCTCCCAAAGTACTGGGATTACAGGCGTGAGCCACCGTGCCCGGCGCAGCATGTTTTTAAAAAATATGCAAAAATCAAGATATAATATTTTAACAATTCCTGAAGCCCACATCTCCCACTCAGACTTCGTTTCCACCACACATCTGCTTGTATTGGGTGGTGATGCGGCTCTTTGGGGCTTTAGCCGAAGGGAAGTCGAACTGGGTCTACACAGTAACATCCTCAGCCTGGACTAGGGCAGTGCACACCCTCTACTTTCAGAAGCTCCTCTCTTGTCCTTCTCTAGCTGCATTTCTACCCTAAGGGCAAGGAGTCTACAGGGCCAAAGGGAGCTTCACCCTCTTCCAGGCTACTCCTCAGGTGCGGCAGCCATGGGAATCTGCCTCTCAGAGCTTCCTTGAAGAAGAGCATGAGGGACTGGGTGCAGTGTCTCACGCCTGTAATCCCAGCACTCTGGGAGGCTGAGGTGGGCAGATCATAAGGTCAAGAGATCGAGACCAGCCTGGCCAACATGGTGAAACCCCATCTCTACTAAAAATACAAAAATTACCTGGGCCTGGTGGTGCACACCTGCAGTCCCAGCTACTTGGGAGGCTGAGGCAGGAGAATCACTTGAAGCCGGGAGGCAGAGGTTGCAGTGAGTCGAGATTGCGCCACTGCACTCCAGCCTGGCAACAGAGAGAGACTCTGTCTCAAAAAAAAAAAAAAAAAAAAAAAAAAAAACCACAGGAAAAAAAAAAAGAAGAGCATGCTGTCAGCAGCAAGGGCTGCAGTTAGCTGAGACCTCCAGCTAGAACAGCATCAGGATCTGCCACACTGTCTGAGTCAAGGCCACACTTCCACCAGGCAGCCTTCAGCTAAAGAGGGACCACAGCAGGAATCCTAGTGGCTGGCCAGCTCTGCCAGTGGGAGAGCCTTCTCATGGGCAGTCTTTCACTATAGCTCCCTATTGGGTTGGACCAGGTTTCATCAGATGGCATCTCACTCTGAGCCTCTACCTGCTTACTCTGCTCCTTCTCTAGTTCCTTTCACAGGTTCAGATTGGCATTGGGATATGAAGTCTTTTTCTGCCCAATCCTGCTTCATCCTCCTATCACGTTAACAAGGCTTACCTCTTACTCAGTCTCCAGCACTCCTAACTGACTCCATTTCTTCTACCCAGAGGACCTGACCTGACACCATCGATGCTGGAAGTGGCCTGAGAAAACAATAAAGAGAGGGCGTGGCACCTTGATCAGCTAGCATGAGGGCTCCATCCCAGGTGGTCTGGGAGGCACAGAGGGGTGCCTAGGATGACACAGCAACCCAATTGCTATGCTTTCAGTGATGCTGACTTGGGAAATTGCTCTGATGGGAAGACCCAGGTGGCGGATGCCCCTGATGACTTTGGTTCCCAAGACCCCTCTGAGCCCTCAGTGCTGGCAGGGATTGCCACTTCTCTCAAGAGTCAGCCCTTTCCCCACCCTGTAGAGGTCTCTCCCCTACACGATAGCAGGGCCCCCCTCAGGATCTGCCCCCATCTCCTTTCCTGGCTGCAAAGCCAATAAGTAGGATTAAATGGCAGCATAACCCAGCTGGGGACAGGCTAGGCTTGATAAGGGAGGAAAGCAAGAGCCCCCAAAGGTGCTGCAAGAGTGGACTGCCATAGACCAGTGGGCGCTAAGGGGGGTCCAGGCAGGGAGGGTGTTGATCAGGGTGGGGCTTAAGACCAGGTTTATTAGTTCATTCTCATACTTCTATAAAGAACTACCTGAGACTGGGTAATTTATAAAGAAAAGAGGTTTAATTGGCTCACGGTTCTGCAGGCTGAACAGGAAGCATAGCAGCTTCTTCTCAGCTTCTGGGGAGGCTCCAGAAAACTTACAATCTTGTGGTGGAGGAAGGGGACACGGGCACGTCTTACATGCCAGAGCAGGAGGAAGAGAGAGAGAGGGGGAGGAGGTGCTACACACTTTTAGACAACCAGATCTTGTGAGAACTCTATCATGAGAGCCGCACTGGGGAGACGGTGCTAACGCATTCATGAGAACCTGCCCCCATGATCCAATCGCCTCCCACCAGGCTCCTCCGCCAACATTGAGGATTACAGTTTGACATGAGATGTGGATGGAGACACAGATCCATACAGATCCAAACGGTATCATTCCACCCCGGCCGCTCCCAAATCTCATGTCCTTCTCACATTGCAAAATCCAATCATGCCTTCTCAACTGTTCCTTCCCCAAAGTCTTAACTCATTCCAGCATTAGCTCAAAAGTCCACAGTCCAAAGTCTCATCTGAGACAAGGCTAGTTAGTCCCTTCCACCTATGAACCTGTAAAATCAAAAACAATTAGTTACTTCCAACGTACCATGGGGGTACAGGCATTGGGTAAATACTCCCGTTCCAAAAGGGAGAAACCGGCCGAAAGAAAGGCTGCAGGCTCCACTCAAGTCTGAAACCCAGCAGGGTGCCATTACGTCTTAAAGCTCCAAAATAATCTCCTTGATTCCACGTCTCACATCCAGGGCACAGTGATGCAAGAGGTGGGCTCCCAAAGCCTTGGGCAGCTCTGCCTCTGGGGCTCTGCAGGGCTCAACCCCTGCGGCTGCTTATAGGCTGGCGTGGTGCCCTGAAGCAGGAGAGGCACATGGTAAGTGCTTAATCGCCGGGAGCCAGAAGGTCACACCCATTGTAACAACTGGCAAGGCTGGAGTGGCAGCCAACAGGGCTTGACTTCCAGAGTGAAGGAGATGTTGACAGAATACAGCAATGCTAGTGAGGGGCGGCCCATACGTGGACTGCTGTGTGTGTGTGTGTGTGTGTGTGTGTATTTACGTGTGTATATATAAACTGGACTGGAGTTAGCTTTTTGAAAAATATGACTTTTTAGTTTACTCAATGTCATTTTATTTATTTGTTTTTTTTGAGACGGGCTCTCACTACATTGCCCAGGTTGGTTTCGATCTCCTGGGCTCAAACGAGTCTCCCAACTCAGCCTGCCGAGTAGCTGGGATTACAGGCATGAGACACAGCCCCTGACTGGAGTCGGTTTCCAGAACGGAGAACTATTGACTGAAGAGGTGGCTGGGTACCCAGGAGAAAGAATCCTGTGACATGACAGTTTTTAAAGTAGAGATTTCAGATAAACAACAGGACCTATGACCATTTACTAGAGTGACTTTTTGCTGGGGAAAGAGGGTTGCTCAGCTATTTGAAGGACTATCTGAAGATCTGAATTGACATTGACATCCAGAGATCCGAAGACTCCTCCTAGCCCATCTCTTAGAGTAGGGCCGTGCAAAAAGCCAGGGAAGAAAGCGAGTGCTGGCTGAAGTCCAGCTGAGAGTGGGTCCACTGGCTCCGTGGATCCATCCTAAGGTCATTTTCTCAGTCCCTGAACGTATAATTGGCATTGGAAAAACTCGCACATTGGGTTTTTGGCCTGTAGAGTAAAAGCTGTCATACTGGGGAAAGCCAAGTGAAAACTCTTGATACTACTCCCACCCTGAACCTCAGCCAAGAGAGGAAAATACAAACAATATCGCATCCTGGGGGCTGCTAGAGATTAATGCCACCCTTATGGAACTCAAGGAGGCATGGCTGGAGGTCTCCCCCGTATTTCTATTTAGTTGACCAAACTGGCCCCTGCAGGAACCAGAGGGAACCCGGAGAACTGTGGACCACCACAAACCCAAATAGTAATAGCCCCAGTTACCACGACCAATGTAGTATCTTTGCCAGAGCAGATTACTACGGCCATTGATTTAATGAGTGCATTCTTTTTTATCCTGATCAGAAAAGAGAATCAGAAATATTCTGCATTCACATGGAACAGACAACACATATTTACAGTTTTGCCCCAGGGCTCTTTGACTCACTCACTTGCTTTCTGTCTTAACATAGTCTAGAGAGATCTGGATTGTTTGGGCATCCCACAGAGCATCATATTGATCCATGAAATTGATGACATCTTTCTAATTTGGCAGGATGAGAAAGAAGTAGCTGGCCTGTAGAGGACTTGGTAAAGTACATGTGCTCTTGAGGGTGGGGAAGAAACTCTATGAAGATTCAGAGACTGGCATATCAATAAAGTTTTTAGGGATGAAGTGATCAGGGGCATGCCAGGGCATCCTCTCCAAAGTAAAAGACAAATTGCTGCATTTTATAACCCCTATTGCAAAGAAGGAGGCACGATGCCTGATACGCCTCTTGGGTTCTAGAGGCAATACACTCCACACTTAACGAAGGCTATTCCAGACCATCTGGTAAGTGACATGGAAGGCTGCCAGCTCTGAGTGGCCAAGAGCAGAGTGGGGCCTGCAGCAGGTTCAGGCTGTGGTGCAGGCAGCCCTGCCGCTTGGGCCATTTGATCCAGCAGTCCCTGCGGTGCTGGAGGTGTCAATGGTGGAGGAGGATGCAGTGTAGAGCTAATGACAAGCCGCCATGGGAGCATCACAACACAGGCTCCTGGGGGCCCGGAGCAAGGCCATGCCATCTGCAGCAGAGAATACATGCTTTTCGAAAAGCAGCTCTCGGTGTGTTATTGAGCCCTGATGGGAATGGGAGAGTTGCCCAGGGGATCTAAGTGAATGCATCTAGAAATACCCAGCATGATCTGGGCTCTCACAGAGTGATGGAAAAGGTTCACCTGGGATGAAGCCTGAGCTGGGGGTGAGGGAGCACAAGGAAGTTGTATGAGCAGGTGTCCCAGACCCCATGTCATCTGCCACAGCTGCACCATCACCCCTCCCTCAGCACACCCCCATGGCCATCCCGTCGGTGGGAGTGGGCGGGGGTGCCTTCTATACCCGGCTGAGAGTGGAGAAAGGGCCTGAATTTAATTTGCAGATGGTTTGGCTGGGTGCTGTGTGCGGAAACAAGCAGAAACTGGAGAGCAGCTGCCTTACAGCGACACTCAGGGACAGAGTGCTAAAGACAGTGGCCAGGGGAAACCCTTCTGATCAGGGGGATTCCAGCATTGTCCCTGGTCATGCACTTTGTGTGGAAGGAATCTTTGCCAAAGGTGAAAAAAATCTGAACTCATGGCAGTGGCAAGAGTTCACCTTATCACCTGACTTGGCAGACTGGTCAGGGGCCAGCCTAGAAGAATGAATGATCAGAGACCAGGAGGTCTGGGGGAGAGGCAGTTCATGGATATATGGAAATTGACATAAAGAATGGTGATCTTTGCATTATATATCAACTACCTGAAAGCGTTAGTCACGAAAGGGGCACGAAATAGCCAAGTAGGCAAAATAGCTCAGCCACGGATGTCAGCTAGCATATGCCATGAGCTATGAACTGGCAGAAGCAGAGATGACATATGGGCCCAGCAGCATGAACTCCCACTTACTAAAGCCAATCTGGCTATTGTGCACCGTGGCAGTCAGGGAGGAGTGTGGCTCAGATCTCCCTTCCAGAAGGAACTTGCTGGTCAGCGGCAAGGAGAGTAGTTAGCTGGCAGCATCCAGCTGAAGCCCCTTCACAATTCACTACAGCCCCTCCTGGGCGGCCCGGCCAGCAGTGAGCATGCTGGGAGCTTTCTATGCCCAAAGCAGGACCCCTCTGATGGGCAGTCTGCACCAGAACTGCCCATCGGGTTGACCACATTGTAAATGATCTCCAGGACAGTGTGGGGCTCTCCCTGCCCATTTTTGCCCTCGACACATTTCAGATCAGCATTGTGATCTGAAGCCTTCCCCAACCAACCCTCCTCTGTCACTTTTTATCTTTCAAAAATGTCTCTCCTCAGGAACCCTCTTGCATCCCCAATTCCATTCCTGGATCTGCTTATCAGAAGACCTGGATTGATACTCCAGGCCCAGAGACCCTTGCCAACATCAGTCATGCTACCAGGGCCCGTCAGGACCGCTGCCCACGTCCTCCCAAAGGCCGGCTCACACTGGTGTGCAACCCCAGGCCTGAGGGGCTGCCAAAATGCTGTGTACACGGGAATGGTCGATCTTAGCCATGAGCCTGGGCTATCCACACACGTGCCACAGCCCTCAGGCTGCAAAGTGCTTCCTCCTGGAGAAGGAGAACCGGCAGCCAGCCAGGGGGCAGGGCCAGCTTTCCCCACACAACACATTCCCGATGGAACCCAGGATTCTGAGAATTCTAAATTTGAATCTGGCCTTTCAAATTGTCAGGGTAGAAGGATGGGACACAGTGTATTTAACGGTTTGTTAGCGTGATTGATGACTTTCAGGAATTTATTTTAAACATATGAAAAGGGGACCTCCTTTCTAGTCTCGTCCTGGGCTATGCATTTGTTAGGAGTAGGCCTGGCCTGGAGATTCATTTATTTGGGTAAATGGGATATACTGATGCATTTCAAAATCACTTTCATCAGCTTGTTGCTAGCCATCCTGGTGGAAGAGTGGTTTCTAGAAATCCTCCTGAGGCCTGTGGTGCCCACTCACCAGGCATCATGACAGAAAGTGCAGTGCTCAAAGTCACACTGAAACAAATGCATTCTGGCTGTAAAAGGATGGGTTTGTGGGGATGAAGCAAGGCAGGGCAAGGTTGAAGGAAATGCTTCCAATCATGAATATGTAATGGCAATTGCAAGCAGAGAATTTGCTTGTCATTGATACCTAGTTGAAGCCATCAATAATAAAAAACAAATTTTGACCAACTGTGCTAAGGAAAAGACTGAATTAACTTTATAATCTCTTTATAGAAACAGAAAATACTACCACAAAACCATTGCCATAGGAAGAAGCTACTAAAATGCATGCAGCCAAAAAATGTAGGAAAAAGGTATTAGAAGCATAGAAGACAATTAATAAAATGTAGTACATTATTTTTCTAGATTTTGTGATATTTGTAGTATTTGTTCAGTTTTTCTTTTTTCTTTTTTCTTGAGACAGGATCTCACTCTGTTACTCAGGCTGGAGCACAGTGGCGTGATCACAGCTCACTGCAGCCTCAACCTCTCAAGCTCAGGTGATCCTCGCACCTCAGCCTCCTGAGTAGCTGGGACTACAGGCGTGTGCTACCACGCCTGGCTAATTTTTGCATTTTTTATAGAGGTGGAGTTTCACCACGTTGCCCAGGCTGGTCTGGAATTCCTGGACTCAAGTGATCTGCCCGTCTCCACCTCCTGAAGTGTTGGGATTATAGGCATGAGCCACTGTGCCTGGCCCAGTTTTTCTTTTTAATTGTAATTTGTTGTGATTTTTTTCTCCTAAGTAAATATCCCCTTTTATATTTGATGTGTTTGTAAATTTGTATTCTTCTTTCTTAAAAAGGACCCTCCACACTGAATAAGCTTCAGGCCCCACAACACCCAGATCCACTCCTGAATGAATATTATTATTACTAGTCAAAGTATTATTTTATCACATCCATGAGGGAGATAGAATTGCCTCTGTTTTACAGAAAAGTAAAGGCCAGGAGATGAAGTTGCTTACTCATTCTGACTCTGAATGCTTTTCCCGCTAGATTCTGGAATCTTCAGGCTTCTTGGCGCTCAGCCTGTTCGTTGATCCCCCTGCTGCTTCTACCACCCAGATCCCAGCAGGGAAAGCCAGAGGGAGACTAAATAGGAAGAAGAAGCCTCTCTGAATAAGCTGAGAAGGTTCCATAACGTCCCACTCTTCCGCAGCCCGTGGTCAGGGAGCTGGGGTGGGGGTGGGAGTGGCCGCACAGAAACCAAAAACCAACTGGCCCAAACAACCAGCTTTTGCAGGAAGGCAGAACAGGCAGTTAGGGGCTCCGGATCCCAGGCCAGGACCCTCGGACCTCAGTTAACGGCTAGTGTAGCTGAAGCCTGACGTCACCAACAGAGACAAGGAGGAGAGTAGGGAAGGATTACATATCTGTGGTTCTGATTTCCTGAAATAGTCCAGCCCTGCATGAAAGGTCTCTGTGCAGAGTCGGAGTCTAATCCAAGTTCAGGATGGCCACTAAGGGCACCTGATTTATCACTTATCTTTAGCCATGGGCCATGAACATTCCTTTGCTAATCAAGGCTGTTAACAACCCCAAAAGCGTTGCGTCTTAGAGCAGAAAGAATCCCAAGATCACTGAATCCAGGGATTCTTAGGTCCACCCTGAAGAAACAGAGAATCAATGAGTGACACTTCCAAAAGCTCAATGCATGCAATTTAAACTATCATTTTGGCCAAGATATATATTTTTCTGTTGTTAAAATGTCTTCAGTGAAATGATGGAAATAATGGTGGTGATATTTGCTAGTATTTATTGAGTGTTGCCATGTTCTGGGCATTGTGTTAAAAAGCCTTGCACAGTGTATCTCAATCACCATAAGAACCTTAAGAGAAAGACACAATTTTGGTTTTTTTTGAGACAGAGTCTCTGTCACCCAGGCTGAAGTGCAGTTGCGGGATCTTGGCTCACTGCAACCTCCGCCTCCTGGGTTCAAGTGATTCTCCTGCCTCAGCCTCCCAAGTAGCTGGGACTACAGGCACACACCACCATGCCCGGCTAATTTGTTTATTTATTTATTTATTTATTTTCTGGAATGGAGTCTTGCTCTGTCACCCAGGCTGGAGTGCAGTGGCGTGATCTTGGCTCACTGCAGCCTCCGCCTCTCGGGTTTAAGTGATTCTCCTGCCTCAGCCTCCTGTGTAGCTGGGATTACAGGAACCCACCAGCACACCCAGCTAATTTTTGTATTTTTTGGTAGAGACAGGGTTTCGCCATGTTGGCCAGGCTGGTCTCGAACTCCTGACCTCGTGATCTGCCCACCTCAGCCTCCCAAAGTGCTGGGATTACAGGCATGAGCCACTGCGCCTGGCCTAATTATTAACCCACTTTTTCTTCTGAATAAACTAAGGCTAGGGGAGATCAAACTGGTACAAGTCACACAGCAGCATGTCACAGAGTTGGGACCTGAACTCGGCAGGTCTGATTTCCTTGTGCCCGCTCTTAACTGTCACATCGCCCTGCCTCTGTAGATTAAATGCAGTTTTCAATTCTGACATCCTGATCTCCCCAAGTAAAAGTGTGGTGGCCGGGTGTTGCAGCTCATGCCTGTAATCCCAGCATTTTGGGAGGTTGAGGCAGGCAGATGGCTTGAGCTCAGGAGTTCGAGACCAGCCTGGGCAACAGTCTGTGAATCCCTGTCTCTACAAAAAATACAAAAATTAGTTGGGCATAGTGGCATGTGCCTATAGTCCCAGCTCCTCAGGAGGCTGAGGTGAGAGGATGGCTTGAACCTCAGAGGCGGAGGCTGCAGTGAGCCAAGAATGTGCCACTGCACTCCAGCCTGGGTGACAGAGCAAGACTCTGTCTTAAAAAAATAGAAATTTAAAAAGTGTGGCAACCCTGGGTTGGAACCTTGTGTTTTCTTAAAGAACTTATCCTGGCCTAGAAGTCTGGAGGCCTGAATGCCATTGGTGTAACTTGTCAGATTCATCTGACACTTGCTTGGGGAGATGTACTTGAGTTACCCAATGTCATCCAGCAAGTTGGAAGCAAAATTAGACAGGGAAAAGACCTGGCCGAGTAGAATTTCAGCATCTGTGAGATATGAAAATTTGGGAATTTCCTTTGGTTTGGACAATGGCTGACTACAGGAAAGGCAACCTCTAGAAATAAATTCAGAAAACAATTCTTTCAACCTATGTTTCCCCAGGGACATCCCGGCTTCGACAATGTACTTCTGTGCAGCTCCAGGAATGCCTCTGCATTCCTCAGCAGAGTGGGAATTTCCAGTCCTGGTTCCTGGAGGCGCGTTCTCACCTCTCCCTGCTGTACTGCCTCCCACTCAGGAACTTCTTTCCCGTTGGCTGTCTCCATGGTGAAACCAAGGGAAAGAGAGAGTTTAGATGGTTGCCATGGCAACAACAAAGGCGCTGTGGTTTCCTTGGTGATACCGGGAAGGTAGAGGCGGCAGGGCTCCAGGGATCTGTTCCCCACACCAGTTACCCTGCCTAGCTCACATCCTGGGCTGCCTGGATTAGGACCATGCATGACAATAATAGCAAAACCTTCCAGATGACAGACACTCTCAGGGCCAGTGAGGCAGTGCTCTGTTCGGACTGTGGGTCCAGGCACACTCGGTCTGGGGCATGTTATTTCACCCTTCAGGCTCTGTTGCCTCATCTGTAAAATGGGGCTAATCATAGGATCAACTCGTTAGGGTTATGAGGAAAGGAAATGTGAAGTGCTTAGCTTGTGGTGAGTGGGAGTCAATTTGAACCATGATGATTACATGGTAACTATTGCTATTACAGACTAATAACCCGTGTCAGTACAGTGCAGAGAGGGAGGCAAGGCAGGTTAATAAAGCCATCTTGGGCCAGGCGTGGTGGCTCACACCTGTAATCCCAGCACTTTGGGAGGCCGAGGCGGATGGATCGCCTGAGGTCGGGAGTTCGAGACCAGCCTGGCCAACATGGCAAAACCCTGTCTCTACTAAAAATACAAAAATTAGGCGGGCGTAGTGGCAGGCGCCTATTATGCCAGCTACTCGGGAGGCTGAGGCAGGAGAATCACTTGAACCCCGGAGGCGGAGGTTGCAGTGAGCCGAGATGGCACTATTGCACTCTAGCCTGGGCAACAAGAGCGAAACTCCGTCTCAAAAAAAATAAATAAATAAAAATAAGGCCATCTTGGAGATGAGGAAGCTGGAGGTCAGGGTTGGTAAGTGGGTCAGCCTGAGTCCCACCATCGTCAAGAGCTGGTGCTGGAGTGAGAAGTCAGGCATGTGGACCCAGAGTTCAGTGCTCTTTTCACCACACACCTACACCCCCCCCTCGAATGGTATACACTTGGCCACCAGCTGGGCCTGCTTTCCTCACCTCGATCAGAGACCCTGAAAGCAGAGTATCAGCCCCTACTCCTGCCCCATGTCACTTGGTTTGCACCATAGGCCTGGACCAAGGCCACACAAGCATCTAGATGATTCTCAAAGCAATTAAGAAGCACAAAAAGGGAAGACTGAGCAAATTCAGTGAAGTCTCCCCATTCCGTGATTACTGGGAATTAGTCTCCACTGAAGGCTGGGCTGCCGGTGACTGACAGAGGGCTTCACGTTTCAGTGAGTGGTTTTTGCATCATGTAACCTCTCCCAGCATTCCTCAATCATACAATTTACACATTATTAAAGTTTCACTTGTGTGATCTAGTCGTTATTTAGAAGGTGACACATCATCATTCTCGGAAGACTTACCAGCTTTAGAACTAACCTGATTTATAATCAAATTCTAAATTCCACCCACTTCATTCTAAAATGTGAGTTTGGATGACTTCATTAACCTCTTTGAGCATCAGTTTTCCTGATCTGTAAGAGGGGCACGTAATGCTATCTCTTGACAGATTCCTTGCGAAGCTGAGAGGTGCTGTATGTATAACACCTGGTACGTTAGAAGTCATTCAACACGTGGTAGCCTTTCTTATTAAACACAGACGAGCTCATCACCGTTCTCGTTAGTCCCCCATTGGGGTGGATGCCCCGTGGCGGAATCGGGCTGCACAGGGTTCTGTGACAAGGTGAGCTCAGGAATGTGTTGCTGACGTCAGTGCAGGCTCTTGCTTGCCTCACACGCAGGTAATTATTTTAGTCTTCAGCTGAATCATCACTCTCTAGGCCAGACAGCAAAGCAAGCTGCCTGGCTCAAATCTGCAGGGCTGTCTGGGAGTGCCCATCTTGGGGCCATTGGTCACAGCCACAGGGGTGGGTCCCTGGCTGCAGGTTTGGATTGCATGGTCCTCCCTGGTGCCCCTGCCTAACAGCATGGAAAGTTAATATGTGACCAAAACCCGCCAATGAACTTGTATCTCCTAGGAATTTGGGATTGAGTCCAAGAGAGAGTTTAGTTAGTATCTTGATGTGGTTAAAATGTTTATATATAAAGCTTGGAATGCAGAATTGGCCATTGGCCACTTGATCCAGGCACTTGATCCAGGGAAAGACACACACGCATGCGCACATACATTCACACAAGTGCACACACACGCACGCACGAATACACAGATGCAGAATTCAGGGACAGATATCCCAGATCATGTGTCTGATCCTTTCTGGGTCCTGGGAGCATTTCTGACCTTGGGTTTGGTGAAATACCTTAAAATACATTCTTCCTTCTGGATTTTGTTATTGTCGTTAAACTAGGTCAAGTTTATTTCTACTATTTGCCACCAAGAGAAGGGAGATGGCCTATGAAGGGCAGGGCTGTGCTGCGATACGTTGAAAGAATTTGATTAACCAAGGTTCTACTCCTCAGGCTTTCGTTTAAATAATAATAAAGAAACTCTCACATGCTGAGCAAAGGGATTATCATGACCTTTTCTCATAGCAGATCCTCCTCAGCAGAGGGACCTCTGCAAAGGCAGACTGACACCACTTTTCGAAGCCTCAGCAACCGCATTTAAGCAGTTACTGGTTTTCACTGTTGCCTGATAAGCTCAATGCCCTCCGGGTGCAGGAAAGATCTGGAAAGCAAAATATGAAATGCACCCATGTACTGCCTGCCGCGGTTAGGGTTTCTGACTAAATTAGTTCCTGTGGAAGCAGCAAGCAATGCTTCCCTCTATGCTGGAAGCTGTCTGTGATAGTCACCATAATCAATGAGAAAAGCCCAGGGTTTGGGGATTGCCCCAGAAAACCAGCCATCCATCCCCACCACCCTCCAGGATGGGGATTCAGAAGCACTCAGGAAAGTGCCCAAGATGACGGCCCATCAAGAAGTCAGCACCAGGCCAAAGGTCATGGGGCTCAGAGGGAGGAGGCTCAGGGGTGCAGGGCCACCTTTCCTGCCTCTGAAGGACTGTCTCGAGGAAGGAGTGGGAGGGAGGAGCTGGTACAGGTCGTTTATAGGCAGGATGTTTGTTAAGGAGTGCCATCTGCACCTGCCCTGGAAAAGAGGGAGGAAGGAAGCAGGATTGGGCAAAAGGAGAAGGTGAGGCCCAATGACAGACTCGCTGACCACAGAAAGCCCAGAAGCTAGAATGGCCCTCACAGCTGGTGAGCCCAGCTGACCAAGCCCTTATACCTTCCCCATTGGATGTGGGCCACCCCAAAAGGGCATGACCTTGGGCCAACCAGCTCTCTGCAGCTGAGGCAAATCCTGAAGGGGCTGACAGCTTTGTCTGTAGACAGCATTCCCACGAGCCAGGGAAGCAAGTTTTTTGGCGAAGGGGCGTCTGGGTGACACATCACAGTGTCCACCTAAGGTACCCCCTGCAGAAGGCAGAACAGAAACCACTCGGAGGAAACTACAGGAAGCCAGATCCTGGTGCAGGCTGCTGTACTGGCTGCAGCTGCTTGTCCTCTTTTTATTAGAATTAGTGGGGAGGCTATTAGGCTGAGAGAGCTCCAACACCTCAGGTTCCTAAGCAAAGAAAAGCCCAACTCAGTGAAAAGAGTAAAATGAAACTTATGCTTAACCAATCGCAAACTGCCAGCGAATCTCTAACTACAGGCTTTTCACTTTAACTAATCAAATATTTTATTTGTCTTCGTTGTGCAAACACCTTATAAAGGTTTTCCCCTTGCGTGGCCTCGACGGAATCCTGAACAGCTAGCAGTCGGGTGCTGCCTGATACATGAATTGCTGAGCTTAATGTTCAAATAAACTTGTTAAAATCCTAATGTGCCCATGTTTACTTTTAACATTGAACCTATATGTACAAAGCGCCCATATACACTATCCCTTTGCCAAACACTTGATAAACACAGTTCCTGTCCAGAGTAGATAGTGGAACAGTTCAAACACAGAAGTATTTTACTCCCCACTGTGTGCCAGGCATCTAGTCTATAGAGGCATAGGAGCTCAAATAAAATTTTAACAAGTAAAACTCTCACCAAAATTGTCTAGGTAAGATTTTTTTAAACAAAGATGCTGGTTGGCTGGGCACGGTGGCTCACGCCTGTAATCCCAACACTTTGGGAGGTTGAGGTGGGCGGATCACCGAAGGCCAGAAGTTTGAGACCAGCCTGGCCAACATGGAGAAACCCCATCTCTACTAAAAAATACAAAATCAGCTGGGTGTGGTGGCACATGCCTGTAATCCCAGCTACTCGGGAGGCTGAGGTAGGAGAATCACTTGAACCCGGGAAGCGGAGGTTGCAGTGAGCTGAAATCGCATCATTGCCCTCCAGCCTGGGCAACAAGAGTGAAACTCTGTCTCAACAAAAAGAAAAAAAAAAGAAAAAAGATGCTGGTTGAGGAATTAGAAAGCCTAAATTTGAATCCAGGCTCTGCTGGCTATGTGACCTTGGTAAAATCTCTAAGCCTGTCTGAGCCAAATCTAAAAATGGCAGTCCCAATACCTACCCGTGTAAGGTTGAAGCGAGATGAATAGGTTAACACGTAGGCTGGCACCGCCCATGACAGACAGCAAGGACGCAGACTGCTAGTGGTCTTTCTTCCTCTGATAACCACTCAGCCACTACGGATACTGTGAAAGTTATTGTTCCAACCAGAAGGGCCGTAAACTGTTTTTTATGGCCTAATGAAAGCCAGATGCCAAACGGGGAACCACAGAACCAACGTTCAGTCCTGAAACCTCTGGAACGCATGAGCTGCTTGGTGTCTGATGATTTCCATCACCCTTGGTCTAGAGATAGAGAAGAATTAAATACTTTATCTTGGGTGCTGGTTCAAATCTGGCCAAGGTCCACCTGGACTCAGTCATTCTGAGAGACCCTGGTCAGACAGCATCCTTGTGAAATCAAGTAAGCAGCTACTACAAGCAATCCAACACACACACACACACACACACACACACACACACACACACACACACACAGACAGCCTCACAGATAACTATCTGCAAAATGGGCAGAGCTCAGATTAAAACATAAAAACCAAACTCATCTTGAGGATGAGACAGAGCCATTTGTGGCTCTGATAATTAGAAGAATTGAAGTCATCTTTGCCACCCAAGTTTGCTGAAAGTGGGAGGCAAGCAGAATATTTTTATTTCTGGTGACCTAAAAATGCTATGTTATAAACAGAACAGTTGAAAATCCCAAGCAGCAGCCTGATTTTACAGCCAAGGAAACTAAAGCCCAGAGAGGGCTGGTAACTTGTTAAAGACACACAGGCCATTGTGGCTGGTTGAGTGGGGGTCGGAGTCCCAGTCCATGGCACTGCCCTGTGCTTTCTCTTAATCGTGGGGGTAGGCGGCCGGGGTGTGGCTGGCAGTGCTCTTGAGCAGTGCCAGTCCTGACTCACCATCCTGTGCTATTTCTGGCTTTGCAAGCAGTGAAGAGAGATGGGGAAGAAGGGTCGGAAGTGGGAAAGTGGAATGGAGGCTGTATCCATTTCCCCAGGGCTGCCGTATCGAGGCACCACAAACTGAAGGGCTTAAACAGCAGGAATTTATTTCCCTACAGCTCCGGAGGCTAGAAATCTGAAGGCAAGGTGTAGGCAGCGTTGCTTCATTCCAGGGCTCTTTCCTTGGCTCACAGGTGGCCATCTTCATCTTCACACGGTGTCCTTCTGTGTATGTCTGTGTCCAAATTTCCCCCTTCTGTAAGGACACCAGGCATATTGGATGAGGCACCCACCCGACTCCAAGATGACCTCATCTCCACTTATCACATCTGAAACAACCCTATTTCCAAATTAGGTCACATTCTGAGGTCCTGGGGATCAGGACTTCAGAGCATGAATTTGGGAGCTGGAGGGACACAATTCAGTCCCTAACAGAGGGCTCTCCTTTGTGAATTAGTCCAGAGGGACAAACAGACCCACAGGCTGGTAAGCCCAGACATTTCCCATGTGTCTTTGGCAACTTGACATATAACATTATGGATCAATGAGAAAAGGATGGTCTAGTCAATAAACAACCCGAATAACCCAGCAATTTCACTCCCAGGCACATACACTCAGCTCTAGTTAGCAAATGTGACACCGAACCTTGTGTGAGAATATTCATTGCAGCATTGTTGATTATCTCCCAAAAAATTATCTGTAGGAGAAAGAGCATGTAGGAGGTTGTTACAGGCCAAAATAAATGTGCCCCCCAAAATTCATATGTTGAAGCCCTAACCCAGCACTCTCAGAATGTGACTGTATGTGGAGACAGGGCCTTCAAAGAGGTTGTTAAATTAAAATGAGGTCATTAAGGTGGGCCCAGATTCCATCGGACTGGCATCCTTAGAAGAAGAAGCCATTAGGAGAGACACATACAGAGGGCCGGCCATGTGGAGACAGAGGGAAAGGAACCAGCCTGCTCACACCTTGGTCTTGGACTTCAGCCTCCAGAGCTATGAGAGAACTACTTTCTGTTGCTTAGGCCCCACAGTTTATGGTACTTTGCTAAGGCATCCCTAGCAAATCAACACAGTGGTATATGTAGAAAGACATGCATAGAAAAGATAAACACCAGCTTTAAAACAGTGGTTACCTCTATAAGGAAGTGAGATGGGACCAGAGAGGGGTACTTAGAAGACTTGGACTATATTTGCAAAACTGTAGTTTGTAAGCTGAGTGGTGAATATCTGGACATTTATGTTATTCTTGCCATTTTTTATTATAAACCCACAGTTACAGGTAAGTGTGACTGCTGTCTGAGTGACCTCTCCTTTCGAGGCAGCCTGGCGTAGAGGGGCTCTAACTATAACTTACTGGGTGACCTTGGGATTGTCACTTCTCTCCTCTGGCTTTAGTTTCTATAACTGGAAAATTTGAAAAATGAATTAATTCAATGTTTCTCAAAGAGTGTTTCATGGAACACTAAGAGTGTGAGATTTTTAAATATATATTCTATACCAAAGAAAAGCTTACCTGATCAAATAATTTTAGGAAGCATTAGATTATCAAAGATGTAATCACCTTGTTTTACTGCAGAAATCTCAAAGACTTTTAATGAGTAGTTAACAGGGGGCTATGGTATGTATACAACAGAGTCCTCTTTTCAAAGAATAGCAATCAGTTTCTTTTTTCTGTTCATTCAAATAAAAGCTCATGTTCCTGATGGTTTTGAAAGAACATCAGTACTTTTCTGCGTGGGCTACTTTATGTAAATGCATATATTTAAAAAGTTTAGGCCGGGCGCAGTGGCTCATGCCTGTAATCCCAGCACTTTGGGAGGCCGAGACAGGCAGGTCGCTTGAGCTCAGGAGTTTGAGACCAGCCTGGGCAACATGGTGAAACCCTGTCTCCACGAAAAATGCAAAAATATCAGCCAGATGTGGTGGCATGCACCTTGTAGTCCCAGCTACTTGGAAGGCTGAGGTGGGAGGATCGCCACCAGGAGGTGGAGGTTGCAGTGAGCCGAAGTCACGCCACTGCACTCCAGCCTGGGCAACAGAGCGAGACACCATCTCAAAAAATAAAACAAAATAAAATTTAATTTTTTTTAAAAAGTTTAAATGACAAGACAAAACAGATAGCTGTCTTATATGCGATAGACCATACAGTGTGAAACGGGGCATTCTTTTTTTTTTCTTTTGAGAAAGGTTCTGTCTCCATTGCCCAGGCTGAAGTGAATGGTGTGATCATAGCTTCCTGGAGCCTCAGCCTCCCAGCTTATGCGATCTTCCCACCTCAGCCTCCCGAGTGGCCAGGGCTACAGGTGCACACCACCATGCCTCACTAATTTAAAAAAAAAATTTTTTTTATAATAAGCTAGGTGTGGTGGCACATGCCTGTAATCTCAGCTACTTGGGAGGCTGAGGCAGGAGACTTGCTTGAACCCGGCAGGCGGAGGTTGCGGTGATCCGAGATCATGCCATTGCCCTCCAGCCTGGGCATCAAGAGCAAAACTCTGCTCAAAAAAAAAAAATTATAAATGGGATCTTGCTATGTTGCCCAGGCTGGTTTTGAACTCCTGGTCTCAAGTCATACTCCCATCTCAGCCTCCCAAAGCGCTGGAATTACAGGCATGGGCCACCATGCCTGGCCAATAAGATTTTCTGTATGTTACATGGACTCTAGTTTTGCAAGATTTTAGTAAGTATTCCATAAAGAAAGAGAGCTGTAGTCAAATAAGTTTGGGAAATATCGGGTTAAGTAGTTATGTTTTTCTTCTTCTAGGACTTGTTGGAGGCTTTAATATTCTAATATTATCATACATTTCTGAAAGAAGGGTAAGGGTGCAATATTCCCCAAATATATGTATGGAACATTTTACTGTAGAAGTTATATAGAACTAATGTTCTGAGAAACACACTTAGGTAAATGGCACTTAACATATTGTGGTATATCTTGTAATGTGTATCATGCCATTAAGTATCTTTCATTTTTATCTTTTTATTTTATTTTTAATTTTAATTTTTATTTTTTTGAGATGGAGTCTCACTTTGTCACCCAGGCTGGGGTGCAGTGGCTCCATCTCGGCTCGTTGCAACCTCTGCCTCCCAGGTTCAAGCAATTCTCCTGCCTCAGCCTCCTGAGTAGCTGGGATTACAGACACATGCCACCACGCCTGGCTAATTTTTGTATGTTTAGTAGAGATGGGGTTTTGCCATGTTGGCCAGGCTGGTCTCAAACTCTTGACCTCAGATGATCTGCGCGCCTTGGCCTCCCAAAGTGCTGAGATTACAGGCATAAGCCACTGCGCCCAGCCCATTAAGTATCTTTTAAGTATGGTTTTTAATGGCTGCACCCTTCCCCAGTGTCTGATGATGCCAAAGTCCTGGAAGTGGAATTAGAGGGTCGAAAGGAATAGGCCTTTTTAAGGCCTTTCATAGGTGTTGTCTAATGCTCTCCAAGAGGCTAGTAATTCACTCTTCTGACCAGCACTGGGTGTTACTATTATCTTTTCAAATTGACACTTTGATTTGGTACCTTAGTAGTAGTTTGATTTGAAAAAAATTTATTTTTTGTTAGCTTTGTATACTAGACGTGGTAGTCAGAATAATGACCCCCCAAAGATGTCCACATCCAGATGCCCAGAACCTGTGACTGTTTTACCTTACATGGAAAAAGGTACTTTGCAGATGTGGTTAAGCTGAGAATCCTGCAATGGGAAGACTAGACTGGATTATTTAGGTGGTCCTCCAAGTGCATCATGAGAGTTCTTATAAGAAGGAGGCAGAGATGTAGCAGAAGATGTGACAACAGAAGCAAGAGATTAGAGTGATGTGTGGAAAGGGCCACAGGCTGGAGAATGCAGGTGACTTCTAGAAGTTAGAAAAGGCAAGGGAACAGTTCTCCCCTCGATTTCAACCCCTTGAGAATGATTTTGGACTTCTCACCTGCAGACAATAAGGGAATACATTTGCAGGGTTTTAACTTAGTTTGTAGTAATTTATTACAGCAGCAATAGGAAATGAATACAACAGAGTATCCAAAATATGTAAAGAATTCCCATAAATCAATAAGGAAAAGACAAACCATTAGAAACACGGTCAAGAGATCAGAACGGATCCTTCACGATCAGATATGTGATTGGTCATTAAGCATATGAAAAAGTGCTTAGCCTCATTAGTTACTAGGGATATGCAAATTATTTAATAAAACCACATTCACCAGAATGAATAAAGCTTAAAAATCTGATAATAGCAATTGTTCATAAGGTGTAGAGCAACAGGAGCTTTCTCACAGTGAGAATATGAACAGATGCAGTCACTCTGGAAAACAGTTCGGCTTTATCCACTAAAACTGAAGACAGACATACCCTACATCCAGCAATTTTACTCCTAAGTAAGTATTCACCAGAAACGTATGCTTACCAAGAGGCCAAGAGGCATGTGGAATATTTAGAGCAGCATTATTTATAAGTACCCCCAAGCTGGAAACAACTTAAACTTCCATCAGAGGTAAAGTAATAAAAATAATTATGGTGGACTCACACAATAGAATACTATGCAGCAAGGAAAATGAAGGAACTACGTACGGTTAATGCAACAATGTACGGATTCTCACAAGCGTAGTATGCAGCAAAAGAAAGCAGATGCAAAAGAATACACACATTCGATTCTAAGTATAAAAAGTTGTTTTGGCCGGGCGCCATGGCTCATGCCTGTAATCCCAGCACTTTGGGAGGCCGAGGCAGGAGGATCACGAGGTCAGGAGATCGAGGCCATCCTGGCTAACACGGTGAAACCCCGTCTCTACTAAAAATACAAAAAATTAGCTGGGCGTAGTGGCGGGCGCCTGTAGTCCCAGCTATTCGGGAGGCTGAGGCAGGAGAATGGCGTGAACCCGGGAGGCGGAGGTTGCAGTGAGCCGAGAGCGCGCCACTGCACTCCAGCCTGGGCGACAGAGCGAGACTCTGTCTCAAAAAAAAAAAAAAGGAAAAAAAAAAGTTGTTTAAAAAACAGGCAAAACTAAGAAGTAATGAATAATAGAATCAGGGTAAGTGTTTACTTTTGAGAAGGAGGAAGGAAGTAGTGACTGGCAGGAGGCATGAGGAGGTATTTCCGGTTCTGGCAATGTCTATTTATTGACCCAGATGATGGATATTGACTAAGCTATACATTTATTTTGTGCCCTTCTCTGTACATAAATTACACTTCACAGGGAAAATTTAAAAAAAAACACACAATGAATTTTTTAATGTACTGTTTGTTTTAACTCTCAGTTCATTCATAACAGTTTAGTTTTTATAATTTAGCTTAGTGTTTTAAAAATATGATTTTTCTAATCATTGCAACAAAAATACTTTCAATAAAGTCTTTCCTCTTGAATTTTAGAATGCCCCACCTTAGCCCAGCATGGTGGCCCATGCCTGTAATCCCAGCATTTTGGACTGCTAAAGTGGAAGGATCACTTGAGCCTGGGCAATGTGGCAAAACTCCATCACTACAAAACTTTTTTTAAAAAATTAGCCAGGCATGATGGTGCCCATCTATAGTCCCAGCTACTCAAGAGGCTGAGATGGGAGGATGAGTTGAGCCCGAGAGGTCATGTTTGCTGAGAGCCATGATTGCACCACTGCACTCCAGCTTGGGTGACACAGCATGACCCTGCCTAAATATATGTATATATATGTATATATACACGTATATATACACGTATATATATATGTATATATACACGTATATATACACGTATATATATATGTATATATACACGTATATATACACGTATATATATATGTATATATACACGTATATATACACGTATATATACGTATATATATACATATATACGTATATATACGTATATATACGTATATATATACATATATATATACGTATATATACGTATATATATATACATATATATACGTATATATACGTATATATATATATACATATATATACGTATATATATATATATGTAAAATCTTGTTAAATGAAAAAGTTTGAGATTAAAAAAAGGCGCAGAGAATGACCCAATGACCCTAGGGTCACATTCAGAGATATATGTATATATATCTCACATGTAGATAAATGACTACAGATAAATATAGCAAGGTCTAATTGAGGTTATCTTTCTGAATTGCTGTTACTGGCATATACTTTTTTCATGTTTTTCTATATTTCAAAATTTTCTGCAAAGAACACTAGCACTAGTTTTACAATCATAAAAAACTGCATGTGTATACACACACATACATATAATGTGTACATGGATACACATATGCATATGTGGTTGGGTGTTTTCTTCAAATGTCAACCATCCACAGACCATGAATGGAGATGCTGGATCCTTGCAGTGAAGCCACTCTGAGGGCTCTGCTGTGGTTTGGGGATGTAGGTGAAGCCATATTTTCATTGGGTTCTTCTTGTACTTGTCCTAAGAGAACAGGGACATCAAAGGTAGAAGTGCCTTCCCTGAGTTATGATGTTCCTGGTGGCCTCTGCCTTTTTGGGAATGTCCTACAAGCATCGTCTGTTTGAGCAGCGTCTGTGGGTCTTTTGCAATACTGTGGTGGAAGCCTCGGTCCATTCCACAACCCAGTGTCTCTTTTACCCTCAGCATGTTTTGGCAGGCACTTCATTCCAGGAAAATGCCCGGCTCTTCAAGTCAATTTGTATGCATTCTTTTGTCAGAAAAAGAAAACTATGTAACTCAATATGTTCCTCCCTTTGTTTTAGCTGCCAGGGAATTCAGACCCAAACTCAAGATGCCTTTATGGTAATCAGCTTTTAGAACTGCTGGGCTCCCCAGGAGTTCGAGACCAGTCTGGGCAACATAGTGAGATTCTGTCTCTACAAAAAATAAAAAATTAGCCAAGTGTGGTGATGCATGACTGTAGTTCCAGCGTCTCGGGAGGCTGAGGTGGGAGAATTGCTTGAACCCAGAAGGTCTAGGCTGCAGTGATGCCATGATGTAGCCATGATGACGTGTAGCCATGATGACGCCACTGCACTCCAGCGTGGGTGACAGAGCAAGACCCTGTCTCAATGATCACTGATTTCCTAAAGCTCCTTTAATTCCTGCTGGTAATACATGGTTACCGTATGCCAGAGCTGAACAAAACAAGGCATGGTGGGGGGCTCCCAACAGCCCAGGGTGTGGCCCAGCCTCAGTAAGAGAAGCAACCTTTCTGGAAGCTTCCAGTCAATGCCAGGCTTCTCTCTCTCCTGCCCATGGCATTTCGAACTCCCACTGTACAACAGATCAATTAGGGTCCCTTGCATCCTGTAGAGATCTCTGTACTGAGGGCCAGAGCCATGTCTGACTTGTCCTTGTCCCCATGGCCTCCTGCAGGCTCTGGGGCACAGCAGATGCCCAGTCAATGTTTACTGAACAAAGGAGGTGGTGAGGGACTCAGTGAGCCTGGCTTAGGCTGTACGCACAGGGCAGGGAGTGAGGTGGGTCCCCTGCCTCCCTTCCCAGAGCTCAGCCACTAGGCAGTGACAGGAGGCATCTATGGGTGAAAGGGAGCAGGCAAGAACCTCACCGCTGCCTGCCTGAATTCTTGTTTATTAAGGGTCTGATCTGGGCCCAGCACCTTTCATATAGTATCTCATTTAGTCTTCTCCTTGGCCCAAATGTGGTGAGAAAACGAGGCTCAGAGAGGCAAAATAGCTTGCCCGGGGTTGTATACGGTTAAGAAGCTCTGCAGGGGCTCATTCTGACTCGAATGGGCCCTCGTTCTGCTTTTAAGGAGAAGGAGCCAGCCTGAACCAGGTAGCCCCTGCTGAGTCCCCACAGGCCCACCGAGACCCTCCCTCATCAGAGGACTGAGAGGAAAGTTCCCAGGAAGTCCAGTGGCTATTTTAGGGGAAGGGACGGGCCATTTATCACAGCAGACAACATTCCCACTTGCTGCTACAACAAACATGGCTATTTCAGAGACTTCAGGCTGGAAAAAGCCCAGGGAGGAAGGGCAGCTTAGCCCGGTTTCGTTTTTGTGAATAAGAGAATGACAGCCATAGAAATAAGGCTGACAGTTCCGAGAGCGTTGGAAAGGGAAACATTTGTGCTTCATCACTCAACCCAGAAACTCTGGCAGAGTTCTAATCTCTGATGGACTCTGTCTGCTTAAAGGCAAAAAAATAATAACCATGAGTGGAGTGGGGAGCATTTCATCGCGTGACACATCAAACACCACCCTTCGCCCCGAGATGACGTCCGAGCCTGCAGAAGCCCTCTCTGTGTGGCTCCAAACACTGAGCATGATTAAATGGGTCATAAATGTTTGCAACCTGGCTGCAAAGGAGGGGAACAAACCGTTCTCCAGGGAGGTTGGAGGCCAGGCCCCTCCTAATCAGAAGGTGATTTTGGCTTTCAACAGGCCAAGGTTTCATACCTTACCACATTTTCTCACTTCCTTAAATGTTCTTTCTCTAATAATTCTGTTTTGTTGTTTGTTTGTTTTGAGACAGTCTCCTGTCTTGGCCCCCCGAGTAGCTGGGATTACAGGTGTGTGCCACCATGCCTAGCTAATTTTTGTATGTTTAGTAGAGACAGGGTTTCACCATGTTGGCCAGGCTGTTCTCGAACTCCTGACCTCAAGTGATCTGCCCACCTCAGCCTCCCAAAGTGCTGGAATTACAGGCATGAGCCACTGCGCCCGGCCTTTCTCTAATAATTCTAAATGTGGGCCACAATCAGGCATTCAACAAATGTTACTGAGCATTGGCCGGGGCAACATGGGGGCAGTCAACCCAGGAGGTCCAAGGAAGTTCCTGGACCTGGGGAAGCTAAATGGATAGGAATTCCCCAAGATGACCTGCCAGACAGTGGGGTCTTGGGTCTTGATGACTAGACCTTCATTAAAAAAATGTTTTTTAAAAACATTTTTTCTTAGAGACAAATTTTTTAAAAACATTTTTTCTTTCTCATTCTGTCGCCCAGGCGGGAGTGCAGTGGTGTGATTACAGCTCACTGCAACCTTAAACTGCTGGACTCAAGCCACTCTCCTGCCTCAGCCTCCCTCGTAGCTGGGACTACAGGCACTCACCACTGCACCTGACTATTTTTTAAAAGTTTTTGTAGAGACGGGGTATCATTATGTTGCCCCGGCTGGTCTTGAAGTCCTGGCCTCAAGTGATCCTCCCGCCTGCGCCTCCCAAAGTGCTGGGATTACAGGCATGAGCCACGTGCCCAGTCCCGAGACCTTCATTTTTCTAAAAAAATTTTTTAAATATTCTTTTAAAGTAAATGTCCTGTGGCATCCGGCCAGCTACAGTTGCACTGAAAAGAAACACAAGATGTACCTGCCTCTCCCCAGAGGCTCTGGTTGCACGGAGGTTCAGGGGAAGGCAGACAGGGAGGAGGGGCTGCTGTTGACCTGCGTTCCCTGCTCTGATCTCTCGCTTATTCCTTTGCAAATCTCTTCTGAGCCATTGCGCCATCTGAGCTTCATAACGGCCTTGTGAAGAGAAACCATGAGATACAGAACAAAAGCAAAGGCTTCCTGTAGAGAAGCCATAGGGCTTTGAGATAAAACTGAACCTATTTTTTACCAAGGTTTATTGTTTCTCTTTCTCAAGTACTGTACCATTGTTTTTTAATAACAGCTTTATTAAGCTATAGTTCACATACTATAAAATGTCCCCCTTTTAAGTTGTACAAGTCAATGGTTTTTAGTGCAGTCACAGAGTTGGATAACCATCACCATTGTCTAATTCTAAAATATTTTTATTACTCTAAAAAGAAATCCTGTACCTATTAGCAGTCACTCTCTACTCCCCGCTTCTCTGGGCCACTTTTTTGAAGGGAACAGCTGATGCCACCTCAGCTCAGGACCAGGGAGGGCCTTTTGTTTTATAAAGAAGTTAATGGGAGCCAAGGGTAGGAGAGGTCTTGGCCTGAGATCCCACTGGAGCTAGTGGCAGGGACAAGGAGAGCGTCCTAGTGAGGTCCACAGCTCAGCACTACAGGGCCTTGGGAGGCTGGTGGGTGAATCAGATCAGTGCCCCCCCAGGGGTACCAGGGAACTTGTTAAAACACAGATTTTGTTGGGGAATTCTGACGAGAGCCTCCAGGTCTGCCAAGCTCTCAGGGGATGCGAGGCGGCATCAGAGAGGCCTTGATGTGAAGTCGAATGACCTCTGGACTCAGAGTCACTCAGATTTGGAGTCAGACAGACCGGGATGTGGACTCAGCATCCCCCAGCATTTGTCACTTCAACGAAGCTCTTTCCATCACAAGAACAAAGTCTCACCCAAAGTAGTTTAAGCAAGAAAGGGAAAGTTACTGGAAGTGTAACTGGGGTGTTCTACTTCAGAGTTTGAAGCCAGGTCTCAGATGGCAATATTTACTTTATGAAGCCAGTGGATTCCCCTTCTAAGTCCAGAAAGCCCCATGTGACAGGCAGTATGGGTGGGGAGGCTGGAAGGAATGGGAGAGCCCAGTCTCACTGCCTTAACCTGGAAAATCCAACTGCCCAGAAGTACCTGGATGCTCACAGGAGCTGCTTTCTAAGTCATGAGGGAAGCACCATAGCTGGCTCCGGCCCTGGCTCTCACACACGATAGCCATCAGCGGCCCCACTGCCCTTCTCCAACGCTGGTTTTGGCTGGGACATACGGAGGGGCTGGCTTTGCCATGTCGGGGCTTGCCCCTGCCTCCCCGTCTAAGTGAGGCTACTCAGGATCTGCCCTCTAGGGACCTTCTGTCTTTGTGTCTCCAGATAGCAGCTGGTAGATTTTTCCAGTAAGTTTTTTTTTTAAAAAATCTTCCAATAGGCTATTGTGTTACATAAATTTAAACCCTAATAGAACATTCTGTTTCAAAAAGATAGAGCAGTAGAATCTCCGGGAACCAAAGGCTTCGAGAGTGACTGGAACAGGGAAGCTGGCAGAACCATCTGTCAGGACTTCTGGGGTCATTGTGTGACAGTTTCATTGACTGCTCTGCAGAGAAGCTTCCTTTGCTTCTGTTTGAGATGACAAGCTCAGCTGCCCAGGCCTGGCCTCACTGGGCTCCCCAGTCAAGGGCCCAACAGAGGCTAAGAAGGGAATCTGGAAGCAAAACTTTCGGAGAGAATATGTTATTGGCTTAGCCTGGGTCACCGGCCCATCGCTGGTCCAATTAACCAAGGCCAGGGTAACGAAGTCACACTGAGTGATCATGGCTGTGGGTGGGATTCGTTCACAAAGTAAAGGGCATAAGTTGGAGAGGCAGATACCCCAAAGCTTGTCTAGAATAGCCCGTTACCTTACACAGAACAAATGCATTGGAGCCATCACTGCGTTTTAAAATATGGATAGTAACAGCCACGCCTCTGAGTTTCCGTGGGCGCGCGTGAGTTGTTGCCTACACAGGGGCTGGTTACCGTTCTTCAGGAAGTGGCCATTTCCAGCCCGTAAGCTCCTCAGGGCCCTGAGAGCCGGGGTAGGGGAGGCAGAGGCTTTGCACGGGCCCTTCACACGCCCAGCTGGAAGGCAGCACCCAGCTCCAGTGCCGTGCGAAGTGGTGCCAAGTCCACACCACACCGTTGGAGAGACGCCAGGCCATTCACAGGTTGTCTCTGAGACACTAACAGTCATAAATACTCAGCTTTGAGATGAGCTTGCCTTGGCCCAGCCCACTATAAATAGGCCTCTTTATTTCCCTGCCTTCACGCTAGGGAGAAAGAACAGCAGAACTGGGGAAGAAGGACATTCCAGAAATGCCACAGAGACCTCAAGAGAGCGCTGCACTGTGTCTGCCTCACACGAGAGAAACGAGCTGCAGGAAGAGACCCAGGGCTCCACGGCCGCTGGATGAGGGGAGGGCCTGTCCTGGCTCTCACAGGGCCCCAGGGGCGAGGGCAGGGGCCAGGCCCTCTGCCCCAGGCCTGTGATCTTTCCACCATGTCAAGTCTACTCGAATTTAACGTGGTGGAATTTTGCTCAGTGTGTCATTCTGAGTGAGCTCCAAAGATGTCAGATTGCCCGCAGATTCGCGGGGGGAGCGGCTGTGTTCATTTTAAACAGACTCATTTTCAAACAAATCGTCTCCATCCAAGTATATCAAGAAGGAAGTCCTGCTTCTAATGGTAGACTTGTTTACTCAATGGGAAAAAATATGTATAACTTTTCAATCCCACAGCTGCTGAGGCATGCACTGGGGACACCAAGTTTCTTTCTCTTTCTTTCTTTCTTTCTTTCTTTCTTTCTTTCTTTCTTTCTTTCTTTCTTTCTTTCTTTCTTTCTTTCTTTTCTTTCTCTTTCTTTCTTTCTTTTCTTTCTTTCTCTTTCTTTCTTTCTTTCCTTCTTTCCTTCTTTCTTTCTTTCTCTCTCTCTCTCTCTCTCTCTCTCTCTTTCTTTCTTTCTTTCTTTCCTTCTTTCTTTCTTTCCTTCTTTCACGAGTCTCACTGTGTCACCCAGGCTGGAGTGCAGTGGTGTGATCTCATCTCACTGCAACCTCCGCCTCCTGGGTTCAAGCAATTCTCATGCCTCAACCTCCTGAGTAGCTTTGATTACAGGCGCGTGCCACCATGTCTGGCTAATTTTTGTATTCTTAGTAGAGATGGGGTTTCCCCATGTTGGCCAGGCTGGTCTGGAACTCCTGACCTCAGGTGATCCACCTGCCTCGGCCTCCCAAAGTGCTGGGATTACAGGCATAAGCCACTGTACCTGGCCATCACCAAGTTTCAAAAGAGAAAAGAGAGGGCCCTCCTGCTGGGGCTTCACCCTCAGTTCCTCCCAATTGACTGGCATCTTGACATGATCTCTTTTGGTTTGAGAAAGTAAAGGTGAAACCTTTGCAGGCACATTTTTTTTCCAATCTGGATGAGTTAAAAACATGTACACAAACACACACACAAACACACAAACACACACCCCAGCCCCTCCACTTAGGAATTCCTAGTGAGTTGTATTTTTTCCGCTTGTTTCCCCTTAATAATCTTCATGTTGATTTGTGCCTGCTGACACCATTTGTGTGCAAGGTTTAGGTCGGGAACAGCTCTTCCCAGTACCACTGTTTCGTTTCTTTCCAATCACAGACAGTAGGGTCAGAGGTTAGGGCTGGAGGTAGAAAAAGGAGGCCACAGTTTATGTGTGCCTGTGTCACCTATTTTGGGCATGGGACTTCTGAGTCACCACCTAAATTAAACACAGGTGTTCTTAGCAGCCCAGCCTGCCCAGCGATGTTGCTAGGAGCCTTCGAGGGGGAGACTGTCCTCTCAAGAGCATTGAAACTGGCAGAAAAGCACTTTTAAGATAAGGCCCCCAAAGTGACATCTTGGTAAGGAATGAATTTTGGTCATTCCTTGGCAAGGTCTGGTTTCAAATCTTGGTCTCAGAACCTTCTATTCTCTGATATAGACGGCAGCTCACTTATCTCAATTTTGTAACCTGTAAGATGGTTCTCTAATTCATAAATCGCAAGGTTGTTATATAAATGGAAGACAGTGACCGTTAAATGCCCACACACAGTAGGTGCTTAGCAGATGGTATGTGCCATTATTGGCATCCATTCTGGAATTAAGCTTTGTGTTCATTGTGTTTTCCACCCTCAGACCCTCAACCTAAGCTCTTGGATGGCAAGGGCTGATCTACTCACGTTTGAAATTCTCAAAGAACAGGAAGGTGTGTAGCTAGCTGTCAGCAAATCCTTGTGGGTGAACCCACCAGCACTTGGGCCTCCCTCTGCCACCCAAACCCTATCTTGACACACACACCTTAGAGGACTGTGCTTCCAGATGTCCCCTCACACACGTCAATGGTGATGGTCGGTAGAGTAAGAGATAGACACTTGGCAAGAAGCAGAAACCTAGAAAAGCACAGCATATTTTGGTTTAAGTGGCAAAGGCATCAATGAAGAGGACAGCCTGGGGACGGTCGAATTCTCAGAAAGCTGTCAAAGGTGAGAACTGCAGAGTCTCCAAGGCAAGGTCATTGGGAGGGCAGGGGCTGCAGAGGTCTGGGTGCAAGTGTGTCTGTGGGCATGGAAGGGTAAGACCATTCCCATTTATTGATGAAATACCACTGAGGGTCTTCTATGTGCCAGGTGCAGGGCTGGGTGCTGCAGATGCAATGGAGAATGAGACACAGCCAATGGAAACAGAGACAAAGAAGAGGTCATGGCAAGAGTCTGTGTGGCACCAGGAGCGGGTACACAATGCTCAGAGAGCACACAGGAGGTTGGGGAGAGGTGCTGGGCAGTGACAGCCCTCCTGGGACCTGAGGATTGAGAAAAGGAGTCAGCCTGGCCACAGGAGGAAGAACATTCTGAACAAAGAGGATTGCACTTTAAAAGGCTGAGCGTACTTGGTTTGCATGTGGAAGTCGAAGCTTACAGAAGCCTGTGGTTCTAGGGGCTGGCACTGGGGCAGACCTGTTGGATCCAGCAGTGGGTGCCCTGAGGGGAGTCTCTTGGGTGGCAGGCTGGGCATTCCAGGAAGCGTCCTTCCTTGGGGGTGATAGCACTCAGCGTCAGCAGGGATGGAGGGGGTGAGAAGTGCCCTGAGGACGAGAGCAGGGAGGCCTAAGACAGAGAAGCAGCTTTACCTGTGGCAGGCTCGGTGGCACCTGGTTCTGCCTCTTGTCCTGGAACTTGGAGCTGATGAAGGAGGAAGTTGAGCCTTTCGTTCAGCTGTCCCTTTGGCAGACTGTGGCCTGGGCAGTGGCCGACAGCAGATCAGATTCCGTTTCAAAGGTTACCTGCTTTGCCACAGGCCTGGCACTCTGTCCAGACCAGAGAACGCTCGGATTCAGGGTCAGTTTCCAGCCATGGCTGGAAATACCCTCACTCCTCCACGACGTTTCTCTGCCATTGTAGGCCTTAAAATGCCACCATCGAAGAGGCTGGTGCCTCCATGGGGCTCAGCACAGTGCCTGGCAGAGGACAACAGCCAGTAAGGGTTTGCAGTTGGAAGTCAGAGAGGGTTATGAGCAGGCGCCTCCCTGCCCCAAGTCCTCTCCTGCGTCCTGTCACCGGTGTCACTGGTGTCTCAGTCATTCAACAAGGTATGTCATGGTGTAAGGAGAGGCAGATGCCCAGGTCTGCATCTCTGACAACCTGCGTGACTCTTAGCAAGTCACTTTTCCACACAAGCATGCGAGTCTCCATTTCTGCTGTGAAACAGCATGGTTTGGGACCTGCCCGTCTGGCTCACAAAGTTACAAGTGATGGTCAGTTGATATAAAACAGATGTGTATGTGTAACCATAAAGCACAATGAAGAGATGATTTGCTCTATGTACGAATTCCCCAATATCATCTGCCTCTAGTTCAGTATTGTTGTCATTCATGTGGATGGGTGGGACAGAGCTGACAGTTTTCCTTCTGGAGAGAAGCAGCCTGTGACTGCTTTGCTGACAGAGGTGCTGACTCCAGGCATCAACGAGCATCGCAAGGAAGCCAGGGTCATGGGTCCAGGCAGATCCCTGCTCCCAACTGGTCTCTGTTTCTACAGGTAGCCAGAGAGGCCACAGCAAGCATCTACAGCAAGGGTGGGGTTCCCTGGGGTCAAAGTCACAGAGAAATGGGGAACCCTGGAATGCAAGGGCAGGGAGGGACTTGCCAACCAGATTCAGCAAACATTTGCTCGGTGCCTCCAGGATGTACTAGGCACGGGGCCAGGTGACTTATACACATTAAATAGTTTCATCTCCATGACAACCCTGGGGCTCAGGCCTCAGGTTATCTCCATTTCACTAGTTCCAATGGGTCACGTGACCAGGCCAAGAGCACGTGCCATGCCCTACTTGGCCTGTTTGAATCCTCTCATTGGCGAGGTCTCATGTGAAACATCACCTTCTCAGGGAGGCCTCCCAGGTGCCTTCTCCTGCTCTGTCTCCCAGGCCAGAGTACAGTGGCACGATCACAATTCACTGCAGCCTTGACCTCCTGACTCTAGTGATCCTCCCGCCTCAGCCTCTCTAGTACCTAGGACTACAGGCACACGCCACCATACTTGGCTAATTTTTAAAAATTTTTTGTAGAGGTGGGGTCTCCCTATGTTGTCCAGGCTGGAATTGAACTCCTGGGCTCAAGCAATCCTTCCACCTCGGCCTCCCAAAATGCTAGGATTACAGGTGTGAGCCACCATGCCTGGCCTTTTTTGTTTTTGTTTTTTTAATTTACAGAATGCTTTGTAATCACACGCTTGTGTGTTGCCTTTTTTAATGTCTACCTTTCCAACTAGACTGTAAACACAAGGTCCAGAGCCCTGTCAATTTTGTTTACCACAGCATTTAGGAAGCATCTGAGAAAACACTTGTTGAACAAACTATAGGAATAAATACAGGTATTAAGAACTTAAACATACATGGTCTGATTTTTAAAATTTTCTCCTTTGTTGTTTTTCATTGCTCTTCTTGCTAGATAAGAGATGAGAAGTGGTGTTTTGGGTGAGATTTTTCAATAAAGCCACAAAAGTTCCCATAATCTTTCTCACCCTGAAACCACTGAGCATCTGCCTGTGAAGTGAGGCTAAGACCCTCAGCAGATCCCTGGATCCACAGTGATCTCCTCCCACTTCATAATTTACAAAGCACTCAAAGCATTGCAGGTGCTCAAACAATTCATCGTGACTGTGGAGCAAGCCAATGAAACATGCTCCTTAGCTCTTGAATACACGCAGATTGTGGCTGTTTCTACCCTGGCAGAGAAGTGTATTTGGTAAGCACCTATCTTGAATAGAGTCAGCTATGGCTCAGACCAGGCTGTCAGTAGTTTAATTGCACCATTTCCCTGATGGAAATGCCTACTGCACTCTTCCCTCCAACCCCAGTCCTAAGAATAACCAGAGATAACCAGCCAAATCTCTTACGCTAACACTGGCACCTAGTAGGCACTTAGTAACTGTTGCATCTCTTCCTTTCCTCACCTGTCAAGGGTGGGCTGTGATCCTATGTCCTCCCTACTCCAGCCCCCAAGGACATTCTCCTCCTCTGAATTCTTACACAATTTCCTCCATCCTCCTACCATTGGCCGCTAACTCAGCTAACTTTGAACTGAGACATTTCTCCTCTGAATATTTGGGTCTTCAAATTCAGGCTGCGAGCTCCTTGGAGACAGGGATTTATCTGGTCTGATACTTTGAGGCCTGGCCATTCTTGGCACCTAACAAGGTTAATATAAGTCCTGGCCTTGCCCAGAGTAGCTGCTCCATAGATAAGGACCAAACTTTTGAACCTCTTTAAGACAAGGTAGATTGGATGTAGGACAAGCTAGGAAACAAAGTTGGCATGTGAGCATCAATCAGCTTTTCCTTCTTCAGGTCTGAAATGAGTTCTGTCTAAGCCTCCACCTTGAAAACTGAGCCCTTGACCCCATCACTGTAACTTCCAATTTCCCTTTCAAGAGGACAACCCGATGCTGGGAGATAAATAGGGTTTTAGAACTGGAGTTGGATCAAAACAGGAAAATCAGGCTGGGCACAGTGGCTCACGACTGTAATCCCAACAATTTGGGAGGCTGAGGCAGAAGGACCACTTCTGGCCAGGAGTTCAAGACCAGTCTGTGCTACATAGCGAGATTCCCCTCATCTCTACAAAAAAATTTTAAAAATAGTCAAGGGCAGTGGTGCCTATAGTTCCAGCTACTGGAGAGGCTGAGGCAGGAGGATTGTCTGAGCCTGGGCAATCAAGGCTGCAGTGAGCCATGATCTTGCCATTGCACTCCAGCCTGGGTGATAGAGTGATCCCATCTCAAAAAAATAAAAATAAAAACGATTAAAATAAAATGAAAAAATCTGACTGATGAGGGTCAAACTAGGAAAACAATTCTGTCCAAGAGGTTATTATGGGGCCAAAAATGGGCCTAAAAGCCAGAAAACAAGAAGTTAGGCATTCACTGAAATGCAAACCAGACAGAAAGCAAGAGAGCAGAAAGAGCTGGACAATTGCTGAGAAACAGCCCGGGACTCTGACGCTTGCCTCCACCCGTGTGGACAGCGTGCCAGTTTGACGGCTCAGAATCGGAAGGGCACCCACATGGGCCTCCCCAGCTTCCTTTGGCTCAAAGGTGTCCAGACAAAAAGCGAACAAGGCAGTAGGAAAATGGAAGCTCCAATTTCCCTTCTCATTAAAACTGTGGGTATGCCTTTTCTCACACAGAATTTCCCTCACATTCTGGGCTCTCGGCTGTGTCCAGGAGTCCAGGACTGGCTTTCAGCCAATGCACAAGCTTCCATTTCAGTCCGGAGTTAGAAATCTGTCATGCTTTGACGTTTTGGTCAAATGGCTCATGTCCAGAATCCACCAAATGTGCATTTTGCAAAACTGCCCTCTCTTCACAAGCTGCAGCCTCAATTCTCATTGTGAGTAGCTGAATATAACAAGGAGAACCTTCAGACTAGAAATTGCCTGATTTCTCCTGCAAACTTCTGCCCTGAGAAGGCAGATGTGGGGCTGCAGACACAGGCACTTATTCATTCATCTCATTGAAAAGCTACGAGTTGGTTCCTTATTGCCTCTCCATAATAGAAAAACTCTTTAATGAGCTCTCTTTTTGTTTTTCAAATCAGATATGCAAAGAAGCTCATAACAATTTTTTTTAAAAATGCGAAACAAGAATCTCCAATTATGGGAGCAAAATCTTCAGCTTCTGGGTTCCTGTCTCACTGAGGAAATGGATTTGAAATGGCAAGGAGGAAATGAGGAGGCAAACTTTCATGTCTATTTTAGTTTTCCAATGCAGTCCTATTTCCTTTGGACTTTGTATAAACAAGGAAAGGACAGTTGTTAGTTCAGTTATTACAGATAACCTGTGTCTTTAAAGTAAATGTATCTTAAATAAGTAGGACTCCCATAAATGACTACACTTTTTCAAAATATGACTCCCCAGCTTATAACAAGAATAATAGCAAACATCACTTTATTAAGCAATTACTATGTAAAAGACACTTAGTGCTTAGCACACACTGGAAATATTGTTGACTGGCTATATTTTCCCCAGAAATCCCATTTCTGAAAGCCTATTACAAAGAAATAAAATCATCAGTATAACAAAGGAGTGTGTGTGTGTGGGTGTGAGTGTGGGGGGGGGTGTGAGTGTGTGTGGGTGTGAGTGTGTGTGTGAGTGTGAGTGTGTGTATGTAAGTGCACACACATGTTGTAGTATTGTTCATAGTGGCAAAAACTAGAAACAAAGTGAATATTGATAACATGGGCACAGATGACAAATTATATCTCCAAATTATGAAACAGAATCCAGCCATTAAAATCAGAGCTTTGCCACGTGACTAGGATGAAGTTACAAAAAGTATTGTTGAGTGAGAAAAGCAGGATACATAGGATACATGGAATTGAGTATAATATGATTTCTTTTTTTTTTTTTTTTTGAGATGGAGTCTCGCTCTGTCACTGAGGCTGGAGTGCAGTGGCACAATCTCAGCTCACTGCAACCTCCGCCTCCCGGATTCAAGCAATTCTCCTCCCTCAGCCTCCTGAGTAGCTGGGACTACCGTCACCTGCCACCACGCCCCAGCTAATTTTTGTATTTTTAGTAGAGATGGGCTTTCACCATATTGGTCAGGCTGATCTCAAAATCCTGACCTCAGGTGATCCACCTGCCTCAGCCTCCCAAAGTGCTGGGATTACAGTTGTGAGCCACTGCACCTGGCCGATTTCTTTTTTAAAATGATCAAAAAACCATTTATATGTGGGAATATAGCTATATACTTTTATTATTGAATTACCATGGAAAAAAACATGGAAGAGGGAGGCCAAGGCAGGAGGATCACTTGAGGCCCAGGAGTTTGAGACCAGCCTGGGCAACAAAGCGAGACCCTCATCTCTACAAACAATTAAAAAATTAGCTGGGCTTCGTGGTTCACGCCTGTAGTTCCAGCTACTCAGGAAGTTGAGGTGGGAAGATCACCTGGGCTTGGATAGATCAAGGCTGCAGTGAGCCGTGATTGCGCCACTGTACTCTAGCCAGGGTGACAGAGAGACTCTGTCTAAAAAAAAAAAAAAAGGAAAAAAAAAAAAACTTGGAAGGTGCATTCAAGGTTGTCAACATGGTTGTGTGGGTTGTGTCATGGGCCCAGGTTCAGCCTGGAGCCATGACATGAGTGGAACAGACTAGAAGGGGAGGGAGGGGAAAATAAAGAGAAAGGGAAAATGGAATCTGTTTTAAGGAAACCCACCAGGGTATACAATATAATCACACGATGTGTATATATGCAATTATGTCAGTTATGAGGAATGAAAATAAAAATGGCATTGATTTTTTTCTCAATAACCTTGTGAAATATTATTTTTCCCACTTAATAGATAAGGAAATGGATGATCTGATTTGCCAAAGGCTATCTGATTCCAAGGCTTAAATTATTTTCCTATAAGTATGATGCACAGTTATAATGAAAAAAAATCAAATATCATAGTAAAGTACAATGAAGATTGTAAAAACTCCTGAGTTCCAGAGACACTGCTATTAAAATTTGAGAAAACAACACTCCAGAAGTTTCTCTATGCATATATACCATTTACCAAATCATGCAAAATATGCCAAAGTCAGTCGGCTGTGAGGTTATGGGGGAGGTACTGCATCCCTGCAGGAAGTGGATGCTTCTATTGTCACTCATTCTGAAAAGTGGATAATCCTGGGCAGGGAATTAGGCCAGTCTGAGGGCTGAGGGAGGAGGGGGCAGGCCCAGGACCGGCCTTGGGAGGCTCAACGTGGTTCCTGTGATGGGAAGGAGCTGCCCTGACAGCTGCAGGCAGCCAGCCTCCCAAAATGTGGATGGCAAGTAAGAGGCATGGGTAATAATGGTCTCTATCCTCCTGAACAGCTCTCCCCCTGGACAGCCGTGAAAGAAATTGGGACTGATCTTTGGACAGGAGGATGGCTGTGTCCCCTCCTGAGGTCAGAGGGGGACACTGCTTCCAGACAGGGCCTGCAGCTGAGCTTACAGCCTCTCCCGACATGGCCACGTGATGATTTGGTCATGCCTTCTGATGAATGGCTATCTGCTTATGTGCCTAGATCCACCAGAGTTGTCACAGTTACAGGCCAGTTACTAGGAGGCCTCTTCTGAATGTGACATGGGAGGAGGGTCTCCCCTTTTCTCTTGGGGAGACACTGAGGTGAAATAGGCCTGCACCAGCCAATACAGAGGCAGCAAGTAGAGTCCTGAAGACACTCACTTGGCTGCAAAAGAGACCAGGGGTTTCCTCCAGCTGCCTGGTTGGCTGCTGCTCTGAGAAGATACCAGGCCTCTGCTCCGGTGGCTTCAGGGAGGCCACCCTGGACACAGCCAGCAGAAGCAGGTCATCGATGGAGGGGTCAGCCTACAAGGACACAGCCAAGTTCATGTTCTTTGGGAGGTGGCAGCCAAGGTAAGCCTGAAGGGTCTGATTCATAGACGAATCTTCAGAAATATCTGGAGAAGTGAATCTCAGAGATATAATCCTCCCTCCAATTTGAATGGGTGGGGGCTCCTGGGCATTATGACTTGAGTATTAAGGAAGGGTGTCTTTATTTTGCACACCAAGCTGATGAGGTGAGACATGTGCATTACATGGATATAGATATGCATATCCAAAATACAAAGCTTATCATACTGCTCACCTGCTCAAAATCCAGCAACAGCTTCCCTTGGGGTGAAACCCAAACTCTTTACCATAGACCCCCACCCGGAACACTGCATGGCAGCCATGATAAAGTCTCAGTTACCTCCTCAGATCTCCAGGCCTTCACCCGTATTTCTGCTTAGAATACTTCCTACTAGAGTCACCCGGACAGTTCGTAGTCACCCTTAAAGATTCAGCTTAATGGCCGGGCGCGGTGGCTAATGCCTGTAATCCCAGCACTTTGGGAGACTGAGGCAGGCAGATCACCTGAGATTAGGAGTTTGAGACCAGCCTGGCCAACATGGTGAAACCCTGTCTCTACTAAAAATACAAAAAATAAGCCTGGTGACGTGGTGCACAACTGTAGTCCCAGCTACCTCGGGGGCTGAGGCAGGAGAATCGCTTGAACCCAGGAGGCGGAGTTTGCAGTGAGCCAAGATCGTGCCACTGCACTCTAGCCTGAGTGACAGAGCAAGGCTCTGTCCGTGCCCCCCCAACCCCACCACCACCAAAAAAAAAAGATTCAGCTTAACATGTCACCTCCCCTGGGAGGTCTTCCCTGGCCCATTCCCTCCTGGCCCAAATCCTCCAGATTTGTCTTCCTGCTTGGCGTTCCTGTAATCAAACATTTGTTACACTTTATTGGTATGTTTCGCCCAGAGATAGGGATTCTGTCCTACTTGCTTCTGTATCCCCAGTGTTTTGTATAGTTAGTATTTGTTAATCTGTTGAACGACTGAATGGTGTAGGTACATAGTTTTACACAAAGGGAACATGCTCTGTAGTCTTTTGCATTCAACAATGCAGTAAGTCTGTGCCCTTAACCATTACACGTCCCCATGAAAGGGTTTTAACTATGGCCTACAAGCATTTTACAATCCAGTCCTCATCAGCTCCATCCTTTCTGCTTTCTGTGCCTTGAATATTCATGCATTTTCATCTACAGTGCCTAGCACACAGCCAATGCACCTGCCAAAGTGAAATACCCCAGGGTGTGCCCACATTCTTTCCCTACATTATTCCATGCCTGTTTCCCACCCCTGCCTGGCTAATTCCCACCTCTCCTCTGATGTCCCACTGAAACGTTTTCTCCGTGCAAAGCCCCATCTGTTTCTCCTAGACAAAGTGAGCAAGCCTGCCTCTGTGGGCCCCTGAACCTTGCTCCTCTCTCCTCACGGCTCCTAGTGTGTACACCCGCGGTGGCTCACGCCTGTAATCCCAGCACTTTGGGGGGCCGAGGTGGGCGGATCACGAGGTCAGGAGATCGAGACCATCCTGGCCAACACGGTGAAACCCCGTCTCTACTAAAAATACAAAAAAATTAGCCTGGTGTGGTGGCATGCGCCTGCAGTCCCAGCTACTCGGGAGGCTGAGGCAGGAGAACGGCATGAACCCGGGAGGCGGAGCTTGCAGTGAGTCGAGATTGCGCCACTGTACTCCAGCCTGGGCAACAGAGCGAAACTCCGCCTCAAAAAAAAAAAAAAAAAAAAAAAAATCTGCTCTCTGACTCAACTTTGATCACTGATAGTACTGGGACTTTTGTCTTCTTCCGTTTGTTATTCCCAACATCTAGTACAGCCTCTGCCACCAACTGATATTCAATAAATATTTATTGAATGAATGAATGAGGGCATGAATTAAGAAAGTTTAGTTTCACGCTTAGAGAAACATCACGCCAGGCTTCAGGGCCAACGGGAATCCATCCCAATTCCTGCTACAGACTTACTGATCCTGTCAGTTGTAATCAGTCAGAGAAATCATCCCAGCATGCTGGAACTAGGTAGAAACCTTGTTTTGCACATGATGAAACTGAGGTCGTAAATGTGAAGGTTGCACAGCAAATTCCATCAGAAGTTGTCTGAGATAGCAAGACTGATACCCATGCATATCAAGAGTCATGAATCACCAAGATCTCATCCCTAATTCTAGTGCTGTGTCATACATTATTTTACTTTTCAACAAAATAATGATGATTCCTTAAAATTGTGTAGCACTTTATAACTTACAAAGTCCTGTAAAAAAAAAAAAAAGACCTCTGAACTAGCTATTTGTGGTTAAGTCACTTGCCAGAATCATTCAGTTCTTAAATGATGGATCCAGGGCTAGGACTCAAGTTTTTGCTCTATGCCCAGTGTACTCCTCAAGATCCAATGTCTGCCTCCAACATTACAATAAACGGTGGTTAAATAATGATTCTAGGCTCACTCCTGGGAAAACATTATCATTTCTAATCAATATAATCATTTCCTATTTCTAAGAATTTTCTGAAGGCGACATAGACCAGACTTGTCAAACTTTTACATAAGAGAGCTGATAAGATCGAAGCATGGCTATAAGAAGGAACCAGAGTGTCAGGTCTGTGTGTGTGTCTGTGTGTGTGCACGTGCATGTGTGCATGGATGTGTAGTGTGTCAGTGACTCTGCATGTGGAATACTTGGTAAAGGCTTTAGGAACTCAAAAGTGTGGGTGGAAACAAAATAAGCAAATCTCCAATGCACAGCATCTGCATAGAGTGTGACCTTGATAAATACTTGCCAATGAATTAATATGCCCTGTGTTAAAAAATTCTCATATAATTGTTGTGCCCTTAGCCAGTATTTCCATAGAATGACTTTTAACAATGTAAATATGTCTTCCAAATAACTAAATTTATTCACTCATGCTTTCATCCAACAACGAACGCCTGGCCAGGTGCGGTGGCTCACACCTGTAATCCCAGCACTCTGGAAGGCCAAGGCGGGTGGATCACCTGAGGTCAGGAGTTTGAGACCAGCCTGCCCAACGTGGTGAAACCCCGACTCTACTAAAAATACAAAAATCAGCCAGGCAGAGTGGCAAGCACCTGTAATCCTAGCTACTTGGGAGGCTGAGGCACAAGAATCACTTGAACCCGGGAGGTGGAGGTTGCAGTGAGCCAAGGACGCGCCACTGCACTCCAGCCTGGGTGACAGAGTGAGACTTTCTCTCAAAAAAATAATAATAATAGTAATAGCCAGGCGCCGTGACTCACGCCTGTAATCCCAGCACTTTGGGAGGCTGAGGAGGGCAGATCACAAGGTCAGGAGATCAAGACCATCCTGGCTAACGCGGTGAAACCCCGTCTCTACTAAAAATACAAAACATTAGCGGGGCGTGGTGGTGGGAGACTGTAGTCCCAGCTACTTGGGAGGCTGAGGCAGGAGAATGGTGTGAACCTGGGAGGCGGAACTTGCAGTGAGCCGAGATCGCGCCACTGCACTCCAGCCTGGGCGGCAGAGCAAGACTCCATCTCAAAAATAAATAAATAAATCATCATCATAATAATAATGGAGGCCTATAGGTGCCAGACGCACAGTTTCCCCATAACACAGCAGGAAACTAAACAGACAGACCAACGTCTACTCTCATGGAGTTTACATTTTTGGGGGATGCTAGACATGGATAATAACCACTCGGTTATATATTATATTAGGTGATAAGTGGTATAAAAAAATATGGTTAGGCCAGGTGCGGTGGCTCACGCCTGTAATCCCAGCACTTTGGGAGGCTGAGGTGGGTGGATCACGAGGTCAAGAGATCGAGACCAGCCTGGCTAAAATGGTGAAACCCCGTCTCTACTAAAAAAATACAAAAAAAAAAAAAAAATAGCCAGGCGTGGTGGCGGGTGCCTGTGGTCCCATCTACTTGGGAGGCTGAGGCAGGAGAATGGCGTGAACCCGGGAGACGGAGCTTGCAGTGAGCCGGGATCATGCCACTGTAATCCAGCCTGGGTGACAGAGCGAGACTCCATCTCAAAAAAAAAAAAAGAAAAAGAAAAGAAAAAAGAAAAATATGGTAAGAAAAGGGGCTTGGGCGTGGGGTGGCTAGGAGTGGGGTGGGGTTGCAATTTGAATCAAGGGGTTCAGGAAGTGACATTTGAACAAAGACCTGTAGGTCGGGTGCGGTGGCTCACGCCGGTAATCCCAGCACTCTGGGAGGCCAAGGCAGGTGGATCACTTGAGGTCAGGAGTTCAAGACCAGCCTGGCCAACATGGCGAAACCCTGTCTCTACTGAAAATAGAAAAATTAGCTAGACATGGTGGCACACAACTGTAGTCCCAGCTACTGGGGAGGCTGAGGCAGAAGAATCACTTGAACCCAGGAGGCAGAGGTTGCAGTGAGCTGAGATCATGCCACTGCACTCCAGCCTGGGTGACAGAACGAGACTCCATCACAAAAACACACAAAAAATGAACAAAGACCTGAGAAGAAGGGGCACAAACTGTGAGAATATCTTGGGGAAAATCTTAACCTTTTGAACAAACACATAATTTTTAAAACTTTGTTTTTGTTTTTAAATAGCTTATATACACTTGGCTGCCCTGCCCCCCTTTTTTTTTTCCTTGAGACAGGGTCTTGCTCTGTCACCCAGGCTCCAGGCTGAAGTGCAGTGGTGTGATCACGGCTCACTGCAACCTCTGCCTCCCAGGCTCAGGTGATCCTCCCACCTCAGCCTCTTGAGTAGCTGAGACCATAAGCACGTACTACCATGCCGAGCTAATTTTTGTATTTTTTGTAGAGAGAGGGTTTCACCATGTTGTCAAGGCTGGTCTCAAAGTCCTAGGCTCAAGTGATCCACCTGCCACAGCCTCCCGAAGTACTGGGATTACAGGCATGAGCCACTGCACCCAGCCTACACGTGGCTGCCTTCTGAGAGGATCTAGCAGGTAGTTTAACATGTTCCTGATAATTCGGGCATCTCTGTGATTGTCAATGCTGGGCACCATGTAGTGCTGTCCATGGAGGTGGAGATGGTGGAAGCTCGGAGGACTAGAGGACTATTTGCCCCCCCGCTAGAGGGCTCCAATCTGTTTTTCTTCTGCATTAATTCTATGGCATCCACTCCTCTCACACCCTATTATTTCTGGTAGTGTCCCAGCATCACTACGCCATGCGTTTTGTCTGCTTTTTCGTAATACATCATTGGTTTGTTAGGATTGGGTCTAGAAGATAAAGACTTGAGCAAAAGGCTAAAATGCAGTGCACAGGCTTTATGACATCTGCTCTGCCTCTCTGCCTATTCACATAGGACATTTTTTGCTTATTTCCTTACTCTCAATTTCCTTTCTGACTGTCTGAATGCCAAATAATTAAATCCCTGATTTGGGAACTGTTGCTAATTAATACCTCATTGTCCTTCCTTTTAGGGCTCAGAACCATTTTCTTTTTTATTTCAACAGATTTTCTTCATAGGAAGCAAGTTAATGTGCAGGTTTCCACAGAGCAGTGGAGACAGACTCAGGATAAAGCAGTGCATGAGGAGAAAGTTCCCAGGACAGGATCCAAGAAGCTCTCAGTGAGGGGAGGGGACCTGAAAGCACAGAGAACAGAAACTGTCTTTATTTATTTTTTAGCCAGTATGCCGTTTGCCTATAACCTAATAGTGGCACAGAGGAGGCCAATAATTCATAGCTATTTTATGCACATCAGGGAAAGGAGAATGAAAATACTCTAATAAAAGTCCATGGGAAGTGCAATGGGAGCACAGAGTAATGAGTAATAGACTCTTACATGGAATTTGGGATGGGCTCACAGCAGAGGTGGCATTTAAGTAAACCTTTAAAAGATAAGTACGTTTTCATAAGTAAAGAAAGGAGGGAGGCCATGTGCGGTGGCTCACACCTGTAGTTCCAGCACTTTGGGAGGCCGAGGCAGGTGGATTACAAGGTCAGGAGATGGAGACCATCCTGGACAACATGGCGAAACCCTGTCTCTACTAAAAATACAAAAATTAGCTGGGCGTGGTGGCGGGCACCTATAATCCCAGCTACTCGGGAGGCTGAGGCAGGAGAATTGCTTGAACCCAGGAGGCAGAGATTGCAGTGAGCCAAGATTGTGCCATTGCACTCCAGCCTGATGACAGAGTGAAACTCCATCTCAAAAAAAAAAAAAAAGAAAGAAAGAAAGGAGGGAAATTTCTAGACTGAGGAAACAGCAAAAGGAAAGGCCTGAAAGGAGGGAAATGCCTAGTTTATTGACAATAAAAAAGTGAGCAAATAATTAGTATACTTTGACTTTTCTGGCTCTTTTGACTGGAAGCCTAGGATCCTTCAGGTAATATGCTTGCTTAAGGCCCCGTTTTCCTTTTCCTTTTTTTTTTCTTTTTCTTTCTCCAGGTTTATATTTTTGCAACATTCTCACTCATACAAATCATCAGCTACCAACTAGTCATTCAATGGAGCTGAAATTTAGGGTGCACAGGGAAGTAATGAGAAACAGGCCAAGAGTTACCAGGGACCAGACTGATCTAGTCTTACCTAAACACTAGAAGGTTTGGCGGGGTGCAATGGCTCATGCTTGTAATCCCAGCACTTTGGGAGACTGAGGCAGGCAGATCACTTGAGGTCAGCAGTTCAAGAATAGCCTGGCCAATATGGTGAAACCCATCTCTACTAAAAATACAAAAATTAGCCGGGCGTGGTGGTGCATGCCTATACTCCCAGCTACCTGGGAGGCTGAGGCAGGAGAATCGCTTGAACCTGGGAGGCAGAGGTTGCAGTGAGCTGAGATTGCACCACTGCGCTCCAGCCTGGGCAACAGAGCAAGACTGTCTCAAAAAAAAAAACAAACAAACAACAACAACAACAACAACAAAACACAATGACAACAACAACAAAACACAACGACAACAACAAAAACAAAGTATATCACCCAGAGAGCCATGTTTCCCAAGGCATATTACTGGGAACTGTATTTGTGTGAGACATTTCTTGGAGTTACTAAACCAAAAAAATAAAAACTCCTCTGGTTGATTATATTTTGGAAATATGCTTGGTTTGATGAGGCTAAACAGGTTTCTTTCCTGCAGGACTTGGTGCACTGCAAGGAGGTCAGGGAAACAGAGACAGAGAAGCTGCTTCTCCAAACTTCAGTGACCACACCTGTGTTCCTGCAGCTGAGTGTCTCTCAGAATGGGTGTCTCTTAGGGACACACTGCTGTAGCTCAACACAGGAGCATTGCCAACACTTTGAGCTGGAGAATAACACAAACCACAGATGAGCCTCTTGGAATGACCACTGTGGGGACCTGAAGGTGTGTACTGGAGGCTGGACAAGCGTTGAGGGGCTCCCCTGGCGAGCATCTGTGACAGGTTTGATGAGGCCTGTTCCCAGCAGTGGCAGTGAGACTGGCATGTCTGGATGACCTCTACCCAGAGGCCCAGCTTTATTGCAGGCTGGCTCTGAATCCTTTCATCTCTGGCCGCAGCCGGACAAAGTGCCAGAGCTGAGCAGCTGCCTCAGTTCTCCAGCCCCTGTGCTCTGAGAGGCCACACAGGGGACAGAGATCAGAGGAGCCGACACCAAAGTGATGCAACTGCCCTCCCAGGAATGCTGTTCTCAACAGAGGAAAAAGAGTGGTGAAATGGGAGCCATGGGCCCTGTCGGGGCAGGACAGGCTTCTAGACCTCATCCTCGTGTTTAACTCCTTTATTTGACGTATGGGGAAACTGAGGCCCAAGAAGGGAAGGGAGTTGCCTAAATTCACACAGCTGGACACATTTTTCAAATAACTCCACTTATCTTACAGTAGTTTTGCATTATTTTTCTCATTGTTAATTTTAATCATTTTTTTTTCAAATACTTATGACTTCACGTCCAGGACCCTCCAATTAATATTGTTGCTCAAGACTCATATTTTTTCTAGATTCACTTTTTTTCAGTAATCAAAAAAAAGCGAATCACTTTCTTTTGATGATCTTGCCTTTGACTTTATGGCAAACTAACAGATTTTAAAACATAAGGAGAATAATGACAGGAACAAGTCCTTTGCCAAGGACTTGTTGTGCCAAAAATATCCCTTACCAAATGGTTTCCTCACTCAATAAATTTTCCCTCGTCCCTCATTTGACAAGTGACCTTCAAAGAAAGGAATCACAAAAGGGAGAAGGCAGCTGCCCTCAGGAGTTGAAGAGACAGATCTTGATCAACTCGGGGCTGAGCAGAGGAAACCTCAAGTCTAGTTCTGTGCTAGCTTTGGGGCCTTGAGGAAGTCAGAACCCTTCCTTTTGCGGGTCCTTTGAGTTTCTTGGCCTGGTGGTCAAGGTCCTTCGTATGTGTCCCTAGCCTATGTCCCCAGCCTTTCCCTCTTACGTCCCCATAGCCAACTTCTGATCCAGCCAGATGTCCTTCATGGTCACCAGCATTGGCAGGCCTCTCCCACCTTTCCCCTGCTCCAGTCTTGCTCACCTGGGAGATCCTTCCGCTATTCTAGTTATTATTCTATTCTTCAAGTTCCTGCTTCTTTCCTGAGGCCTTCCTTGGCTTCTCCAATGCAAATTATTGTACAGTTCTCTTGAATGCTCAGTACTTGATAGGATGGCCAAGACGGATGGGTTCTTACAGGTTATTACCTTCAGCCCTTTTGTTTTATAGGGGAGAAAACAGAGGTACAGAATGGGAAAATAATTTGCCCAAAATCACACAATAAACGAATGGGGCTAGCTTTCCTGATTCCAGACTCATGCCCAGTTTACAATATCAAGAAAGTTGATACTATTACATTCATTTGCCACTTGTAAGAATTATAAAAACCCATATTCTCACACCTTGTATGTTAACATCATCATTAATCCTCTTAGCCATTAATTCATTCAGGTATTCACTAATTTAAGCAGCCAACATGTATGAGGGCCAATGTCCAGGCACTGAACTGTGCTAGATACTAAGTATTGCTACTATTTCCATTTCATAGTGGAGGAATCTGACTATGACGAGTTCTGTGATTGCCTCTAATTTACTGAATAAGTTGGGTCTCTTCAGGAAATAGAACTAACTCAGATGGTTTCCATAGAGGAGCTCTTTCCAGAGGTGTAGACAGAATTAAAGGAAGACAAGAAATGTTGAGGCACTGAGACCCCAGCGACAGTGAGAAGCTGAGGTCAGGAGGGCAGAGAGAGGACATAACCTCCCTGAGGCCCAGTGAGCAATGGAATGCAGTCCGCGGAGCTGCAGGGATTGAGGTGCAGAGCTGCTGCCAGAGGTCAAGCTGGGGCAGAGGGGAAGAAACCCTGTCCTCACCCCCAATCTCTTTCCAGGGATTTAGGGGGTTAAAACCTTGTCCTCACCCCCAATCTCTTTCCAGGGATTTAGGGGGTTAAAACCCTGTCCTCACCCCCAATCTCTTTCCAGCTCTCCCTTTGGGCAGAGCTCAACCAGAAGATAGACCACAGAGAGCCCAGAGTAGGCAGTCCATAGAGGTCAGCCCCTGGGGCGCAGAGCAGGGTGGACAGTGGCTCTAGAAGCTAGCGGAACTCTCCAGACTCATACACAGCTGGAAGTGGGGGAGCTGGGATGCCACAAGCCTGTGTTCTTTCTTCTGTACCACGTGGCTTGCTCGTGCTTATGTCCTTCTGTTCATTCATTCAATCATTTGTTCAGGCTATAAATACACTGAGCACGCACTCACTCCTGGCCAGCCTCTGTGCATATGTCTCATTTCCCTCCCCAGATCACGAAGCTCAGACCTTGCCTTTTTATTGTTTGTTTGTTTGTTTTTTTTTTGAGACACAGTTTTACTCTGTCACTCAGGCTGGAATGCAGTGGCACGATCTTGGCTCACTGAAACTTCTGCCCCCTGGGTTCAAGCGATTCCCCTGCCTCAGCCTCCTGAGTAGTTGGGATTACAGGTGCCTGCCACCACACCTGGCTAATTGTGTTTTTAGTGGAGATGATGTTTCACCATGTTGGCCAGGCTGGTCTCGGAACTCCTGACCTCAAGTGATCTGCCCACCTCGGCCTCCCAAAGTGCTTGGATTACAGGCGTGAGCCACCACACCCAGCCCAGACCTTGCCTTTCTTATCTTGGCATTCCCCTTGGTGCCAGTCTTGGTCCTTGATGCATGGTAGGCATTCACCCCATTTTGTTGTTTAGTAAATAGGTCCACTAAATACCACTCTGCCTTATACCAAGGATGTGGCCACAGAGAAAGCCAGGACAGCCGGCTTTCATTCTTGGAGGCACCAGAAGGGAGTGCTCCTGCACTCATCACTAAGTCACTTTCTTGTCTTGGAGTGAGAGTGGGGATTCTACGCGAGGGCTGATGCCTCTGATGCTCTGGAAATTCCCACCACTTCCAATAGCATGAAGCTCTGGGGCTGGGGTCTCACTTCCACAGTATCTCTGCTCTACTGAGTTCTTCCGAGCTCTCAGCTCTCATCTGGCCTGCAGAGTCTCAGGGCTATTTCTTTGAGGGTTGTGGCGGAGCTGATGAAAGCAAAGTTTACCACTTTCCTTCAAACACGAGGCCGCCACGTCCTCTGCACCGGGTGATCAATGTTGAGGTTTGAACGGCCTTCCCTTGTAGATCCTGCTGGGCCACAGCAAACAATGACTGTGTGTATAACAGCCCACCCTCTGTTTAAACACTATCCATGCGAATGTCAATAAGAATCCAAAGACCTGAAGACAGTGGTCATTGGCATTCAGCTTCTGAGTAGTAGTAGTTGCACATTTCCTTCCTTCCTTCCTTCCTTCCTACCTCCCTCCCTCCCTCCCCCCTCCCTTCCCTTCCCTTCCTGTCCCTCCCTTCTCTCCCTCCCTCCCTTCCTCCATCCCTTTCTGCCTTCCTCCCTCCTTCCCTCCCTTTCTCCCTTCTGGAAAAGGGCAAAAGAATCAATGCAAACTAACCTACCACTTGCTTCTGGTTTTTTTTTTTTTAAACTCATCCATCTTTATCTACCTTAAAATAAATTCACAGCATTTAGATACAATAACTAATCTTGTTACTTCACCGATGGAGCTTAGTGAGACCTGGGGGTCATCCTGATGGGTCCCTTCCCCTCCTCTTCCATGCCCAAACCCAAGCTGGGGGTTGTCGCAGGTTACAGACTTCGGAAGTGTGCCCGCAGTCCTATATTTGCATGGCCCCTTCACATACATTTTCTTATTTTAATGCAGAAATCAAGTCTGTGGTGTAGCTTTTACCAGTAGGGAAGAGTTCAGCAGTTTGTGACTTGCTCAAGGTCACACAGCCAGTAAGTGGCTGTTTAATATCTGTCCCTCTCCATTAGATCATTAGTTTGATAATGGCCAACAGGGATTATTTCTCTGTTGTTCTTCACTGTATTACCAGGATATAAATATCTTTGTTGAACAAACAAATGAGAAAATGAATGAATGAAAGAAACAACAGCTGGAATCCTATCAGCTTCTGCCAGGTGAGAAGGAGCCAGCCTTTCTGGAGTACCTTTCCATAGGCCGAACGCTGTCTGAGCCTTCTCTTACTTGTTCCTCACCAGAATCCTAAAAGAGAAATTGAAGCTCAGAGAGGTGAGTTAATTTGCCTGAGGCCACAGAGGTAAAAAGGGACAGACAGGCCTGGAACCATGTTTCTCTGACTCTATTGCAGGTGGCCTCATCCCCACTGCTCGCTGCCTGTTCGGAGATAGGACCTTGACCAGCCCACCCTCCCAGCCTTGCAGCTCTGACTTTTGGTGGACTGTCCTCTTCCATGCTCACTTCTTGGAGGCTCCAACTTTGTTTAAGGCAAATGGAATATGACAAAGGCAACCGTGGCCATCAAAATGCCACTCTAAATGCCGGGAAGTTTAAAGTGGGTCCTCATTTTGCAATAAGGCAGGCTTTTATGGAAACTAAGTGTATCCCAGTATTCTAATGATCAATCACTTTAACTACAGTTTTCTTCTTTGTATGCTTTGTAAGTTTTTAATTAATCATGATCATATACCACCTAATTACAAATGGTGGCCTGTGGATGAGTAAAATATCCCCCAAACTGGCTTTCTTCCTCTCTGCTGTGTCGCAAGTTCCACACGATCTTGCCCATGACTGCTGCAAGGTTCCCTCCCACCTGCCTGCCTACATAGCGCGACAGTAGCAGAGGGTGGTGCGATCAGAAAGCCCTTGGATGGTATCCTATGTTAACATTTGCAACTGCAGTGAGTCCTGGAGGACGGCACTGTGGTAGTTTCTTTGACATCACATTGCAAGTTAGTATAGGACCTGGGCTTTCCCTCATCTGCTTTCCACTGACTACCCCCCATCCTCTTTCTGACCACCTGTATGCCCTTTTCCCTAGTCATCACTCATTTTTCCTTTTATTTACTTCCTACTTTCCCACTCCTGGCCTCATTCTGCCTGGAGGAATGTTCTCTCTTTCTGTTTCCAAACTCTGCTGAATTTTTGTTGCTGTTGTTATTTAGTTTTTATTTCATAATCATAAACTTAACTCTGCAATCCAGCTAGGCATGGAAGGGAATAAGGAAAACATGGAACCCAAAGGGAACTGCAGTGAGAACAGAAAGGTTATAGGATACTGTGAGCAAATGGGGTGGAGGGGACAATATGGTTTGTCTGTGTCCCCATTCAAATCTCAACTTCAATTGTAGCTCCCAGAATTCCCACGTGTTTTGGGAGGGGCCTACGGGGAGGTAATTGAATCATGGGGGCTGGTCTTTTTAGTGCTATTCTCGTGACAGTGAATAAGTCTCATGAGATCTGACGGTTCTATCAAATGTTTCCACTTTTGCTTCTTCTTCATTTTTCTCTTGCCACCACCATGTAAGAAGCGCCTTTTGCCTCCCACCGTGATTCTGAGGTGTCCCCAGCCACGTGGAACTGTAAGTCCAATTAAACCTCTTTTTGTTCCCAGTTTCAGGTATGTCTTCTTTATCATCCCCATAAAAATGGACTAATACAGGGCTACTCTCCTGACCTACAGAAAGAATGGTCTGGTGGTTAAGGTAAAACACAGGTCAAACTTACCAGAGTTGTCCACAATCAGCAATGGTGATCTTCTTGCTGGTCTTGCCATTCCTGGACCCAAAGGGCTCCATGGCCTCCACAATATTCATGCCCTCTTTCACCTTGCCAAAGACCACATGCTTGCCAATCAACCACTCAGTCTTGGCAGTGCAGATGAAAAACTGGGAGCCATTCGTGTTGGGTCCAGCTTTTGCCATGGACAAGATGCCAGGACGTATACGCTTCAGGATGAAGTTCTCATCATCAAATTTCTCCCCATAGAGGGACTTGCCACCAGTGCCATTATTGTACGTGAAGTCACCACCCTGACACATAAACCCTGGAATAATTCTGTGAAAGCAGGAACCCTTATAATCAAGTCCTTTCTCTCCAGTGCTCAGAGCACGAAAGTTTTGTGCTGTCTTTGAAAGCTTGTCTGCAAATATCCTGAAGGAGACATGGCCCAAGGGCTTGCCACTGACACTGATGTCGAAGAACACAGTGGGGTTGACCATGGCTGGTAGTATGGGGCTCCTGGTGGCTGTGGTGTCTGCCAACTCTGTTAATTTCTTTTTTCTTTTCTTTTTTTTTGAGATGGAGTCTCACTCTGTTGCCCAGGCTGGAGTGCAGTGGCACAATCTCAGCTTACTGCAACCACCGCCTCCTGGGCTCAAGTGATTCTCCTGCCTCAGCCTCCCGAGTAGCTGAGATTATAGGCGCACTCCACCATACCTAGCTAATTTTTGTATTTTCTTTTTCTTTTCTTTTCTTTTTTTTGTTTTGAGACGGAGTTTCGCTCTTGTTGCCCAGGCTGGAGTACAATGGCGTGATCTCGGCTCACCACAATCTCCACCTCCCAGGTTCAAGTGATTCTCCTGCCTCAGCCTTCCCGAGTAACTAGGATTACAGGCATGCGTTGCCATGCCTGGCTAATTTTGTATTTTTAGTAGAGACAGGGTTTCTCCATGTTGGTCAGGCTGGTCTTAAACTCCCGACTTCAGGTGATCCACCCGCCTTGGCCTCCCAAAGTGCTGGGATTACAGGCTTGAGCCACTGCACCCGGCCAATTTCTGTATTTTCAGTAGAGACAGGGTTTTGCCATGTTGGCCAGGCTGGTCTTGAACTCCTGACCTCAGGTGATCCGGCCGCCTCGGCCTCCCAAAGTGCTGGGATTATAGGCATGAGCCACCGCGCCCGGCCAACTCTGCTAACTTTTAAGGACCCAGACCACGTGTCACCTCTTTTCCCTGATTCCCCTGCTGGAAGACATCTCTTGCATCAGTATGTTATCTGTGAATCTCTTCAGGCACTTATGTTTGTTGAATTAAAATTATTTGTGTTTTTCCATTTATACATTCACTCAACCATTCAACCATTAAAAATACACTGAGTATCTATTCAATCAACAATTCCTTAAACATTTTTTGTTTCTTTTTAGGGACGGTGTCTCACTATGTTGCCCAGGCTAAACTCAGACTCCTGGACCCAAGTGATTCTCTTGCCTCAGCCTCCCAGTTAGCTAGGACTACAGGCATACGCCACTATTTCTAGCTTGCATCAACAATTCTTGACTGCAAACTCTGTGTAGAAAGAACCCATACTCAGTTCCTTTTGTATCTACCACAGAACCCGCAAGCACGATGCTCAAATTGAATGTAGAAGGAAAGCAGGAGATAGGAAACTGGCCTGAGAGAAGAATGCCTTCCAGGGTGGGTCATGAGGGGAGAGGACTGAGGAGAGGCTAGGGAAGGTGGGACAGCACCAGCAAAGGCACAGAGGTGGGAATGGCATGGTTACTTCTGTGAATGATACATCCTACACAGTTTATAGTTTTGCTGAACTGAAGCTTTTGGAGAGTGGAATAGTAGAAAAGTATTCTTCATGGTTAATAATGGGAAATTACTAATTTACTCTGGACTAACAACAGACCCAAGGTTTTGGATGTGAAAAGCATTGAAAGGGAAATGGAAATATTGTTCTTCTCATGCATGTGAGGCAAGCACTTTGCTAAATATTTTGTTAAAGGCTAAAGGGGATCTAGAACCCAGTAAGAATCAAGCCTTCACTCAAGGAAGAGGGGCCTCCATGAGGGATGAGTAGGGACTTCACAGGTGGAGAGGGGCAGAGAGGTGCCGTTCCACATGGGTGGAAATCGTCTTAACCAAAGAGGAATCAGCCAAGGGTGTTCCATTTTGAGAAAAAGAGAAGAGGAACACTGGAAGAAAAGTCTGAAAAGGGAGGTGTTGACATCTGTAGAAAGACCAGATTCCAGGCTGAGGATTTCACGCACAATCATAGGAGACCCAGTGAAAGTTTTTGAGCAGGAAAATCACATAAAGCATCACAGAGCCACTTCTATTTCACTAATGGGGAAAATGAGATTGCCAGGTATGACATCAAGGTCCCCTGCCAAACTGGCAGAGCCAGAAACAAACTTAGTTTTCCAGGATCCTCCAAGTCATTTCTCGGGACCACCATTCTCAAATATATACATTTACACGGTACATATTTTTGCAGTGACTTACCATTTACTTCTAAGTGCACTTCTGAGCTGTGACCAGAGCTTTCTCTTCTGAGAGTCTTTCATAGTATACTGGTGAATAATTTGTGTTGGATGAATGCAGTATCTTTCATCTGCAGATCTTAAGAAGCCTTAATGACAACCAAGCTTCATTAATTCTATTTTGTGTATGAGGCAACTGACTCACAGAGGGGTTCGGCAATTTTCTCATTCACTCTGGGAATTATTACCAGAACCATGAATGAAACTTAGGATGAAACTCTATTTCATAAACCATTAAACCCTGTACCCTTTATAGTAGAGGAGTTTACAAAGATAATGACACCTTTGTATTGCGAGTTCATTCCTTTATTCTGTTATTAAATCCTGGCTTGTGTGGAACAGAAGCAACTCACTACAACAATGCCAGCCTGCGTTGCCTGGCAGCGTGAAGCGAGATGGGAAAAGTTGTTACGTGTCTTATTGGTGATGGCTGGACCATTCACAGTTCGTTGTTTTCACCCATCCATTCCTTAATTCATTTATTCACTCCATGTGCATATATATGAGTCCTCATTACATCACCTGTAAAATGGGCATAGTAATATTACCGTAAGCAAAAGGCTGTTTCAAGAATTAAGATAATCTCTATAAAGCGTGCTGCCTAGCACATAGTTAGTCCTTAAAATAATAGTTATAATTAAAAGAGTAATTACAAAAGCCACATGGTCAAAAGACAAAAATGGTCCTTTTCCAGCACTAGCTATGGGTGGAGAGGGTAAAGTTGCATCTGAAAGGTGAATTAATTCTTGAGGAAGAGGCAGATTCCTCAAATAAAAAACTGAAACTTGAGGAGATGGATCTCAGAGAAAAGAAGGAGGCCTGGACCCTCAGTCTGGGTGAGGAAGCATCAGGAGGGCTAGGAAGGCATTGCTGGGTAGTGGATGTCAAATAGACCATTGGGAATGAAGAGACAGAGAAAAGAAATTCATATGAAACGGAGTGGAGTTTCTAAGTTCTGCAGAGCAAGCTATGAACAGTTATGGTGCAATCCAAGCCTTATCCATTGATAGGCCAGCCTGGTTAAATGCCCTGTATTTTCCGTGTTTATTTTTCCATTGTTCTTCCTTACTATTGAACAAAAGTTTCTGTCCAAGTTCCTGCCTGTCTCAACTGTGCTCAGGACACACTGGGGACTCTGTTAGAAAGGAGCAGTCAACCCTGGCCCGAGTCGCGTGGCAACAGGAGTCACAGCAGGAGTTCCCTTGGAGACCAGCAAGCCCAGGGAACCCCCTTCCACAGCTAATTTGGGATGAGCTGAGCTGAGAATATTAGGAAACTGCCATTTCCTCATAACCTGTTGCAATTCCAGTATTCTGTGTGACCTAAAAACTGGGTTGGAAATCCTCCTTAACACAGATACAGAACCCAGAAGCTGTAGAGGACAATATCAACCGATTTGACCGCATAACAGGTAAAAAACAAAACTGAATGACAAGCAACAGACTGGAAAAAAATCTTCACAAACTGTAACATATTTTAATATATTCTATTATAATATAACAAAAAGGAATATCCAAAATACATAAGGAGCTCTTATAAATAATAAAAAGAGACAAAACTAATGGATAAAAGATATAAACAGGTAATTGCAGAAGAAATAGATAGACAAAATGCCTATCTTCAGTAGTAATTAAGGGAATACAAGTCAGAACAAGATGGCGTTTTTTGCCCATTTTATTGACAACAATTAAAAATATAATATTGAATACTGGGAAAGGTGAAGGGACATGGGCAGTTTCTTCTACTCACGCTGAGAATGTAAACGGGTAGCGTCTTTTTAAAGGCCAGGTTGAGGCCCGGCTCTGTGACTCACCCCTGTAATCCCAGCACTTTGGGAGGCTGAGGTGAGTGGATCGCTTGAGCTCAGGACTTAGAGAACAGCCTGGGCAACAAGGCAAAATCCTGTCTCTACAAAAAATACAAAAATTAGCCAGGCATGGTGTTGTGTGCTTGCAGTTCCAGCTACTCAGGAGGCTGAAGTGGGAGGACTGCTGGAGCCCTAGAGGTGGAGGTTGCAGTGAGCCAAGATCTCTCGTGCCACTGCACTCCAGCCTGAAGGACAGAATGTAAACCTGCCTCCAATAAATAAATAAATAACAGGTTGGCAGCATCTGTATTTACAGTATGCCTACCCTTTGTTATGACAATTCCACTTTTAGGAATCTATACTATTCAAATATGAGGATACGAGGATGTCAATGGATCATTTTAACAGTGAGAAAATATTAATAATATCTAGCATTGATTGAGGGCCAGCACATTTCTAAGCACTTTATAACAAATATTGTGAGGACCCCGAGACACAGAGGAGTTAGGTAACTTGCTCAGGGTCACATGGCAAGTGTGTGTTTGGGGCAGGATTTTGGCAATTGTTTCTTAACCACTATGCTCTCGAATAGAGAATAATTACAGTGTGGCACATCCAAACTGGGGAGTAGAGGACAGCAGGTAAGCGGAATGAAGCAGATCTCTGCCTATAGACATGGACACGCCTCTAGGACATATTAGTAATGAAGGGAAAAAACCAAGTTGCCAAACACCATGATATGGTATAATTTCATGTCTGTGGGGAAAAGGTAACATGTATCTATAATACATATGTATGAGAATGGCCAAAGGCCTTGAGTGATATAAGAATGTATGTGGAAATATAGTCAGAACAGTAAATTTTAGATTATGTTCCATATATTTCTGGTTCGTTTGAACTTTTACAAGAATGCATTTGTGCATTACTTTTGAAAACAAGAATTGTTGTACTAACCTCCTCCTTACCCTTACCCCATCCTGCAAAAAGGTTTAACTCATATCAACAGATTCATTTTCTCTTCTTCCAGGTAGACAATGGGATAGGTCTTGGGTAAAAATCTTCTGTACCATGGCTTTTTCTGGTCTATATAAATAAGTATATGTAGAACATGCCCAGGATATATATCTTGTTGATCACTACTCTTAAAATAAGGTTTTCATGTTCGGTATTTGGACCATGGCTTCCTGTTATTCCACCAAGCTACATACAAATATACAACCAGTCAAAATTAATTTGGAAACTGAGAACCACAGTGTTTTTTTTTTTTTTTTTTTGAGACAATCTCACTCTGTTGCCCAGGCTGGAGTGCAGCGGTGTGATCACAGCTCACTGCAGCCTTGGCCTCCTGGGCTCAATGGAGGAGGCCTCCAACTCAGCCTCAGGGGGAGCTGGGACTACAGGCACAGGCCACCACGCCCCGCTAGACAGAGTGCTCCTTTTGCCTTGCATATTATTTTGTCATCAGAAAAATAATCCATAATCATAGATTATCTCATTATTTTGCTCCAATGCATAAGTGGGAGTGTCTAGCTCCCTCTGTTCTCCTGGTGGCCTCTGTGGAGGTCTGAATGAGTAGCTCAATACACAGACTTAAAGGACTCTCTGGATGTGAAGTCAGTGTTACTATCTGAAAGGGAAAAGCTGCATTGGATGGATCATCGGGGCCTCTTCCTGCATGAGTCCAGCTAGGGGTGGTTTTAACTAACCTAAAACCAAAGAAGAGGCTCCAACTAATCCAATGGTTTGGATCAAAATGCAACTTTTACAGGGCTGGGGCTTCACCCTATCTTCGGGTTTATCTCTGACATGCCAGGGAGACAGTTCTTAACATTCTTATTACTTAATGGATATCAGATTGTTGCTTTTCGGAGTGGTTTTTCCATTTTTTGAAATTTAATTTGTTCTTAAGTATCTTTACAGAAAAAAATCCCATTTATTTAAGAAGTACTGTATTCTCTGGTTCTTATAGCTGCTCATTTTACATAGTTTTAGTGTGTACAAACGATTTTTTTTGTTTCATTTATTTCTAATATACCTTCTCATGTACTTGCCAAAATTTCATGTTTGACACAGTCTGCATACCTGCCAGGATTCTTGCTGTTAATGTGAAGGCGCCTGTTTGGGTTACTCAATTGTTGGACAACTGGGCCCATTCCCAGGTTTTGGTCATCACGAACATTGTGAATAGCCCTGCTGTTAACATCTTTCTGCAAGTTCTCCCCCTTCTTCGCCCTTTGGATCATTTCCTTGGAAATGTACTTCCTTAAATGGGTTTACTGGGTCAAAGGGGCTCTATGAACGGTTTTATAGCTCTTGGCACATAATTTTCGGATTGCGCCCTGGGCGGATCTAAGCGATGGCACCGGCCGCCGAGAGGGCAGGAATGCGGCGGAACGGTCCCGATAACCACCCCTCTTCCGCCCCCCAAAAGGAGAAGACCCCGCGAAGGCCTGCGGCTGGAAAGCCTTTTTCCGGTGCTCTCCCGTTCTCTTGAAGTGGTTAGTGTCTAAGCCGGGCAGAAACGCTTTCAGGATCCCAGGCCCTCCTGCCCCAGGACTAGGATTCCACCCGCCTCCGCTAATTCGGAATCCCAGACACCCAGGGCCCCCTCTCAGGCTCGCCTCGAAACCCCCGGCCCTGCGGCCCCTCGCGGGCGCCGAGCTCGGTCGCTATTATTTGGGCGCGGGTGAGGCGAGGCCCGCATAGCTGCGCGCTGAGTCAGCGGGGGCCGCGGCGGGGGGCGCGGCCGGGCTCCCCCCCAGCGCACGGTGCGCTGGGCCCGGCGTCTGGGGTTCCGCCTCGGGGCCGCGGGGTAGTCCGCGGGGTCCGGCGGGAGGGGCAGGGGGCGCGCGGAAGGACCCGGCCTGGGTGCGTCTCCCCTCCCCCAGCAGGAGCTCGGCCGTGACCGCGCGCCCGGCTATTCGCCTCAGAGAACCTCGCCAGGGGGAGGAGGCGAGGGCGGGCGAGGAAGGGGCGCAGAGGAGAAAGCGGAGCGGGACAGACGCAGGAAGGGAAAGAAAGGGAGGAAGCGCGGTGCGCGGGGCGGGGCGGGGCGGAGCGCGCGCAGGGCCGGCGGGGACGCGCGCCGGCGGCTGCGGGCGGAGGGGCTTGTGGGTAGCGGCGGCGCGCGGCCGGAGACGGGCGGCCGCGCGGGAGTGTGTGCGCCGGGAGCTGGCTGAGGGACTGCAAGGCGGCCGGCGGCGACCATGGCAGCGGGCCGGCGGCGGCCGTAGTGGCCCAGGCCTGGGCTTCAGCCTCCCGGGGCCCCAGAGGGCGGGGCGGTCCGGGCCGCGGCGGTGGCGGCGCCACTTCCCTGCTCCCGCCCGAGGACTCCTGCGGGCACTCGCTGAGGACCAGCGGACCGGCGGCGCGAATCTGACTGAGGGGCGGGGACGCCGTCTGTTCCCCGCCGCTCCCGGCAGGGCCGGGCCGGGCTGGGCCGGGCTGGGCCGGGCGGGCCCCTGGGAGCAGCCCCCAGGCGGGGGACCGCCTTGGAGACCCGAAGCCGGAGCTAGAGGCAGGCGGTGGGCCCGGGTGGAGTCCCGGCCGGAGCTGGTGGTTCGGGGGCGGTGCTAGGCCCCGAGGCTGCGGGACCTGAGCGCGAGGAGCCTGAGTGCGGGTCCAGCGGTGGCGGCATGAGCCGGCCCCCGCCGACGGGGAAAATGCCCGGCGCCCCCGAGACCGCGCCGGGGGACGGGGCAGGCGCGAGCCGCCAGAGGAAGCTGGAGGCGCTGATCCGAGACCCTCGCTCCCCCATCAACGTGGAGAGCTTGCTGGTAGGTGGCCGGGGCCTGGGAGCTTGCTCGTTGCAGCTCACACCTCAGATCCCCTCTCCGCCCAGCCCTCCGTGCCCGTCCGCCCGTGGGGAGGGGGAGGTCTTGCCCCACCCCGCCCTGCTTCCGGCAGCCGGGGCCGGAGACCAAACGATTCTGTCACCGAGTTCCAAGAGTAGTGACCCGCCTTTGATTCCTCCCTCTACCTCCTGCTGGAGCCAGTGTCATCCCCGGCTGCTCCTTTCTTGCAGCACTGGGAGGAAAACACCCCTCTTCTCCTTCCGCCTGCCCACTCTGGGGAGGTGGGTGGAGGACTGGCCATGCTTCATACACCAGGTTAGCTGATTTGAAAGTGTCATGCTACGTGGGGACTTGGTGCGAGCGAGGGAGAAAGAAACCTGATGCTGTCCCTGTTGCGAGTACTCACTGGGGTACATGACAAAGAGCCGCCCTCACTCTCTCCTTTTAGTCTGAAATCTTGGAACACACAGCTAAAGTTTTGCTGTTTTCACTTGCGTTTGAGCATTCCATACTTGCTATTTAGTGCATTTTAATTGCTGTAAATTTAATTCCCTGAGATTATTGCGCCAGAGCCAAAAAATCAGTCTGAATTGTGGAGTGGAATAAATCTGTCCTCTTCATTGCGTCTCTTTCCTATAACGACCTTTGAAATCCAGATTAATAGCACCGTAAAGGCTGCTAATTGGCTCTTGGTTAAGAAAGGAGCATGTTTTACAAAATAGAAATGCACCGTAGAATGCTGGCTTATTTCTTATTTTTGTTAGGATAGATGATTGTATTTCGCAATTTGAGTAGTGTGCAGTGTAGATGCATTTATGGGAAAAGGGGGTGTGGACTTTTACCCTGGGGAGGGGAAGAAAGGTGAAAACGATACTCTGTGTATTAAATTGACTCTGGAAGACTAGAACTAGGGTGGGAGGTCCTTAGATCCGTTAGACATTCTGTGCTGGAATGCAGATGTTTAGTTCTATTCCCTCCTGGAATAAACCTTACTGTATGATGAGAAAAACTGCCTCCTCCCTTTCCAGGGACGGACGGACTGGCTTTTGGTCAGAGGCGGTTGGTTATCCTTTGAGGTTTCAGGCATCGTTTGCAGAGTGACTCAGTCCTGTTTGGTCAAAATGCAGGAACTGACTTTAGCTATATAGTGTCTTTCTGCACAGTGTACAGAAAGTAATGAATGATGTGCTATATTGTGTCACATGTGTTTGATGTTTTACTGTTTTTCGGGTTAATGTGTTGTTCCTATGTTTTAATGGGAGCAGTCTTTGAAAGTCTTTAATCGGGAGTAAGATTGCTTGCATGGATGGCATAGCTTTTCCTAGGCTAAAGCGGAGACTCTGGGCTGCACTCCCAGCATTTTCACTTTGGTATTTTGCTAGCAAAACTTTGACCTAAGGCCAGAAAGTTTAGTTAAAAATAGTACAGCAAATCTCAAGTATTCATCAGGTTCATGCTAAATCCTAGATGGAAACGTTTTGCAATTCACTTTGATATCTTAGATCTTTAATGATATTAATCATAATTATTAGAGTTATTCTGAGCTTGAATGTAAGTAGCTTATACATGTAATATGATCATGCATTTTGTTTTATTGCTTTCCAAATTATTAAAATGGAGGCTATTTTTAAAAGTGAAACATCTCACATGTTCAGGACACAGTTCATTCATTTAGCAGTTATTACAGCCAAAACACACTTTTATTAAGGTGGCACATTACGGATCTGAGAATTGACATCAGGTGCTGATGACTTGACAGACTCTGTTATTGCTGTTTCTAGTTGGTTAAATATGCTTGAGGTGCAGTAAACCTTTCCAAGCCAAAATGCGTCCCTTATTCCTTTGGAGCAAGGTTCCTGGTGTTTCTGTTACAAATTGATAAACGAAATTTAAAAATTTTTTTATAATAAATTAATTTTAAATTACGCGTATTTTATTTATGAACTACTAGAATGGATTTTTTATTGTGGTAGCGTATACAGAATTTACCATTTTTAACCATTTTTAAGTGTACAGGTTAGTGGCAGGCATTAAATACATTCACATTGTTGTGCAGCCATCACCACTATCCGTCTCTGGAATCTTTTCATTTTTCCAAACTGAAACTGTAAATTAATGTTTAAAAGAATGTTATAAAAATTATATTTCCTGAAATACTGACGAAATAATGGCTGGTATCACTTTAAAGATCTGAAACCTTAGCATTTAGGTTGCATTTCACTATTGGTCATTGTTTTACTGCCTATGACATTTATTTTTTGGTTTTGCCATGGGAAATACATATTTTGTCTTTAACAGAAAATTTAAAGGAATATAATTTAAAGCAAACACAGCTGCGACACTACATTCAGGAGCTCAGAAAGTACCATTAAAAATAGTATATACCTAAGATGACAAAAGAAGATGAAGTACACCAGAAATGATTGTATGATGCTTTCAGTGGGCTAGGCCTAGAAGGTAAAACTCTGTAGGAAACAAAGTTTTATGAGATAACGTGTAAAGTGCTTAGCCTAGTGCTTGGTACATCACAGTGCTCATTAAATTTAGTTCACTTCTCCTGTGCACACTTAGCATGTTATTAGTTAACTGCTTTAAATTTTCTTTTCAAAGGAAAATGGTTTTATTTGCAACTATTTCTTGCTACATAATTTTGAGTGAGTAGCATTATCATTTGAATTTGTCATCAGAAAAGTGCTAGCAATCATTAGGCATAGGTAGAGCTGGATTCCAAGACTAAATCAGTGTAAAGATGACATCTTGTTTCTCTGCAAAGGCTCATGGCTTTATGTGGGTCCTTAAATTAATCTGAGAAGAGTATATCTCTTTTATGGTTGCAGATTGTGAGCCGCTTAGTATTACTTAGAGTTTTGCTTCTCTACTGCCTCTTTTTTTTTTTGGAGGCGAGTCTTCAGTAATATGCTTTTGTAGTGTTTGAAACCTTTGGGTAAATACCTATGCTTTGTTGTCAAGACCAGCTTCTCATACTGCTTACCTATTATGGTAAAAAGAACTGTGTTTCAGGCTTTGCTGAAGAGATATTTTTCTAAAGGTCTGTGCTTTTTGAGTGTTGATTTATTTTACTCTTTCAAAGAGTAAACAGTCACAATAACCTGTAGGACTCACGCTTGGGTAAACTCTTACTTAAGACTTGTGTGGATGGGCAAAGGTGATTAAAACTTTGTTTACAATTTTCAGTGGCATAAAACATAAAATAATTTGATTGATTTCATTATACTTGTAAACTATCTGACAATATTATCTCAGTGCTTAGACTCTTTCAGCATGCTGCTGGTTATTTGCCTAGTTAAAATAAAATTGTATGTGTATTTTTCCCATCATGTAATAAGTAAGAACATTATAAAGATACAATAAAAATGAAATAGAATAAAAATTAAAAATCATTTTATACATTTTTTTCTTTATGAAGAGTTTGGCATTTATAGTGTAAAATTTGTGACTAGTTTACTTTAAAACTTTCATGTTGATAGGAGATATTTAAAGAAAATGAGTTAGCTAGGGAGGTTTTAAAAAAAAGGTGATGTGTGGAACTTACTGTTGATGTGAAGCAAGTGCAGGTCCGCAATCCCTTATCCACAATTTTGATATATAAAAAACCCAGTTTTTGGTAAAATGTATTTGATGATAACATCTGACCTAATCTCACATTAGAATACTTGTGGTCTAGTCATTCCTCTTGATGTAAATAATAATGCCTTTTGCTGGAGGAATATGAATGTATTTGATTTCAGGGTGTTGCCCAGATTTTCAAGAGCATTTTTGGGAGTACACAGTATATGTACTGTGTACCTTTCTAAAATCCAAGAAATTCTGAGTTCGGAAACATTTTGGTCCCAGGGTAAGGCCAATGTAGACTAAGTAAGGAAATACGGACTTACATACACTTCAGTAGCTGTAAATAAATAGTGGATAATTATCTTGAAACCTAACTTTTTTGTTTTTTATTTCCCAAGTCTTGATCAGATAGCCCTCTTTTTCCCATTTTGAATTCTAAAAATATAGTATGCAAATATAAGTTACGAAGCGTAAAAACATATTCATGAAATCACCACACAAGTTAATAAGTGGAACACTAGCCTGTAGAAGTTACCTGTGTGCCGTCGCCGCTGCTGGATTCAGTCTTCCTGCATCCTCTCTCATCTGCTACCCTGAACATTTTATTGTTCCTTTGCTTCATTTCATAGATTACTACATTTGTGTGTATCTCTAAACAATATTGTTTAGTTTTACTTGTTTTTTTAACTTTATAAAATGTCAGCATTTTTATGTATTCTTTTATGACTTGCTTTATTTACTGAAAATGGTGTTTCTAAGATTCACTAACATTGTGGGTTATTCATATTCTCTGCTATGATAATCAGTATAGCTCCGATCTACTTAATGGATATTTACAGTTTTCTTTCTTTCTTTTTTTTTTGTTTTTTTTTTTCTGTTATGGAAAGTGTTGCTAGGAGCATTTCTGGAGCTCACGTGAATAATTCCTGTAGATTAGGGTATATATCTGGGAGTGGAATTGCTGGATTTTAAGATATACTATGTTCAGTCAACTTAATATAATGGATAGAGTTGAAAATTTTCCCCATGATGTTATTATAGAAAATTTCGAAGTATAGTAAGGGTGAAAAAATCGACAGTGAACATCCATATATTTACCGCATAATTAATATTTTGCTGTATTTGCTGTATTTTCTTTATCTGTCCATTCCTTTATCCATCTATCAATACATCTTTTATTTTTGGTTCACTTAAAGTAAATTGGAGATATTAGTATACTTCACCTTCAAACACTTCAGTATGTATTTAATTAAGAAGAGTTCAATATTTGTTTAGATTTTTTAAAGATTAAATTTGCATGCAATGAAATGCACAGATCTGAAGTGTACCGCTGGTGAGTTTTGACAAATGCACACACCTATTTAATGCAAATTCTTGTAAAAATACAGACCATTATTACCAACTCAGAAATCTCCTTCACACCTTTTCAGCTAATTTCACACACCATTTTCTTCTATTAGAGGCAGTCATTCTTCTGATTTTTTTTTTTTTTTGCAGTAAAGATTACTTTGACTTCTTCTATACTTCATAAAAATGGAATCATATAGTATATACTTTTCTGTGTCTGGCTTCTTTAATTTAGCATTGTTTCTGAGAGTTATCTGTGTTATTGTGTGTGTCAGCAGTTTATTCCTTTTTCTCATTGTTGAATTGTCTTCTGTTATATGTATAAACTGCAGTTTGCTTGGATATCTCGTGTTGATGCATACCTGGACTAGTTTTCAGTTTTTTGTTTTCAGAATGTACACTGGTCCCTTGGTGTTCTCCGGGGATTGGTTCCAGGATACTTGCCTTATAGTCTGCCTACGTACCAAAATCCGACGACGCACAGTCCTTTTTATAAAATGGCATTAGTATTTGCATGTAATCTGTGCATATCCTCCATATACTTTAAGTCATCTCTAGATTACTTACAATGCCTAATACGATACTGTATTGTTTTAGTTTGTATTTTTTAATTTTTATTTTTTTTCCAAATTATTTTTGATCCATGGTTGGATTCATGGATACAGAGTGCTGAGTGTATTATATATTTTGGCTTGATTTTTTTAAAATATGGAGACAAGATCTTGCTCTCTTGCTCAGGCTGGGATGCAGTGGTGTAGTCATAGCGCACTATAACCTTCAACTCCTGGTCTCAATGATCCTTCCAACTTAGCCCCTCTAGTAGGGACTACAGGCCTGTGCCACTGTAATTGGCTAATTTTTATTTTATTTTATTTTTGCAGAAATGGGGTCTTGCTGTGTTGTCCAGGCTGGTCTCAAACTCCTGGCCTCAAGTGATCCTCCAGCCTCAGCCCCTGAAAACGTTGGATTAGAGGCCTGAGCCACTGCACCCAGCCTACTTTGGCTCTTAATACAGTTGTTATGAAAGTTTTCATTTCTTTTGGGTAAATTAAATACCTTGTAGTGGAATTGCTAACTCATAGGGCAGATATGTGTTTACTTTTTAAGAAACTGATGGCCAGGCATGGTGGCTCATGCCTGTAATCTCAGCACTTTGGGAGGCTGAGGTGGGTGGATCATTTGAGGTCAGGAGTTCGAGACCAGCCTGATCAACATGGTGAAACCCCATCTCTACTAAAAATTAAAAGAAAAAAAAAATTAGCCAGGCGTGGTGGCACGCACCTGTAATCCCAGCTGCTTGGGAGGCTGAGGCAAGAGAATCACCTGAACCCAGGAGGTGGGAGGTTGCAGTGAGCTGAGACTGGGTCATTGCACTCCAGCCTGGGCAACAAGAGTGAGACTCTGTCTCAAAAAAAAAAAAAGAAACTGCCAGATCTTTTTATGAAGTAGTTATACCATTTTATACTCCCACCAACAGTATATGAGAGTTCCAGTTGCTCCACATCTTCCCCGACACTGCTCTTTAAAATGTGATTTCGATTTGCATGATTTGCATTTCCCTCATGATGAATGATGTACTTTTTCTTGCACTTACGGGCCATTTATATATTTTCCTTTGTGAAGCATCTGTTTGAAGCAACATACCTCCATTTTTGCCCATTAAAAAACATTGGGTCATTTATTTGTATTTATTATTGAATCTTAGAAGTTCTTTTGTATATAAAGAGAACACTCTTTGTCAAATAAATGTTTTGTGAATGTTTTTTCCTAGCTTATGGTGTATCTCTCTCTCTGTCTCTTTTTTTTTTTTTCTGAGGTAGAGTCTTGCTGAGTTGCCCAGGCTGGAGTGCAGTGGCACAATCTCGGTTCACTGTAACCTCCACCTCATGGGTTTAAGTGATTCTCCCTCCTCAGCCTCCTGATTAGTTAGGATTACAGGCATGCACCACCACACCCGGCTAATTATTGTATTTTTATAGTAGAGACAGGGTTTCACCATGTTGGCCAGGCTGGTCTCCAACTCCTGACCTCAAGTGATCCACCCGCCTTGGCCTCCCAAAGTGCTGGGATTACAGGCACAAGCCGCCATGCCTGGCCCCATATCTCTTTTTTTAATAAAAATTTTTAATGGTTGTTGCTTTTCTGCCCAAGTAATTGTCGCCATCCTCATGTCGTGAAGATATTCTCCTTTGCTTTTTTCCAAAAGCTTTATGGTTGACTTTTACATTTAGGTCTAGGATACATTTTAAGCTAAATTTAATGTGTGGTGTGAGTTAGGGGTTGAAGTTAATTTTTTTTCTCCACATAATTATCCAGTTATCCAGACTATCCTGCACCATTTTAAAAAAATTAAGTTTTCTCATTGGATTGCTTTGGCACCTTTGTTAAAAGTCAGTTTACTGACAGTTGGACTTTTAAATTTGCTTTTCTACCACCTTAGTAGCTACACCGGATCATCAGTCCTGGTTCTATTGTTTAACCCATGCTCAATTCAAAAGTCATTTCTTGGCTGGGCACAGTGGTTCATGCCTGTAATACCAGTGCTTTGGGAGGCTGAGTTGGGAGGATTGCTTGAGGCTAGAAGTTTGAGACCAGCCTGGGCAACATGGTGAGATTTGTCGCCTCTACAGAAATAAAAAAATTAGCCAGGCATGGTGGCACAAACTTGTGATCCTAGCTGCCCAGGAGGCTGAGGCAGGAGGATGGCTTGAGTCCAGGAGTTTGAGACTGAGTGAGCTGTGATGGTGCTGCTGCACTTTAGCCTGGGTGATAGAATGAGACCCTGTCTCTGGAAAAAAAGTCATTTCTTTTTAGTTTTATCTGTACCTGAGGGAAGTGACAACCAACTATGGCTGAGAGGGAAACATAGATTTTATTTTTTAAAGTGAAGAAAGATTTGTCATTTTTTAAATTATAAAAATAATATGCTCTCGTTGTAGAAAATTTAGGGAGCATAGAAGGGTATAAATGCTAATAGCACTTATCTACAATCTCCTTCCTTAGAGATAATCACTGTTTAAATTAACATTTTGGTTTATATATCTTAACTTATATGTATTTAAAAATTACAGTATTCATGTGCTTTATCTTTTTAAATATTTAATGAATAGTATGAGTTTTATATAGTCACAATTATCAATCGTTTCACTGTAAAGTGATTTCTGGCTTAGTGGTCATGTTTAGGAAATTCTCTGTTACCAGGATTATATCATCATATACCTGACTTTTTGTTCTCACATGGCTTTATTTTTATTGATATTTTCATTTCATTTGGAATTCTGATGGAAAGTATGAAGTAGGAGTTCAAAGATTATATCAGGAGATTGAGATTTGTCTAGGTATTAAATTTCCCAAAATATTAATTGGGAGTTTCTGTTTACATCTCTTTATTATACTTTCTATTTGGAGAGTGGTGATTGGGGTGAGAAAAAAGGTTTAATGATTAAGGTCTAATGATTATAGGTTAGGTCTCTATTTGGGCCTCTTGAATTTCTTCATGAAAATACTATACAACTATACTTAAAACTCTAATTTGTTAGTGATAAGGATTACTGGTGGAGAGAATGTGGATGACTCAGTGCAACTTACAGCTTTTAAAAATAATAAAAGAACATTTTCCCTTGGTGGACTAGCATATGGAGCTTACTGTTTAATAAATTGATGTGAAATCATGGTGCATTTGGGGCTCAACTAAAACTATACTCACTTTATCCTTAATTGGAGTCATTTTTCTTTCCTCTCATCTGTACTCCTGCCCCCCTTTAAAGTATTATTAAATTATATAGATATTCTTGTAAATTCTGCAGTTAGGTTTTCTAAATGACCCTCACATATCTTTTCAAAAAGCATTTGGGTCACAATACTTAGCATTTCTCTCATTCCCCGCCTTCCCCTTCCGTGTGTGTGTCTGTGTGTGTGTGTGTGTGTGTGTGTGTGTGTGTGTGTGTGTATCAGTCAAAGGGAACTATTTGGATTCATTTTTAGTTCATTGTCAATAATATTTTGGGGAATGTTTCTAAGTCCAGGAATGATTTTATGGTTTGGTACTTCATTTTGGTAAGGTATGGGCTGTTTGTTCAGATATCTAAAGTGCTTTATAATTTTTTTTTGTCATAGGTGATTGACCACTTATATTCAATGTCTGAATTCCTTTATTCTCTAAAAGAGTTTCACCTCAGATTTCTTTAGTTATAAAGCAAGTGATAGACATTTTATTTTCAAGGGATTATAGACTTGGAACAATTTCTAATGTTTAATTATTGAGGTTTCTATGCCATGGAAATGAATTAGCGAAGTGTTCTCTAGCAGTACTTTATTTAGATAGAAACGCGCCAGAGCAGGGCTGGTATTGTCTTAATTACCTGCATGATTGTGTTGACAAATGCTTAATATGCTAAGCATTGCCTTCATATATGCTTCTTGGCTTTTGAGTTTATTTTTATTTAATGCACAGAATATGAGCTCTTTTAGTACGAGTCTTTTATGTTTTCCTATTCTGTAAATATTTGTTGAATGAACTAACAATTTTTTTTTTTTTTTTTTTTTTTGAGACAGAGTCTCTCTCTGTCGCCCAGCCTGGAGTGCAGTGGCACAATCTCGGCTCACCGCAATCTCTGCCTCCCGGGTTCAAGGGATTCCCCTGCCTCTGCCTCCCGAGTAGCTGGGACTACAGGTGTGCACCACCACGCCTGGCTAATTTTTTGTGTTTTAGTAGAGATGAGGTTTCACCATGTTGGCCAGGATGGTCTCAAACTCCTGACCTTGTGATCCGCCCACCTTGGCCTCCCAAAGTGCTGGGATTACAGGCTCAAGTCACTGCGCCTGGCCTCTTTTTTTAAATAACAGGAGTGATAACCTGTAGAAATATCTCTACTTGAAGAGTCATTAATTAAAATACTTCCCAGATAAACATTTTGATATGTGTTCCTGTCACTAAGTTCTTATCTATCCATAGGAAAGAAGATAAGTAAACATCTATATATGCAGGGAGGATGGGTTTAGAAGTAGAATTAATTTGGAGATCATGTAGGAAAAGCAAATTGTGATTTGGATATTTTCCGGATTGTTGTGAAACAGTTTGTCTTGGAAAGAATTAGGTGAATTTTATTCAGTGTTTTAGGTGAAGTAAAGATACCTCATGGGGGCTGAACAGCTTTTTATTATTTATATGTGTCATTTTTTCCCCCTTCTCCTTAACTTTTTTCTGGTTAAACACATTTACTTCTTTTTATGTACCTAGTTATGCCTGTGTTGGAATTGCACTTTATGAGCAGGGCAGATGAAATGCTGGTGGTGTGTTCACAAGGTGAAATCCTTTAAAATAGTGTATTGGCTGTTATTAATAGTAAGGCAATATTTTTCAATAGTACTAAAAATTAAGTTAAAGGGCATGAGATTTTTTTGACAGGAATCAAGTGTGTCATTGCAAGTCACGATGACTTGAGAATTTGTCAGGTATTAAGCATTCTGGTTTCTCATGTGTTGATTTGGCTTTAAACTGTTTCATGTTTGTAGTATTTCTTTTTTTTTCCTAATACATGCAGGTGCTTTTTTTGTGTGTTCTCTGGACCATATTTAAAACAGTTACAGAAAGAATGGAATTTAGAGCTGTGATAGTTTTTCTTCTATATCTACTAGTGGTATTCATTTAGCAGACAAAGAAGAGTGATACATAGTATCTTACTTGTAATAAGCCTTTCATATTGGTTGAACAAATAAATACAGCCAGCAGATGTAGTGCAATTGGCAAAATGTGTTTCAGTCTCTTATTAGCTCTTAGAATCAGCTCTGAAATAAAAGTCTGGTGGTTGAGAATGAGCAGGTATTGAATATATAGAGTCAGGCATCATTGTTTACTAGCATTGCTAGTTCTTTTTATTTTCAACTGTTTTATTGAGGTATAATTTATACACCATTAATGTCTTCCATTGTAAGTGTACAATATAATGATTTTTAGTAAATTTACAAATTTGTGTAACCATCATCACAATTCATTTTCATCACCCCCCCTAAATTCCCTTGATCTTATTTGCAGTCAATCCTGAATCCCATCCCCAGCCAACCACTGATCTGCTTTCTGTCTCTATAAGTTTGTCTGTTCTGTAAATTCCATATAAGTGGAATCATAAAATATGCAGTGATTTCTACCTGGCTTCTTTTACCTAACGTAATGTTTTTGACATTCATCTGTGTTGCAGCATGAATACTATGTTCTTTTTAATTGATGAATAATATTCCATGGTTATGGATATACCACATTTTGTTTATGAATTCACCATATGTGAGGGCATATGTTTTCATTTCTCTTGGACAGATTCCAAGGAGTGGGACTGCAGGGTCATATGGTAAATTTATGCTTAACTTTTGAGAAACTGCAGACTGTTTTCTGAAGTAGCCCTACCATTTTACATTCTCACTAGAAATGTATAAGGGTTCCAGTTTCTCCATATTATCACAAAACACTTGGTAGTGTGTGTCATTGTAATTATAGCCATTGTAGTGCATTTTACCAATGACAAATGATGTTGGCCACTGTTTTATGTGCGTGTTTTGCTTGTTCTTTTGATTTTTGCTAATGTGTCATGAGTGTGGCCTAATTTGGATCATTATATTTAAGTTGTTTTTGTTTTTATGCTAGGAAATAATACGGTAATCAACTGGTGAAGGAGTTTTATTTTGTATACCACAGGCCAATTCCAGTGTTTGGAATTCCAAAAATAGAATACAAATACAGATCAGTGCCCTCTGAATGTGGAATTATCCTACTGATAAGTGTTTATACCTGAAAGGCCTAGTTAATACTAAGCATTTTTTTAAAACCTTGTTATGATACTTTTTGTTTCCAAGGAATGAATGAGTCTTGCTGATCTGTGTAGGCTCTTTTTTATTTTTTTAATTAAAAAAAGGTTTTTTTTTTAAGAGATGGGGTCTCACTCTGTTGTCCATGCTGGAGCGCAGTGTGATCATAGCTCACTGCAGCCTAGAACTCCTGGACTCAAGCAGTCCTCCTACCTCAGCCTCCCAAGTAGCTGGGACTACAGGTGCATGCCACTGCACCTGGCTAATGGGAAGGCCCTAATAATGGCAGTGGAGTCTACTAGTTGGGTTATTTCTGTTTCTGTTGTTGTTGTTGTTGAGACAGTCTCACACTGTCGCCTGGGCTGGAGTGCAGCAGTGTGATCTCAGCTCACTGCAACTTCCGCCTCCCAGGTTCACGTGAGTCTCCTGCCTCAGCCTCCCGAGTAGCTGGAATTACAGGCGCCTGCCACCAGGCCTGGCTAATTTTTTGTATTTTTAGCAGAGACAGGGTTTCACTATGTTGGCCAGGCTGGTCTCAAACTCCTGACCTCGTGATCCACCCGCCTTGGCCTCCCAAAGTGCTGGGATTACAGGCGTGAGCCACCGCGCCTGGCTAATTGGGTTATTTCTGAGCTACAGATGTTAAGGGCTTCTGACGTGCACATGACTTTTTTTTTTGTTCCATTCTGCTCTGTGTTCATCTTCCATCTTTTGATTGTTTTGAACATGTTAGGTATAAGCTTATAAACTTATTTCTTTCCCTTTTGTTGACCCAAATTTTATCTTTATACTTCTCTGTTAAAACAGTTACTAGTATTACTTCAATAACTTGGTTCATATAGAGGATAGGTAGCTGTTGGTGTTTTAAGTACTATTGCACTTGGCTTTTGGCTTGTTTTTGAGTATTCATTTTAATTTGCCTTACAGATACAAAGGTTGCCTGTTCTTGTTCACAGGTGGCACAGGTGCCATGTTCTTGTTCACAGGTGTATCAGTGTGTGATTCTACTCTTTTGCTTTGTATTTAGGTGTGAATCCTCTAGAAGTCATACTCAGAATATGCTTATTGAAATTGAAGTTTTCTTTTTAATGTTAGGTTAGATAAACTATTTTGAGTTTTTATTAAAGATAACTACATGTGGTACCTTTTTCTTTTTTCTTGAGTAGCAAAGGAAACTTAGAAAATATTATTTCTTCTTCTTCTCCTCCTCCTCCTCCCTCCTCCTCCCTCCTCCTCCCTCCTTCTTTCTGCTCCTTCCTCCCTCCTCCTCTTTCCTTCTCCTCCCCCTCCTCCTCCCTCCTCCCTCCTCCCTCCCCCCTTCCTCCCTCCTCCTCTCCTCCTCCCTCCTCCTCTCTCTTCCTCCTCCCTCCTCCTCATTCCTCTTCCTCCCTCCTCCTCCCTCTTCCTCCCCCTCCTCCTCCCTCTTCCTCCCCCTCCTCCTCCCCTTCCTCCTCTCTCCTCCCTCCTCTCTCCTCCTCTTCCCTCCCTCCTCCTCCTCCCTCCTCCTCCTCCCTCCTCCCTCCTCATCTTCCCTCCTCCCTTGTCTTCCTCCTTCCTCCCCCTTCTCCTTTTTTTGAGACTTTTTTGAGACGCAGTCTCTGTCACCCAGGCTAGAGTACAGTGGTGAGATATCGGCTCACTGCAGCCTCCGCTTCTTGGGTTCTTAAAAGTTTTTCGTTTTAAAACCAAAAGGAAAAGAAAGTGTATTAGCACAGTTGTCATGAGCTTTGATGCCTACAAGATCTAGTGAAAAATGTGTTTTTGTATGTTGAAATCCCTGTAAAAGTATTTTGTATATTAAATATGAAAATATTAGTATGATTTTGAAAAATGTATCACCTTTTTCAGATAACTTTGTTGTTTTAGAGTTATAGTTTGTGGGATTTTTATCTCATGGCTAACAAAACTACATACCCTGTGGCCAAGGCACAATTCAATAACGTGGGGCTCTAGAGTGACATATAATAAAAGTATCTTTAAAGCCCTAAAGATTTATGACATTTTATCTTTTGAAATATTGTTTTCAAATAATTGCTGAATAGAAAGATAATTAGAAATGTGAAATCTGAAACTAGGTGATGCTTCTTTCACTGACTGAATATATTTCTGCAGTTATTTTTAGAAGAGTGTTATGGATGATTTAGAAACATTTTTATTGGAAGTATTTTTCCAGTTAGAAACATTTTACAATCTGGTGATGAGAATTCCTAATTCCATAATACCTCAGTGTTGTACAAGATGCTCCAGCATTTCTAAATATTTGAAAAAAATGCAATTAATTTGAGACTTCATGAGTCAGTTATGACATGTTCATGCTAAAAATATTCTCAGGCATTATTTCTTGCTGTAGCTTAAACGGAATATGCAACTCATGGTTGCAACATTTAAAATTAGAATATGGATAATGTTTATGTTGTTATATTCAGGTTAAAGAAGAATTTAATCACAAAAGCAAGAGAACATTTAAAGAATTTAATCACAAAAACGAGAAAACGCACCTAAAGGATTTTGCTGATAGTTTTGTAAAACAATTTCTGCTGCAAGCAATTTTTTTTTTTTGTAAAAATGGGGAGGCTGTAAAGTTATAAATTTTGAATGCTGGAAAACAGATTGTTTTCCATTTTTAAGACATTTCCATAATAGGAGAACAGCAGATGATACAAATAAAACTAAATTTAGAACTAATAAAAGGAAACTCTAGTACAAAATTGGCTTGTAAAATTTTCTTCTGAGGGAAGTCATAAAATATAACAGTGAATAAATTTTTAAGAAGTTACGGTTTTTTTTTTTTTTGGAGATGGGATTGTTACAAGCTTTTAGTATAGGGAAGTTTTGTCTTTCTGGATGATATAATGTAAATATTTGGTGTAGTGTTTTAATGTGCTTTCCCCTTCTTTTAAACAGAACTACTCAGTTTGACTCTAGTTACAACAGATCTGTGAAATAAAAGTTTAAAAATCTGAACAATGCCTTATTTCAAATGATTTTCTATTAATAAAATTCCACCAAAGTACATAAAGAGGATCCCTGTTTGATCTCATTAACATATGAAGGTTAAAATGAATTTTTTTCTTAAGAGTTTCCCCACCAAGGTAGTGAAGATGGGCAAAAAATGAAGGAAAATGACTTGAATTTTTAATTTCAAGTGTATTTTTTTTTGTTTCTTTTTTTTGCATTTTTAAAAAAATTATTATTATACTTTAAGTTTTAGGGTACATGTGCACAGTGTGCAGGTTAGTTACATATGTATACATGTGCCATGCTGGTGTGCTGCACCCATTAACTCGTCATTTAGCATTAGGTATATCTCCTAATGCTATCCCTCCCCCCTCCCCTCACCCCACAACAGTCCCCAGAGTGTGATGTTCCCCTTCCTGTGTCCATGTGTTCTCATTGTTCAGTTCCCATCTATGAGTGAGAACATGTGGTGTTTGGTTTTTTGTCCTTGCGATAGTTTACTGAGAATGATGATTTCCAATTTCATCCATGTCTGTACAAAGGACATGAGCTCATCATTTTTTATGGCTGCATAGTATTCCATGGTGTATATGTGCCACATTTTCTTAATCCAGTCTGTCATTGTTGGACATTTGGGTTGGTTCCAAGTCTTTGCTGTTGTGAATAGTTTCAAGTGTATTTTTAAAAGAGAGAGTAGTATAGTGGAAAGAACATTGGATTTGGAGTCAGAAAAGCTAAGACTGGTGTTAATTAATGAGATGTTCTAGTGATTATCTTCTTGATTGTGAGTAATTTATAGGACTATTTGCCTTCAAGGAGTTGTGAAGAATACAGTGAGAAGCTAACTATATGTGCTAGTGTTCTGTAAACTGTACAGAACTTTAGCTTTTTTACAGACAGTTGAAAAACTATGTGTATAACAGCCTATATTGTTTGTGTCTCTCAATGTATGTGCATACAAAATCAACCCTCTGATATTAGCCTGTTTCCCCCCCCAAATGTAGCATATTATTTGGCACATATTAGCTTCACTAAGTGTTAAATAAATGAATGAAAATTGTTGGCATTTTTGTGTTCTTAATTCACTGCGTGTAATTAGTCGCATTGGGGTTTTGGATGGATCTTTACAATCTAAGAGAATAGTAAGACAAAGTCTTGGTGGGGTTTATGGCTCATAGATGATGGACTTTGGGGATAGAAGTTTCATATCAGAGATGTGGAAGGGAAGAGAGTGAGCAGGACCAGGGATAGAGGCAGTCTTCTTTTCACTGATAATCTGAATATACCATGTTCTCTATACTCTTTGCCCTTGTGTGTACCTGGATTGCTCTGTCTCCTTCTCTGTTTTGTCAGCTTATCACAAAAACAAAAACAAAATAAAACAAACTTCATTTTTTAAATTACAAAAGTAACATATGCCCCTTTAAAAACGGACAGTTGGCCGGGCTTGGTGGCTCACACCTCTAATCCCAGTGCTTTGGGAGGCCAAGGTGGGCAGATAGCTTGAGCCCAGGAGTTGGAGACCAGCCTGGGCAACACAGTGAAACCCTGTCTCTACAAAAAATACAAAAATTAGCCAAGTGTGGTGGTGTGCACCTGTAGTCCCAGCTTCTTGAGAGTCTGAGGTGGAAGGATTGCTTGAGCTGGGGAGGTGGAGATTTCAGTGAGCTGAGATTATACCATTGCACTCTAGCCTGGGTGACAGAATGAGACTCCCCCTCTGCCTCTTTCTTGGCCATGTTCTCTTTCTCATTGAAGACACAGGCATGTGGCTCACAATCTTTCCCCATAAGGCTTTGCCACCATTCGTGGTGAATTTAGAGTTTATGTGAACAGAGGGCCCAGGACTCTGGCTTTATAGTTTCCCAATTTCATCATCTCCAGTTGTCTTTCTTTTCGCTTAATTCATTCACTTAATCCCATGGAGCTACTCTGGACCTCACCATTACCTGAAAATTGGCTTTACCTTTGAGGTCTTAAATTTAAAACACTGTCCTGGCTCTGACTGTAAACTTTTGAGATCTGTAGTTCCTTGACATCTCTAAATGGTTCCTTTACTAGCAGGCAGGAACCCATTTTCCATCACTTTAAACTTCTTGCCAGAATCCTCAGTGTCCTTGTCCTCATGAATTTTCATCGTATGTATCTGGCAAAACCTAAGTTCTGGATCAGTTTGTCTCTTTGGCCAACAAAAAAAGCATTTGTTGAGCAGTGATGGATAAAAATCACACACAATTACCCAGATTAGTGGTACTGCAAATTCATGGTCTCTAGTCCCTGAAAGAGCTGTCAGGGCTGCATTGCAATTCTTTTATTCTCCATAGGGGCTATTTTAATCATTCTTTTCTTTCTTTAAACTTAAGAAAGAAAGTATCCTCCCCGGATGGTCTCCCCCCTTCATGGGAAAACAGAACCCATGAAAAGGAGACCCCTTATATTTCCTGTTACTTGACTCACCAGTTTATCTCCTCCGTAGCATTTGTTCTTCCTTTCCTTCAATTTCAGTGGATGAGATGTTTCCTCATGCTGCCTCAGGCTGATTCTCCAACTGTGCTCTGGGTCTTATTCTTTTCTTCCTGCTGATTAACGCTATGTCTTTAATCTCTCTCTTAATTCTGATTATTTCCCATCTCACTAATAAACATGTTCATAAAACAACCAAAATACCCCTAGACATAAGTCTCATTTCTTACTGCATGATATGGTCAGAAAATAAAAAACAAAACAAAAACGAAACCTCAGTTCTTTCTAGCTTCTGCCTCCTCCTCTCACCAGCAAAACAAAGCCCCAAGCTTGTGTACTTCTCTGTTGTCTCATGTTCTGTTCACTTCTCCATACACTATAATGTCTTCTCTCATCATTCACTAAAACTGCTCGCTCCAAGATCATCTGGACTTCTTGCTGCTAAAACCATAATCTTATAGAATGTTCAAAAGTACTTGACACTTGTCAAATTGCTGTCTTCTGTTGGCTTCTATGACAGTACGCAAAGCCTCAGCTGTTTCTCCTTAGGCTCCTTTGCTGCCTTCTCTTCTTCTGCCAAATGGAAATGTTCCTTACTTTTTTTTTTTTAAATGCATTTGCCATCTTGGTTTTGTATCTTTTCCAGGACTTTATCATTTGTATGTTGATGCCTTCCATTTTATCCATCTGAGAGCTTGCATTTGAGCTTCTGGCTCACATATCCAGCTACCTACTGGGCATCTCTACTTGGATGTACTGCAGATACTTAATGATAACATATCTACAACTACATTCTTTTTTCCCCTATTGCTCCAAATCTGCTTCATTTCCTTTGGTTTTAGATTCAGTGATTGTTTCCACTATCCATTTAGCTTCGATCAGGCCAAAAATCTAGTGTCTGTTATCTTTGACCTCACATTGTTCCCAGATCTTATCAGCGTTACCTCTTAAAGGGGATTCACTTGCCTCGCATATCCCTGCTTCTTTCCTATTTCAAGTGACTATCATGCTATTTCTAGATTATTATGGTATTCTTTTCCCTGGTGTTCTTTCCCCCAGCTTTTCTAGTCTTTTATCCATTTTCTACTCTCCAGCCAGACTAATTATGAAATGTAAACTTACCCTGTTATTCTCTGAAGTATTTAAATGATTGATTTCCCATTCATTCAGAGAAAAGTTAAAATTGCTAATTATTTCCCACAAAATTGTTTGTGATCTAACTTCTGCTGACTTCTCTAACCTATCGCTTGTCCCTTACTCCTCCCTTTCTCTCATATCCCACCCCATATTAAATAACTTTCATTTGAAGCTGCACCATTTTTCTTCCCATCTTCAAGTTATTAAAAAAACCTAGATCCCTCTGCTTAAAATACAAATGCCAACTCCCCAAATATTAACTGTAATGTAGTATGTGGAAAAACTTCTGTAGCATTGTATTTAGTCTGGTATGAAGTTGGATTCTGGAAGGACAAGACAAATATGTACAGTTTTCCCTCAGTATCCAAGGGGGATTGGTTCCAAGACCCCAAGACCCCTGTGGATACCAAAATCTGTGCATGCACCAGTCCCACAGTTGGCCCTGCCAGAACCACATACACAAAAAGTAGCCTTGCCTTTGGTAGTGGATGTGCAACTCACGGATAAGGAGAACTGACTGTACTTATTGGAAAAAAAATCTACTTATAAACAGACTTGTGCAGTTCAAACCCATGTTAAGGGTCAGCTGTATTTATAATAATGTCTTTCAGAAACTGATCTATTTCTGTGTTAAATGATAATGGAGAATTGGTTTGTATAGCATGAAGGGGATTTCCTTAGAAAAGTGTTTCAAGTGGAAGTTGCTGATGGAAACTCGTGCTTCTTGTGAGCATTTCTATTATGAGAAGTATGGATAAAATAGTTGGCTAATGGAAAAATGGTAATATAAATGCTGGGCATAAAACTTCTTTATAGAAAACGAATAGATATTTTAAATAATAAGCACTTGAGACCTGTCATGTTGAATAGAGGTTTTTATGATGTACTATTACGGTTATTGTCATAGCAGAAATAATACAAGCAAGACATACATCTCTTACTATGTGCCAGGCACTGTGCTTTACTAACTTGTTAGATTTCTGTGTCATTTTTCCAGTGCCATGAAAATAACAAGTTCTTTCAAGATTGGCTTCTTTTACTTAGCAATATGCATTTTAAGTTTTCCCTCCATATCTTTTCATGGCTTGATAGCTCATTTCTTTTTAGTGCTGAATAATATTCCATTGTCTGGATGTACCATACTGTACCCACTCACCCACTGAACAACATTTTGTTGCTTCCAAATTTTGCTAATTATGTATAAAGCTGCTATAAATGTTTGTGTGCAGGTTTTTGTGTGAACATAAGTTTGTTTTGTTTTGTTTTGTTTTGTTTTTTGAGACGGAGTCTCCCTCTGTCGCCACGCTGCAGTGCAGTGGCATGATCTCGGCTCACTGCAACCTCCGCCTCCTGGGTTCAAGCGATTCTCCTGCCTCAGCTTCCCCAGTACAGGCACTCACCACCATGCCCAGCTAATTTTTGTATTTTTAGTGGAGACGGGGTTTCACCATGTTGGCCAGGATGGTCTTGATTTCTTGACCTCGTGATCCTCCAGCCTTGGCGTCCCAAAGTGCTGGGATTACAGGCGTGAGCCACCGTGCCCGGCTGAACATAAGTTTTTAACTCCTTCAGGTAAATACCAAGGAGTGCAATTGCTGGACTGTATGGTAAGAGTGTGATTCCAGCTGTATGACGTTCTGGACAAAGGCAAGAGTAAGGAACCAGCAAAAAGATCAGTGACTGTTAGTGTGGAAGGAGAGATGAATAGGTGGAGGACAGAAGATTCTTAGGGCAGTGAAAACACTATATATGATACTATAATGGTGGATACAGGTTATTATACATTTGTGTGAACCCATGGGATGTGCAGTACCAAGAATGAATACTGACGGTAACTATAGACTTTGGGGGATAATGATGTGTCAGTGTTGTAGGTTTGTTAGTTGTAACAAACGTATCATTCTGGTGAGGGATGTTGATAGTGGGGGAAGGCTATGTGTATGCAGGGGTGAGGGGTATGTGGGACATCTCTGTACCTTTCAGTTTTGATGTGAACCTCTAACTGCTCTTTAAATAAAGTCTTTTAAAAAACATGTTCTTTAAAAATATTCTGCACTTAGGAATACTTACGAATTCAAATATGGTTTAAAATTTTTCTAAAAAATTATGACCTCTTCTGGGTAGTATAGAGGTAGTTGCGTACTTTTTGCAAACATAATGAGAAACCTCTTACCTGTCTGATTAAAGTTATATTAAAGTCAGAACATCTGAGTAGCATATATGTCTAATAGTATGTAATTTCACCCAATTCTTTGAATAAAGGTTTATTCATTCTGTACCTGAGAGATTTAGTGTCTTTTAGATTTAATGTCTTCCTGAGTATTTGTTTTCTCATTTAATACAATTGTGAAATATGTAGGGCAGATATACAGAATAGAGGGGAAACTGAGGTTTGGAGGTTTGTCCAAAGTCATGCAGCTGCTAAGTGGCAGAACTGGAAAAGTATCAATGTCTGTAGATTTCTAAGACAGTATTCTTTTTTTCATTATGATGCTTATTTTCTGAAGTAAAACCTCAAGCTCTGAACAAGAAATTGGTTAGCTATTTGGACAAGCTGGATGGCTATCTTAGAAAAGTAATTAATAATATTAAATGTTTTAACATTAAAAGGATTACAAACTTCAGAATATTTGTTGTCAGTGATTGTTCAACTTGTTTACCCTAAAAAATCCCCTTAGGTTCAGGTTAATCTTCTTCACTCTTCAAAAGAGCACTGCTTTGGATTTTTTCATGTCTGCAAGTGAAGAGAGCGTTTCACTGTATGATCTATACTTACTGGAGATAATGATTAAGAACTTATCTTTAAAACTCATTAGTTGTTAGTGTGATTTTGTTCACTGACCATTTGACCAAGCTAGGGAGGAAATGGAACGCGTAACTCAGGAAAGGGTAAAGAAGCTCTTCACAACTGTGGTATCCCATAATGATAAAATTAGCCAAAACCAAAAAGTACATATTTTTAACTTTCTACCACATATAAAATAATGTTTAAGACATAGTCCAGGTACTTTTAAGAAGTTATAGTTTGGGAAGATAAAGCTTATTGTCAAGTGGAAAGTTAAATGATGAATTAAAGAGCTATAAATAGAGTAGTATAAAATGATACCTTACTTGCTATTTGAGCAGCAGATAACAAACACCCTGAATTAAGAATGGTGGCAGTCACCATGCTTTGGAAGTATTAGAAGAGCATTATGGATGCTCTTCTAATGCATTCATGACATGAATGCGACAATGGCAGCAACAGTCATGATGATTAGTAGCAAACACTTAAATGGCTACTGTTTCTGGCATTTATATATATATAAAATATATATGTATAAAATACATATACACACACTAGTGATACCTTGATTTCTTAACTTTATTTTTTCTTATTCTTTTTAAAAAACTGATACATTAATATGAAAATTATGTGTATTTATGGTGTACAACATGATGTTAACACCTCGATTTTTGAAAGATAGTTTTGTGTAGTATTCTAAATTGACCATTGTTTGTTTTGTTTTTGGCTTAAATAACGGAAATTTATTATCTCAAAGTTCTGGAGCCTGGAAGTCCCAGATCAAGGTGTTGGCAGGTTTGGTTTCTTCTGAGGTTTTTCTCCTTGGCATGCAGATGGTCACCTTCTCACTGTGTCCTCACGTGGCCTTTCCTCTTGCTTGTGTACCCCTGGTGTCATAATCTCCTCTTCTTAGAAGGACACCAGTCAGACTGGATCAAGACCCACTCTGATGACCTTATTTTAATTTAGTCATCTCTTTAAAGGCCCTATTTTTAAATACCAATGACATTTTGAGGTACTGGGAGTTAGGACTTCAACTCGTGAATTTTGGGGTGCAGGTTGAAACATAATTCAGTCAGTAACTATCCATCTATTTATCTATTTTTAAACCTATCATTTTTAACGTGGAGTGCTGTAAGACTGAAGATGCTTCAAAGAATGAATATGTATATGAAAACTTGTGATCGAGTTTTTGTTGTGATCCTTCCTCCTTTGATCAGTGTAAACTGGTCGCTTTCCTGTCTGTAATACAGCTTTCAATTCCTACCTTTCAGGATTATTGTGGGATAGATTGACTGCTTTTGTTTTTGTTTTATTTAGTACTTTTAAAACATTGCTCCACTGTCTTTAAAAAAAAATCAGTCCAGAGGTTTATTTATTTGAGACTAATAATTTATTTGGCATTCTCTGACCCAGTGATCCACCTGCCTTGGCCTCCCAAAGTGCTGGACGCAGTGGCCACGCCTGTAATCCCAGCACTTGGGAGGCTGAGGCGGATGGATCACTGGGGCAGGAGTTCGAGAGCAACCTGGCTAACATGGCAAAAAACCCTGTCTCTACTAAAAATACAAAAATTAGCCCGGTGCGGTGGCGTGCACCTGTAGTTCCAGCTACTCGGGAGGCTGAGGCACGAAAATCGCTTGAACGTTGGAGGCGGAGGTTGCAGCGAGCTGAGATCGTGCCACTGCACTTCAGCCTGGATGACAGAGTGAGACTCTGTTTCAAAACAAGAAAATAATTTGATCCTTTTGTGCCTTGCTTTGTTATGCCGGTAAAGAGCAGCAGTTAATCTAGAGCTAATTTTTCCATGCTACTGAGGGAAAAGCCTTTTGAGTACAGTACCTCAAGTCCCGTGAATTGTAGGGTTTTCCATTCTGGCTAGCATGGCAGGAATTATTCTTGTTCAGCTCTTGGGAAATGTCTCATGTAGATCATGTAGTCTCATGTAGATATGTTCTCTACTGAAGACTCTAGGGGGAGTACCTGTGTTCTTTCTCTGTACACCTCCCTCCTCTCTGGTACTCTGTTCTGTTAACTGCATTGGCTTCCTTGGCTTCTAGCTCTGCTTCTGCAATCCAGGGTGACCACTTGGCTCAACTTAGGTTCCCTCTCTGGGCATGGTCACCTGGTCACCTGGAAGTGGCCATGATAGGGCTCACTTTGTTTTTCTCCTCTCAGGGAGGGACCACCGTCTTTCACTGCCTGATATCCAGTGTCTTGAAAGTTATCATTTCATTTATTTTTTCTAGTTGGTAAGTTGTTTCAGGTGGCTGGAAGGGGTAGATTCTAGATATTTTAACTCCCTAAGCATTAAATGTAAACCCATTATCAGACTAGAGTAAGACCTATATTAAATAATTTTATCGCTTCATAATTTATGTAAGGTATTTATCACAGTGGTGACAAGGCAAAAAAATGTTTGCTGTTGCTATCCTTATTATCTCATCAAAGGACTCAATGTTGGTGTCTTCCTTACATTTAAGTGTTAAAGTATTTAGGTGAGATCCAATCCAGCTGATTACAGCTGCACCACGAGACAGTGCTATTGAAGGAACCTGGTAGTGGGTAAAGAATATTGAAAAAGTTGAGATAAACATTATGGCAGTGGCCCAAATAGCTATTATTTTCTTCTTTGTACTAGGAAAACCCCTGGAATGTATTTGAGTTTGGGCTGAATGAAGACTACTTAAAAAAATTTTTTTAAAGCAGTTTTGTTGTTGTGTGTGATTAGCCACATGAGTAAGTTGAAGCTATGGAATGTGAACACCAGAGGTTTGTGAGTAGCTTCCAGGAAGAGTCCTTATAGGGAGTGAATGTATCCTTTTCTTGCCATTGCCTTTTAACAGCTGGTGTTGGTGCTTGCTATCCCATGTCATTAGGTGGAAGCAGTGGATTCAGGTTAACAGTAACAAAGCTGAGGAGCTTAGGTCCCTGATTATCATTGGAGCCACTGGATCCACCCTGAATAGTTTTAAGGTGTTTTCTGGTTAGGTTTTTCTGTCACTTGCAGCTGAATCAGTCCAAACCAATAATATAATTTATTATGATAATATAGTATAAAATATCCGTGGTATTTAAAAATTACCATTATTTCTTTAATATTGCCAAGGAAATAAGGTGTTTAGAAATGTGTAGATCAGATGGGACGTATCTAAAAATAATAAGAGCTATTTATGACAAACCCACAGCCAATATGATACTGAATGGGCAAAAACTGGAAGCATTCCCTTTGAAAACTGGCACAAGACAGGGATGCCCTCTCTCACCACTCCTATTCAACATAGTGTTGGAAGTTCTGGCCAGGGCAATCAGGCAGGAGAAAGAAATAAAGGGTATTCAATTAGGAAAAGAGGAAGTCAAATTGTCCCTGTCTGCAGATGACATGATTGTTTATCTAGAAAACCCCATCGTCTCAGCCCAAAATCTCCTTAAGCTGATAAGCAACTTCAGCAAAGTCTCAGGATACAAAATCAATGTGCAGAAGTCACAAGCATTCTTATACACCAGTAACAGACAGAGAGCCAAATCATGAGTGAATTCCCATTCACAATTGCTTCAAAGAGAATAAAATACCTAGGAATCCAACTTACAAGGGATGTGAATGACCTCTTCAAGGAGAACTACAAACCACTGCTCAACGAAATAAAAGAGGATACAAGCAAATGGAAGAACATTCCATGCTTATGGATAGGAAGAATCAATATTGTGGAAATGGCCATACTGCCCAAGGTAATTTATACATTCAATGCCATCCCCATCAAGCTACCACTGACTTTCTTCACAGAATTGGAAAAAACTACTTTAAAGTTCATATGGAACCAAAAAAGAGCCCACATTGCCAAGTCAATCCTGAGCCAAAAGAACAAAGCTGGAGGCATCACACTACCTGACTTCAAACTATACTACAAGGCTACAGTAACCAAAACAACATGGTACTGGTACCAAAACAGAGATATAGACCAATGGAACAGAACGGAGCCCTCAGAAATAATACCACACATCTACAACTATCTGATCTTTGACAAACCTGACAAAAACAAGAAATGGGGAAGGGATTCCCTATTCAACAAATGGTGCTGGGAGAACTGGCTGGCCATATGTAGAAAGCTGAAACTGGATCCCTTCCTTACACCTTATACAAAAATTAATTCAAGATGGATTAAAGACTTAAATGTTAGTCATTTAAAACCGTAAAAACCCTAGAAGAAAACCTAGGCAATACCATTCAGGAGATAGGCATGGGCAAGGACTTCATGTCTAAAACACCAAAAGGAATGGCAACAAAAGCCAGAATTGACACATGGGATCTAATTAAACTAAAGAGCTTCTGCACAGCAAAAGAAACTACCATCAGAACAGGCAACCTATAGAATGGGAGAAAATTTTTGCAATCTACTCATCTGACAAAGGGCTAATATCCAGAATCTACAAAGAACTCAAATTTACAAGAAAAAAACAACCCCATCAAAAAGTGGGCAAAGGACATGAACAGACACTTCTCAAAAGAAGACATTTATGCAGCCAACAGACACATGAAAAAATGCTCATCATCACTGGCCATCAGAGAAATGCAAATCAAAACCACAATGAGATACCATCTCACACCAGTTAGAATGGCTATCATTAAAAAGTCAGGAAACAGCAGGTGCTGGAGAGGATGTGGAGAAATAGGAATACTTTTACACTGTTGGTGGGACTGTAAACTAGTTCAACCATTGTGGAAGACAGTGTGGCAATTCCTCAGGGATCTAGAACTAGAGATACCATTTGACCCAGCCATCCCATTAGTGGGTATATACCCAAAGGATTATACATCATGCTGCTGTAAAGACACATGCACACGTATGTTTATTGCGGCACTATTCACAATAGCAAAGACTTGGAACCAACCCAAATGTCCAACAATGATAGACTGGATTAAGAAAATGTGGTATACTTTTATGGAATACAATGCAGCCATAAGAAAGGATGAGTTCATGTCCTTTGCAGGGACATGGATGAAGCTGGGAACCATCATTCTGAGCAAACTATCACAAGGACAAAAAACCAAACACCGCATATTCTCACTCGTAGGTGAGAATTGAACAATGAGAACACTTGGACACAGGAAGGGGAACATCACACACCGGGGCCTGTTGTGGGGTTGGGGGAGCGGGGAGGGATAGCATTAGGAGATATACCTAATGTAAATGACGAGTTAATGGGTGCAGCACACGAACATGGCACATGTATACATATGTAACAAGCCTGCACGTTGTGCACATGTACCCTAGAACTTAAAGTATAATTAAAAAAAAAAAAAAATATATATATATATATATATATATATATATATATATAAATGTGTAGATCAGGGCGGCTTTAAAAAATAGCTTTTTGAAGTTAATAGCTGTTTATGTATATGCCTGGTGTTTTACAGACATTTTATGTCCTTTATTTCCTTTTCATAACAATGCTGCAAAGTTATGTTATTATCTCTGTTTTATTGATGCTATGAGGTTTAGAGAAGTTATGTAACAGTTGCGTTGGTAGAGTTAATATTCAATTTCAAGTTCGTCTGATTCCAAATCACATACTTTTTTCACTAACCCATGCTTTTCTAACTCCTTTGCTTTAAATTTTTATCTCTGAGTATCTTCTGATTGGTAAATTAATCTATTTAGGAGATGCCCTGTAAAAGTGACTAAATTTATTATTTCAGGCCACTTATTTCTTTTGTTTCTTATCATGTTGACATAAGTTACATGTCTTTTAGTTACTTGCATCATTTCTGTGGCCTCATTCGCAGGAAAAGTTAAGCTTTCCTGAATCTGTAAAGTTGAACACCACCATAAACTCTGGACTCATGATAATTTAACCTTATGTTATATACCATAGATGAGAGTTTAGTCTGAAGAAGGTCTCAAACTATTAAGCTTCTTAACTGTGCTGGTATCCTCCATCAATTAAAGGTTTGGTTTATGTATGGTTAGCTTTAAACGACCACACTTAGGATCTGAGGAAAACCATTTGACCCTTCTAGTCTATTCTAAGTCTCTTAATTCACTGAGAAATTTTGATGCATTTTTAGTTTTCATTCACTTACTATTTTGTTTTAGCCCTCTCTTTTTGTTCTAGAATGACTTATTAGCAGTCAGAGGACAGACATACCATATCGTAGGAACCTAAGCATGTCAATAATTACTTAAAATACATGGTCGCATAAAATGTTTACGTCTTAAAGAAATTTACTTTTTGTAATCTGTTATGGCAAAATATTTTTAAAGCCTGCATGTTCCAGACCTGTTCTACCTGTTACCTCTTAACTGAGATGAAGACTGCATACCTGAAAGAGAAATTCACTGGTAGAAGAGACACATGCCAGAACTACTGAGAATTAAGTCTTTGTTTATGTAACCTTTTAGTTTGTTGAGTCTTTCCTTTTTTGGAGTACATGAAATTAAATACTATGGAATAATTTGCCATTCTCAGCTGTTAATATATTCTCTATGCTGTAGAACTTGTTAATGCTACCTTTATTGTTATATAAACCTGACATGGTTTTTGACTTTAGTAATTGACAAAGTATGGATGTAAATTTAACAAGGAAAAACATTTAAAATTAGTAATGTTACATATACAAGTGTTGTATACATTCTGAATTTTCTTGGTCTCTAAGGCCTATCCATCACCTCCTCTTCCACCCACCTCTGATACTGGATATACGTAGTATTTATTTATATCTATTTATTTATTTTGCCTCTTTTGCCTTTACAATAGTTACCCATTTTCCAACTTCTCAAGTTGGAGTGCTACCAGTTGAGGGTAGTTGTATTGAGTAGTTCTTTTAAAGAGAGCTTTCTTAGGGTATATCCAAATACTTCTCTTTCCAGTATAATAGCCATTAGCTACATATGGCTAAATTAATTAAACTAATCAAAACAACATAAATTCCGTTCCTCAGTTGTGCTAGCCTTGTTTCAAGTGCTTAGTAGCTACATGTGGCTAGTGGCTACCATCTCGGACAGCACAGCTTTATAGAACGTTTGCAGTGTTCTGTTGAGTATACTTAATAATCAGAATGTGGACTGAAGAAGGCCCCTGGTACAACTCTATTTTAGATATATGTAATTTAATAATGTACTTATGGCTTTAATTTCTGGCTGAGGTTGTTCAAAAAAGTGAAATCTTTAATCCCTGTGAAGCTTGCCTTGCTTACCAGTCTACATTCTGATGAGTTTTTTCACTATGTTTTGAAGTCTTTTACAGTGCTGCCTATTTAACAGACAAATAGGACTTTGCTTGTTGTTAAATGATTTGCCAGAAAAAAATTATGGATATGTTTTTAGAAGTTTATTATATTCCTGATTATAAGAGTAACAGATGTATTACAGAAAACTGGAAAATGTAAAGAGTAAACAATTAAAACTTATATTATGCCGACTCAGATAATTTACTGTTTTTTTTTACTAGTTTTATTCATAATTTAATTAAAAAAATTTTAAACTGTTGGGAATTCATCTCATAGTTTATTTCCATTTTGTTCCCCTAACATTGTAGCATAAGAGTTTCTATATGATACTGTAAAACAACAACAACAACAAAACACTCTGAAGCATACACTGCAGTATTGAATTCAGTGGTTATAATTGCTTAACCATTCCTTGTTGTTGGACATTGTGTTCTGTGTAATGGTGCTCTTTGTTTTGTAACATAGATTACAAGGGTACATCTCTAACTTCAGAATAATTGTTTTACTTTTTTTGGTAATTATTTGTTAAGTTTGTGTCTTATACTAGAGTATAAGCCACTTGAGTGCAAGGACCATGCCTTGATTACTTGTCTTAGGTCTTTTTTGCATTGAGAAAGGTTATAAAGTTATTTTAGTGATATTTTTATCCTCAGTTTATATCATTGTGTCTGATATATAGATACTTGTTTGACAAATTGAACTTAGATAATTGGATTTTTCATTTTCATAGGTTTTGCTTATGGATAAGAATATGCACATTTTAATAAAGTAATAATTCAGCTTTTTGGACACATTCCTTTAGGGATTATAGTCTCATTTGTAATATACATTTTTCCTTTTTTGCAGCTCTTTTCACAGGAGAAAGTTTTTGGATATGCTATTTAAAGAGATGAATAATTTTCAAGGACATCTATATTTAAGCATCATATTTGCCTGGCTTTATCACATACCACAATATGGTTTAGCTATTTGAAGAACATCTTTAGTGGCAAATGCAAAACAGTGAATCATGGGTGCTGAGATACTGGCCACATTTAGTTATGATACAGCTTTGTAGCTTGTATAAGTTGATTTCAACAGTGTTCTAAAAGGAACTATGAAAAGCAAATTTGAGGATATGTATAGTTGGGGTTTTTTTCCTAAACTTACTGGGTTTTGCATGTAAAATGTGGCAGATACGAAACCTTATTCATGTAAATATGGTATATGTTGGAAATTGTAATATGTTGGTACCAATAAATGTAAATGAAGTTCTAAACTATTCCTAAACACTATTTTAAATACCTTTAACAGTACTGTGTTTTAGTGAATAATAGTAACTAAACAGCATGTGCAATGCAGTCAGTTTCTTTAAAGAACATACAGACAAAGGACGTATGTCAGTCAAAATTGGTATAAAGAGAGCAGCAAATTAGAAAACATTCATAGTAATGTTTTTAGATGCTACATTAGACTATGAGGAGAACATTACTATTACTGTGAAATACAAATTGTTGACTGCAAATAGTTTTTCTGGTATCATTATAAATGCTTTATTCATTTATCATAGTTCTATAGTAATACATTTAAATCTACCTTATTTTTAATAGCTTTTAATATTCCATTGCTTGGATAAATTATTTATCCATTACCCCTACCAAAGGATTTTTGAGTCACTTTCTTTACATCTGAGTATCAAAGAGTGTTCTTATATATATTTATGCAGATTCTAGGAAAAATGCTGTAATTTTTTCCTGTACTTCTGACATTTCTTCAGTTAGTGTTAAATGTTTTTATAATAAGGACAAAGTAAAAATTTATATTTGTAAAAAATGCTTTTAAAAGTTGTTTAAATATTTGAGAGGAAAAATTAGGTTATTTTCTCTCTTTATAACATGCACCAAAATAAACTCCAGATAATCAAAGAGGATAAAGGTAAAGTGAGAAACCATAAACAAAATGAAACTGTACAAATTCCCGTCTGATCTAAACATAATAGATATGAAAACAATCATAATGTAGTTTTTATTTACTGAAAGTGAACAAAACTAAACGAGAAGTTAAAAGAGAGAGAAAAAAACTGAGGAAAACCATATGCCCCAAAAGGCAGACACAGCACTATTATTTTTAACATAAAGAGGTTATACAAATTCACCATAAAACCTCAAATATCAATAGAAACATGGTACCAGGATTTAGACAATTCACCAAAGAAATGCAAACGACAAAAATAATGCTCAGGATTTAAAAATATAAAAATTAAAACATCAATAAGAGATAATTTTATTCTTATAAAACCCAAAAATATTTTAAATATGGTAGCATCTGCTGTAGAAGAGTGTAAATTTGTCCCATTTATTCACTGCTGGTCAGAGTCTTTCTTGTTAGTTTTAATTTGTCTTTAGTTAATAGTTAATAGACTAGAACAGTTGTAGGTTTACAGAAAATTAAGCAGATGGTACAGAGGTCCCATGTAACAGCTACTCCATCCCCTTCCGTTTCTGTTATTAACATCGTACCTTAGTGTGGTACACTTGTTACATACAGTTAATGAACCAATGTTGATACATTATTATTAACTGAAGTACATAGTTTTCTTTAGGGTTCATTCTTTGCTGTACATTTGTTTGGGTTTTGACAGATGTGTAATATCAAGTATCCACAGTTACAGTATCATACAAAAGAGTTTTACTGTCCTAAAACTCCCCCGTGCTCCACTTCATCATCCTCCTTTCTTTTTCCTCTTGTTGCCTCCAACCACTGAGCTTTTTGCTATCTCTAGTTTTGCCTTTTCCAGAATGTCATATAAATGGAATTGTCCAGTGCGTAGGCTTTTCAGAATGGTTTCTTTCACGTAGAAATATGCATTTAAGTTTCGTTCATGTCTTTTTTGTGGCTGTATGATTCATTTCTTTTTATTGCTGAATAATATTCCATATACCACAGTTTATCATTTACCTATTGAAGCAATATTGGTTCCCTCCAGTTTTTGGCAATTATAAAGCTGCTAAAAACATTTGTATACAGGTTTTAGGGACAAAACCCCAACATAAGTTGAGGAACATCTATTCTCAGCAATAACAAATGCATTATTAATACATGGAAAAAAGATGAATCTCAGAATTATACTGAATGAAAGAACCAGTCCAATAAAGAGCACATACTATTTGATTTCATTTACATTAATTATATAAACTTCAAAGTAATTTATAGTGATAGGAAAACAAATCATTCGTTGCTTGGAGAAAGTGGGGGCTTTTGAAGAGGGGCAGGAGAGGGGGATTTTTAAGGAGTACAGGAAACTTTGTGGGTTGATGGCTATGTTCATTATAGTGACTGTGGTGATGATTTTATGGATGTATACATATTGACAAAACTTATCAAATTGTACACTTTAAATGTGTGCTTTTATTGTACGTCAGTTTTACCTTAATAAAGCTCCTTTTTAAAACGAAGCTTAGAGTTTAAAAGAATATAAAGTATATGCTAAAAACTGAGAAAATTTTAAAATATGAATTTGTTAATTTATTGAGAATAACTGTAATAAAGCCATTTAATTTCACCTATGTAGTACTTAATGAAAAATATGTTTTTCAATACAAAAAGTTTAGTGAGAAGAGTGGCATTGCTCTGTAATTTTGCAAATCTTTAGTGTCTGACTTTAGTATGAAACGACGGCTGGATTCTCATCTGCTTCTTCATGTCATCAGTTGTGATATGTTGTATTTGTTGAAGTAAATGAGGAAAAATCATCATTGTACATATTTGTAGTTGGAAAAGGGAGGGGGATAGTAATAGCCTTTCTAGATAATTCTGGATATTCTTCAAGTTCTCTGTTGAAATCCCCCGTCTTGATATCTCAAACATATTAATAGCAGTGATTTTGAAGTTTATGTTAAGTTTCTGGATCTCCTATAGGGGTGTGTGTGTGTGTGTGTGCACGCGCGTGTGCGCTTTCTCTCGATTTTATGATATTTTAGTTTTATCATCTGGTATGGCTGCTAATGTTTGACTGCTGGGCATTGCATGTGAAAAAATTGCATAGAATTAGGTAACATTGTCTTCAGGAGGATTTACGTTTTCTTCTGGCAGTTACTGTTGAGGCAGACTACCTTAATCTATTCAGTAATTGAACTGATTTGAGGCAGATTTTTAATCTTTTGAGGGTTGGTCTAGTTTTTATTTTTCCTTATTACTTCTAGGATATAGCCCTTTAGTAGACTCCATTAAAAACCCTGGACTTTTTCTTCTTCGTAAGTCCAGAACTCTAATTTTTGTGTTCCCTACTCTGCAAGAATGCTAGAAGCTCTCTTAGGCTTCTCAACTTCAGAGCTGCAACTTTGTAGTCAACTTTAGGTTCACTTCTTTCTCCACCCACCACCCTGCCACCTCAAGGATTTTGGTTTCAAATCTTTACTGCTTTGGGGGCTCTCCAGGACTTGAGTAGATTTTTAAAAATAAATTCGTTTGGCCTTTAAAGCTTTTCCTCATTAATAAGATTGGCTCTATCAAATTAGTCTATCATTGGTAGAGATAGAAATCTCCAGATTGTCTAAGAATTGTTTGTTTTTTTAAAAAGTGTTTCACTGTACTAGATAGTAGAATTTCAGGGGCTTGATATATTATAATTACTCTCATGCTGATTTCATAGCTAGTTGAGAGTTGGAGAAGTAAGTTAGAGATCAGAATGTCATCTATATTACTGGTGAAATCTAGGATGCAGGCTGTGGCTCAGAGACAGGACAAAACTGTTGTCCTAAATGAAACTTGAGTCATAGATACATTTTTCTCACAGAGGTGAAATCTTCCTTGCTTTATTACAAGAATAAGAGTAGATGAGAATAAATGTGTATCATTTATATGGATCAAAATTCTGGAAAATTAAGTAATTTAGTGTAACTTAAAATTGTAAATCACTGTTGTGGTCAGTGTGTGTTATATAACAGACATAGGTTGTATATACAACCTATGATTCTTTCTTCAATTGAGCTTTTATTTTTATGAATTTTATGAATTGAGCTTATATTTTTGTGAATTTTGCAGAGCGTGGATTTGTAGTAAGTAATGTTGAGCATGCCAGGATATAAAATATTATTTTGCATTCTCAGGAATTATCAAAAAATAGAATATTTTGTGATGATTTTGTTTGCCATTTGGTAACCGTTCTGCAATCTGGTTATTTGCTGTTCATATTCGGAATTTATCTACGAGTCAATGAGTTGTGTACGCCAGGAATTCTCTCAGTATTGCAGTATATGTCACAATAATGTGGCAATATCTTTCATCAATTCTAAGCCATGTGATTAGGCATGTTAATTGTAGGAATCACCCATTTAAAACTGCTTGACTTTGAACCCAACTCTGCTTTAACCTTTTTTTTAAAAATTGTAAATAAGACTTTACAGTGATGGCCAGAACTCATTTAGTATTCCGTGAGGTTGTAATCAGTGCTAACACCAGGTGACACAAATGCAGTCAAGCTACTTCCCTTAAAAAAACTCACCAAACTTTAGGATCAGATTACCATAACATGGGCTAAATTAAAAACAGAAATGAAATACACAGTATTTATTACAGGGATATTTACCAGGAAAAGAAAGTATCTTTAGGCCATGTTGGTTTGACTTTTATTTTACGTAATTTTATAATTAGTTCAGTCCATTCATAGAAATCTCTCAAAGAAAAATTTTGACATAGCTCTTTTTTTTCTTTCATTTCTTTTCTTTTTTTTGTTTTTTTTGGAGACAGGGCAGGCTGGAGTGATGTGGCATGATCTTGGCTCACTCCAACTTTTGCCTCCAGGGCTCAAACCGTCTTCCCACCTCAGCCTCCTGAGTAGCTGGGACTACAGGCATAACGCCACCATGCCCGGCTAATTTTTGTATATTTTGTAGAGACAGGGTTTCATCACATTTCCCAGACTGGTCTCAAACTCCTGAGCTCAAGTGGTCTTCCTGCCTTAGCTTCCCAAAGTGCTGGGATTACGGACATGAGCCACCAAGTCCAGCTGATGTAATACAGTAATTGATTGGTTTCATATTAGGAACATTAAACTACATTTTTATATTTCATATACTCATTTTTGTGATTTTTAAAACAATTTTTTGGTGGAGATGGGGACTGAAATAACTTTCTAGGTATAGAACCCTAATTTGCAATACTGTTTCTATTGGAAATTCAAATTTTATTTACAAATTTAAATTTCAGTCATTATCAAAGAACCAGTTAGGTTGTAAGATGGGTGGGAGTCGTGTATAAGCTCAATTAAATCAAACCATCTTTATTTTGTGTATACTGCATATGCACACACGCGTACATATACAGTCATTCCTCGAAGTCTGTGGGAGACTGGTTCTAGGACCTCTAGAGGATACCAAAATCCATCCTTGCTCAAGTCCCTTATATAAAATGGTGTAGTGTTTTCATATAACGTGTGCCCATCCTCCTGTATACTTTAAATCATTTCTAGATTACTTATAATGCCTAATACAATGTAAATACTATGCCGGTAGTTTTTTTTTTTTTAATAGAAAGTAAAACATGTTTCAAAAGCTACAATAAACCTGTATCCAAAGGAGTCCTATACATCAGTGATGTGCTGGACTTTGAATTTTGTGGTACAGCTTTGCATTGGACTCCCTCCGGCCTACTGGTCTGGGTACGGCTTGCTTCCTGCCTGTTGAAGGGTGAATACGCTACACAGAGCTATGATGGTTTCTACTGAGTGGTAAAATTCACAGAAGTTCCAGGTTCATCATGTCAGGATCATTCCTTGTGCAAAGTTTGATGTAGATGAAGATAAAGTGGTTTCTTGGTCAATAATTGCAATTGCTTTCTTTTAAAGTCAGTGGGTTTCTTGTATAGTTCTATTACATTTGGCCCAAGTTTAATTTCATCCATCTCCATGAAAGCAAAACACTTGGTGCTGGTAAACCTTTTTTTAGGCTTGTAGTGTTTGAATTCAAAGAAGATAGCTGCACCTTTGGTTAATTTTTCAACATGCTTCTGGAGCTCAATGTCCACATTAAAATGAACATATGTATCTTCTTTTCTTGAAGCCACAGGAGTATCTTGCACAGGAGTTAAGTCTATGCCATTCAGATCCTTTACACTAACTGTAATATAGGGATTGATGCACTGCCCAGCATCTTTCAAACCAGTTTTCTCAATTCTGATAGTGAGTAATGTCATTCCTGGTTCCAGTGGCAACCTTGGTAAGAAAGTACCGGGAACTCTAGCAGGAAAAGAATCAGGAGACCCTGCTCCAGCACCACCCTCTTCTTCATCTTCTTCAGATTCCAAATTCTCTTCTTCACCAGGTGCCAAAATTCTTCTTAATGGGACAGGCTAAACATCAAATGGGAATTCTTTATTATATGTAAGAATATTCTTTAGGATTGGTTCTAGCTTCTTCAGGTTCTCCAATTTAAATTCTTCTTGAGACTGTGTGGACTGTAAAGCTGTACTTCGCAATTCTAAGCATGTTGCAATTTTGCCTGTGGTTTTCTTTCTTCTGTGAATTCAGAATTATTGTGTTGAGCTTGGGCCTCTTTTTGTAGATGTCTTGCTAATATCTGATACTTGTCTATCGCCTCCACCAGCTGGCCCCAAGAGTCGCAGTCGGCGCCTCTCCTAAAACTGGCGCCCCAGCGCTGCAGCAGACTCCGGGTCACCTCTGACATGGCTGGTCCCCACCCCGTCCCCTCCTGCCCCTACCCCAGCAAGGCCGGGTTCTAGGGCGCCATCCTTCCCAGGCCTGGCCCTGACATTAACAGGGCCAGGAGGACCGCTACGGCCACCACCGCCACCCACCGAGGAGCCGCCCAAGCCCATTTTTCGCCGATAGTTGTTATATTGTATTGTTTAGGGACTAATGACAAGGAAAAAAGTCTGTGTATGTTCAGTACATATGCAACAATCTGTTGGTTTTTTTCCTGAATATTTTCAGTTCTGATTGTTGAATCAGTGGATTCAGAAACCGTGGATATGGAGGGCTGACTATATACAGTCTTTTTGGTATGTTTCATTTTCAGAAGTGTTGGTTTAGATTCAGATATATTTGTTATTTAGAAGTCTCTTTAAGATAATGTTTTCTGGCTGGGTGCGGTGGCTAACGCCTGTAATACCAGCACTTGGGGAGGCTGAGGCGGGCGGATCACGAGGTCAAGAGATCGAGACCATCCTGGACATCATGGTGAAACTCCATCTCTACCAAAAATACAAAAATTAGCTGGGTGTGGTGGCATGCGCCTGTAGTCCCAGCTACTCGGGAGGCTGAGGCAGGAGAATTGCTTGAACCTGGGAGGCGGAGGTTGCAGTGAGCTGAGATCGCACCACTGCACTCCAGCCTGGTGACAGAGTGAGACTCCGTCTCAGAAACAAATAAACAAAAAGATAATGTTTTCTGTCATTTTGGTGACAATTATGCAAGAAAGGAAGGTCAGCTTCATTACCTGGTACACAGGAGAAAAAAGTATTTATAAAATGGGATGCTACTGATTTGACTACTTCATGTGTAGAAACCATAAGATCATCTTTAGATTTTTGAATTATACTTTTTAAAGTACAAACCATTCAGTACGTTTTATAATACTGTAAATTAATTGAAACCATTGTTGTTAGTGTAATTATAGCCTCGGTAGTTTTTCAAGGAAACGTGGTAATGAAATATCGAGACCTCAGTTACATATGTCTTTTGGTTTATACCACTGACTTTATTAGAATATTAGTTTGGCGTCATTCTTTTTTCCCCCAAGAAAACCTGCTTTCTGTATCTTCCCATATTTTTCAAGCAGGTCTGCTATAGTTAATTCCTCTCTGTCAGCATTTGGATTGTTTATACTGTATTTCCCACATGGTGTTGGTAGGTATTTTCTTGCTGTATTAGCTGGCTGCAGTATTATGGCTTTGCTTGCTGATGGAAATAGGTTTGTTCACTAAGCTCCTTTGGGCAAGGACATTAGCTCATCCATTTATGCTGTAGACATATTTGTTGAAATGATATCCCGGAGCTATCAAGTTAACAGCGGAGTTCTTTTACCTGTTTCTGTATTCCTTTGCTTTGATTGAGAAAGTGAACTTATTTTGCAATTGATTCTTAAATCCCTTGTGTTTAAAGGATTTTATGTACACTCAGTCATTTAATGAATATTTAGTAACTACGGCATGCCAACCACTGGTTTAGGCAGTGAACAAAGCAGATAAAATATTCCTGCCTATCAGTTTGCATTTTAATAAGGAGCTAGATAATAATTTAATTGTTTGTAGGATAGTGATAAGTGGTAAGGAGAAAGAAGGTAAAACAAAGATAATGCGAAATATAGAACTTTTAAAGTTTACATATTATAATAAGTTCTCCCAGAAAAGGTTACTTTTAAGTGAAGACTTGGTGGAGAGCTACCACCAACTGGTGCAGTTATATGGGTGTGAGCTTTTCTGACAGAAGGAAATAGTGAGTCCAAAGTCCCTGAGTCAGGAACATGCCTTTTGTGGTTTTTAAAAAACTTCTTATTTTGAAACAATTTTATAAACTTACTGCATACACAAAACATTTGATTTGTCAACTGTCCAAATAATGTTCTTCATAGCAAAAGAATCTGACCCAGGATCATATATTCATCCAACTCTCATGGCTCTCGAATCTCTTTCAATCTGGAACAGTTCCCCAGTCTTGACTCTCATGCTCTTGACAGTTTTGATGATTACAAGCCATTTATTTTGTAGAAATTGTTCCAGATTTGCCACTGGGAGCCCTTTCATACTGGCTTATGTGTCCTCTTGACAAGTCACCATCAGTCCTTGTACACTTCTTTACTTATTTTTAAACTTTTTTCTTGAAATAATTATAAATTCACAGTAACTTTGCAAAAATAGTACAGAATGGTCCTGTGTACCCCATTTCCCATAGTGTTTATATCTTACATAACTATAGTTTATTCTCAAAACGAGGACATTGACATTGATACATTGTGTATGTATAGCTCTATGCCATTTTATCACCTGTGCACTTCCTTCCTTTTTGGCACAAGATGCTACAAGCTCATCTTATCATTTTCCTACTCCAGCCTTAGAATCAGCTATTTCTGCAAGGAGCCCTAGTTCCTTTTAGTGAAGAGTAGTATTTTAAAACCAAGATCTGAGTGCTAGATGAGCTCATTGCTATGGGAGTATCTATTGTACACCAGGCCCTTTCAGTGGTCACATCCAGGAAGCATGTGCATGCACGTAAGTGTGTGTGTGTGTGTGTGTGTGTGTGTGTGTGTACACCCACACAGACATTTATCTACATCTATATTTCTATATCCATCTTTATTTTTTTTAACTTTATTTTTGAGACGGAGTCTCGCTCTGTTGTCCGGGCTGGAGTGTAGTGGCATGATCTCTGCTCACTGCAACTTCTGCCTCCCGGGTTCAAGCAATTCTCTTGTCTCAGCCTCCCGAGTAGTTGGGACTACAGGCGTGCGCCACCATGCCCAGCTAATTTTTGTATTTTTAGTAAAGACAGGGTTTCGCCATGCTGGCCAGGCTGGTCTCGAACTCCTGACCTCAGTTGTTCCACCCTCCTCAGCCTCCCAAAGTGTTGGGATTACAGGCATGAGCCACCACACCTGGCCCCCTGTATCTTTTATATAATGAAATCTGTTAATTCATATTGATACAATCTAGTTCCAGCTCAACACCATGAGTTCATTGTAGTGTGCCCAACCCTCCTCCCCCATATTTGTATTTATTCTATCATTAGTATGAGCCTAGTTCGGTTATTACATAGTAACTAATTGGCTGAATTCCTCATATTTAGTCAGTCTCCCAACCCTGTAAAACTGTGGTGCTGCTCAGTTTTCCCTACTTGTTAGTGCCCTGTCTGCCACTGAGCTACCTTCCTACACCATTCCTACTTCTTGTGTAGGGTACCGGTTGTGATTTCGAAACGTTTAGAAGGCCAGTGTGGCAGAAGCACAGTGAGTGAGACAGAAAGTAATGGGAGGTGAGGTTTGAGAGTTAATAACTAGGTGGATGCGAGCAGATGATAGACTCAAAGGCTGGGAATTGTGCTTTACTCTCAATGAAATGGGAAGCCGTTGGAGGTTTTGAACAGAGGAGTGACAGCATCATTCTCTGAGTTCCATTGAAAATATTCTAAGAAGAGAGAGAAGGCAAAGTTGGAAGCAAGAAGACCTAATGGTAGACATTTGCAATGATTCCAGCAAAATGTTGGTGATTTGTAAAGGTGGTGAAATCTGGTGGAGTTCTGGATTCATTTTGAAGGCAGTCTTGACCAGATTTGTAAGTGTTAGGATTTGGGCTCTTGAGAGAAAAAGCAGTCAGATTTGAATATTAACATTATTGGCCTCAGTATTTGCAAGGATGGAATTGGCATGAATGGAGATGTGAAAGACTGAAGGAGGGAAGTGGTTGTAGTAGGAAAAGGAAGGGGTAGGGCATAGTTTTGGACATTATTGTTTGAAATACTTACTAGACATTCAGAAAAAGCTGATGAATAGCAAATAGATATATGGGTCTTGAATTCAGGATTTTAGTTGGAATAGAGATAATGAATTTAGGAGCCATCAGCACATATTTAAAGACGCAAGACAAGATGGAGTTCGAGGGAGTGAGTGAATTTGAGAGAGGAGGCCCAAAGACAGGAGAAAACCAATAAAGTATACTAAGAAAGGGCAACCAGAGAAATATGTGATAAACGATTTAAATGGGTTTTCATCAAAGCAAAGTAGAAAAAGTTTTCAAGTTTTTGAAAATAATAGGGCAAGGCAGTCCTGACCAAACTTTGACCTGTTATTTTGAAAAAAATAGTGAAGGACTGTCTAAAGATGTTTATAGGTCAAGTAAGATGTGAACTGAGACATGATCATTGGATTAGCAACATGTAGGTCACTGATAAGCTTGAAAAGAAAAGTTTAGGAGTGTGATGATGGCTGTTAGTCGGGGGAGATCTGATTGTAGTGAATTGTAAAGGGAATGGGAGGAGAAAAACTTAAGACAGCTAGAATAGGTATTTCTTCCAAGAAATTTTTCTGTAAAGAAAAAGATTGAAATGGCAGCTGTATGGGAGGTAGGGTCAAGGGATTTTTTCTTAAGGGTAAGAGAAATAACAACATGTTTCCATGCCAATGGCAGTAATCAAGTAGAGAAGGCGGCGAGAAGAAATGAAGAGATCATGGGAGAATTGCTGTTGTGGTGTTAATGAGCAAGAGGGAATGGGAGATTTAGTGTGTAGGTGGAGGGATTAGCTGTAGCTAGGACTGTACATCCATAATAGCAGGAAAGAAAGTAAAATGTGTGGGCACAGATGCAGGAACGTGGATAGATTTGGTGATGAAGGCTTGTACAAGTTCTCAGTGAGGTAAGAAGCAAGATTTGAAGAATTCTGCACTTGAGGAATTTACAGCTAATAGATGTGAGATAAGCTGTGTACAAAAATAACTTTTATAAGGACAAAGTGACATCTTCTTTGAAGAACATGTAATGTGTAGGAGTTAGGAAGGAGAGATTTTTATCCTGGAGGATCCTGAAGATTTCACAGAAATAAGTTTTATCTGAACTAATCTTTGAAGAATAGATAAAAATTTGAACAAGTAGACATGACTGAAGAACTTTAACTTTTTAATTTTTTTATTTTAATGCTTAGCACTCAGCCTTGGTACATGGCTACCCCTCAGCAAATGAATGAGTGTTGAATGTTCTGTGGTGAAAGACTGTGAGGAAAGTGATGGAAGTAGAAAGACCAAGGTGAAAGGTGAAAGTTTGGGTGGTCCAAACTTTCCAGTGGATACTGTTCAATAGATATATAATGTGAGCCACATATATAATTTAAAATTTCCCAGGAGCCTCATTTTAAAAGGTGGAGGGAAACAGATGAAATTAATTTCAATAAATATTTCATTTAACCCAGTATAACAAAGTATTATTTTAACATGTAATCAATATTTTAAAATTATTAACGAGTTATTAAAACAGTTATTTCATATTCTTATTAGTACTAAGTCTTTGAAATCCAATGTGTATTTTACATTTACCAGAGCATCTCAGTTCAAGCTAACCACATTTCAGGTGCTTGGTAGCCAGATGTAACTAGTGCCTTCTCTATGGGACAATACAAATCTAGAGCAAATGTGAAAGAAGGGTCGTAAATAGTGGGAAGTCAGATTGGAGAAGGTCGATGGGGCAAAGTATTCCAAATGCTAGTTTAGACTTGATTTTCTAGGCATTTGGAAGGTATGGAATAATGTTAGGGGTGCCTGTAATCCCAGCTACTTGGGAGGCTGAGGGAAGAGAATCACTTGCGGAGGTTGCAATGAGCCAGACCATACCACTGCACTCCAGCCTGGGCGACAGAGTGAGACTCCGTCTCAAAAGAAAAAAAAAACAACAACAAAAAAACACCCCACCCCAACAAATTTGAATATTAAGAAGAGCATGAAATGTATAGCTTTATGTTTCAGAAAGATTACTCAGCAGTAGAATGGAGATGTACTGGAGCAGAGGGAGATTAGAGGCAGGGAAACAAGTTAGTAGGTAAGAAATAATGTGAATCTGAAACCATAATGGAGAAATTTTGTTATTTCTTTTAAACCATAGTTGCTGGCCGGGCGTGGTGGCTCACGCCTGTAATCCCAGCACTTTGGGAGGCCAAGGCAGGTGGATCACCTGTGGTCTGGAATTCGAGACCAGCCTAGTCAACATGGTGAAAACCCATCTCTACTAAAAGTACAAAAATAAGCAGGGCGTGGTGGTGGGTGCCTGTAATCCCAGCTAGTTGGGAGGCTGAGCGAAACTCCGTCTCAGAATGACTTATACAGAGGGAATGACTTGAAGTAAGGGGCAAGGGAAAGGAATTCTAAACCTGACTTACATAGAATGGCGTTGCTTATTAGATGTAGAGTAGGTAAGATTTTTTTTTTTTTTTTTTTGAGGCGGCGTTTCACTCTTGTTGCCCAGGCTGGAGTGCAATGGCGCGATCTTGGCCCACTGCAACCTCTACCTCCCAGGTTCAAGCGATTCTCCTCCCTCAGCCTCCCAAGTAGCTGAAATTACAGGCACCTGCCACCACGCTTGGCTAATTTTTTGTATTTTTAGTAGAGATGGGGTTTCACCATGTAGGCCAGGCTAGTCTCAAACCCCTGACATCAGGTGATCTGCCTGCCTCAGCCTCCCAAAGTGCTGGGATTACAGCCATGAGCCACCGCGCCCAGCAGAGTAGGTAAGATTTGAATGAGAAGATGCCTAATTTAATTTTGGTTATGTTGATACTAAGATGCTGGCTATTTACACAACAGTTTTTTGAGTATATACACTATGACTGGAATATAGAAAATAAGTTTTTACCTTTAAGGAAGATAAAAAATTCCTTACCTTTAAGGAATTTATGACCTCTGAAGTTTTAATCTTGTATCCCATCATTGAAAAATTTTTGAGAATATCTCCAAATATATTTTATTTATAATTTGTATACATGGACTATAGTATTAAAACATGTAAATTACAAAATATACATAAAAGAGGAGTTTTTAAAGTATAATTTTATAAACATAAGATTGTTATAAATATTACTTTATTAATGGTACAAACTTTTTCTTTCCCCACTAAATGACATATGCTTTATTGCTTTTTACAATTTTTGTTTAATGTTGTTGCAGTGATTTGAAGATTAGGTTCTAAGTTCAGTTTATTTTGCTACCAGGTTTTGAGAACTATCATAAGTTTTTTTTCCTCCTGAAATTTCACAAGGAGGTATAGATACAAATGGAAGAAGCATAATACGTTAGTGGCTGTAGTTACTAAATCACAATACTCACTTTCTAATTCTGCTCACCAATGATACAACTTTTTTTTTTGCACCTTAGTAGATCATTTTACACTCTCATTGAGTAGGTCCACTCAACTTAGGAGACTTCTTGGGTCTTTTGGGTATCTGGTGGATACTTGGAAATAAGGGTACTGGATCACAGTGTACTATTTTGTAGAAACAGGGTTATTAAGCCTACAAGATGGTTCAAAGAATAAAGTCTAGATTTTTGTTGACTTTATTGCCTTTCCATTTTGAGTGTAAGAAAAATTATGGCTATTTGTGGCAATTTAGGTTGTGTCTTTGAGTAATTTTGTATTTCTTTTAAACCATAGTTGTTGGCCGGGTGTGGTGGCTCATGCCTGTAATCCCAGCACTTTGGGAGGCCAAGGCAGGTGGATCACCTGAGGTCTGGAGTTCGAGACCAGCCTAGTCAACATGGTGAAAACCCATCTCTACTAAAAGTACAAAAATAAGCCAGGCGTGGTGGCGGGTGCCTGTAATCCCAGCTAGTTGGGAGGCTGAGGCAGGAGAATCTCTTGAACCTGGGAGGGCGGAGATTGCATTGAGCTGAGATCACGTCATTGCACTCTAGCCTGGGCAACAAGAGCGAAACTCCGTCTCAGAAAAACCCAAAAAAACCATAGTTGCTAATGTGTATCTAAATTGGTTGATAAATTATTATTCCTACTTAAGGTGCTGTTATTGCCAGAAATGAAGGAGCAATATGCAGATTTATGGATGAAATGGTCTAGTTGGTAATTAGCCTTTAGAAACTGTAGATTTACCTATTAGTTATCAAATTGTTTCATCAATGGGACCTTTTCTCTGACAAATAAGGATTTATAGGCTACCAAAATATGAAATAGACCCCAAAAACTGTGAATTAGATTCGCTTTCCGAGACTTGCTCATCATTCTTTATAGGGGAGGGCACATAGAGTGGACAAAAGAGAGACAGGATAGATATTTAAAAGGTTGTTAAAATGTTTTCTGATTTTTAAAAAGTGTTTACTTAAAAAAGTTTCCTGAGAGGTATGAAAGAACTGTTGCCTCCTGGGTAAGGATGAGTTGTGCCTTGCTTCTCTGGTTTCTGTTGAGAAGAACATTTTTACTTTTCCATGAAAATTAGGTTGGCTACTCGTTCTGCATAGTTACAAATGTAGTTAGAAGAAGAAAAGAGAAGCGTGCGTCCTTTAAAACAACCATCAACAACTATTTTCTTCTTGCTGTGTTCTTTCGTGGTTCTTAGTGGTAGTTATATGAATAGCAGAAAGACCTGCTCCTGGTTGCAGCTTCTGCCTCTGCTGTATCCCTAAGTGGCTCTGCCTCAAAACACTTCTCCATTTTTTTTTTTCTAGTGGAACTTTTACGAGAATTGAATGAGCGAGTGACTTTCTTTTGCACATAGTATGAACTCAGTAAATGTTAATTTCCTAATGTGATCTGTGGGCACACATTTTTGCCCTTTGATTTTTCATGTGAACTTGGTTTTTTATAAAAGTACTTGGTTGTGCCTTAAAAAGTTCATTGTTTAGATTTGATTAATATTTGACTGGAAAATTGAAGATGATGTCTGTGGGTATAATGATTTGATCTTGGGGTATTTCCAGTGATTTTTTTTTTTTTTTGAGATGGAGTCTTGCTCTGTCGCCCAGGCTGGAGTGCAGTGGTGCAATCTCGGCTCACTGCAACCTCCGCCTCCCAGGTTCAAGCGATTCTCCTGCCTCAGCCTCCTGAGTAGCTGGGATTACAGGTGCGTGCCACCACACCCGGCTAATTTTTGTATTTTTTTTTTTTAGTAGAGACAGAGTTTAGCCATGTTGGTCAGGCTGGCCTCAAACTCCTGACTTCATGATCTGCCCGCCTGGGTCTCCCAAAGTGCTGTGATTACAGGTGTGAGCCACCGTGCCCGGCCTCCAGCGATTTTTTAATGTGGAATATAAAATGAGATTTTTAAATCTCTGTAGTTTTAAAACATATTTATAATAACTATAGTGATATATCAAATTCTGACAATAGGGAAAGATAGTTTTGTGTTTGAAATTCCTTTAATTCCATCTCAGATTCTCCAGCAGGGCAGCTCTCCTCTTCTCACTCAAAATTGCTGACTTGTTTTTAAGGGTTATGAGAAACATCTTTTGGAAGATGGGATCCAAAGTATAAAGTCGTGTGACTTCTCATAACCTGCTCCCTCCCAGCACTTTGAACACAAATAAGCTTTGAAAGTGTTTGGAGGATAAGTCTCTGTAATAAAAAGTTTTCATTGAAATGTAGCAGACTTGAGGATGAGTTTCCTACTCATATGTCCTCCCTGATTGAGAAGATACAATATATTAGAAAAGGTATGTGAAAATGTCTAAGCACAATGATGGCAAACAGGTTTTAAAGTTCATTTGCCCCTGTGTGTGGTTTTTTTTTTTTTTTTTTTTTTTGAGATGGAGTCTCACTCTGTTGTTCAGGCTGGAGTGGAGTGGCACGATCTTGGCTCACTGCAGCCTCTGCCTCCCAGGCTCAAGTGATGCTCCTGCCTCAGCCTCCCAAGTAGCTGGGACTATAGGCTAGCACCACCATGCCCGGCTAATTTTTGTATTTTTAGTGGAGACAGGGTTTCACAATGTTGGTCAGGCTGGTCTCGAACTCCTGACCTCAGGTAATTTGCCTGCCACGGCCTCCCAAAGTGTTGGGATTACAGGCCACTGTGCCTGGCCTCCTGTGCTATTTTTATGTTGTCAGTAAGTTCATTATTATCCAATGCACCCAAAACATTCTTTGTAAATATATGTCTATATATACCCTCACAGAAAAGTATGTACATTGTATGTATACAGCTTGATAAATTTTTACAATCTGAGAACCCATATAATCAGCAGCTAGGTCAAGAAACAGAATTTTCCAGAATGTCCCCTTATCCTGACCTTCTAATCACCACCCCACCTATGTTTTTCATGAAATTTTTATTTTTATGTACAAGTTTTTAACAGTTTTAGGGAAATTACATTTGCTTTTAATTACCTAATGTATGTTTAAACATCATTAATTAGAAAGAAATGGGATATTTTGAACATTTCTATCAGAAACTTGAAAAAATTTTGTTCATAAAGGTACTCAGAGAGCTCTGTGTCCTCCACATGGCTGACCTAATATAATGTGGTAATAGCCACAAAAAGGTAAAATACTTAGCATATAGACTTAACAACATGTATTTAGAATAGATGTGTTTATCACTTTGCTGAAAGAAATAGATGGAGAGACCTACCTTGTTCTTGGATGGGAAAAAAAAGTTAGTTTTTCTCAAATTAACCTATTAATCCCTGTTAAGATCCCAGTTCAGAGAAGAGAGAGAAAAAAAAACAACATATGACTTATAGGAGGCGGCGAATAGTGAAATGCATTGGGATTTAAAATAGCATCTGTTTTAGTAGAGATATGGAGCTATAGATAATAAATGAGTAATTTTTTAAAAGGTCTAAATGTATTAAGACTGTCTTCTGTAATACCTTAGATCTTGTTTACTTAGATTTGCTATATTTTATTATGAGTTATTAATACAAATTTCACCACAAAAAACTTAGGAAAAGAATAAAATGATATAATTTCATCATGGTATGATAGTTATTGTATTTTTTGCTTTCCATTCAAAAATTTCATATACATAATTCCCTTAAGTAGAATTATTATACATTTAATTTTTATTCTGCACTTTTTAAACATTAATTTTTTAAAAATACTAATTCCTACCTAGTCTTTGTAACAACTATTTTTAATGATTGGTTAATATAACTTTGACAAGCTTTAGTAAAATTTACTTAGTTTTTCTGTTCCAGATTTTTAGGTTGCTTTGAGTTTCTTGCTATTATAAATAATGTTGCTCCAAGCACTTTTGTGTTATATCTAATCTTTCCCAGATTTTAACTGTCTTAAATAAAATGTTAAGCTGTATAAACTTAAAATAAGACTGAAAATTACTTGGCAGTGAAAGAGCTTTTAAAATTGATTAAAACATAAGTACATTCATAACAAAAGGAGTTACAGTGACTAGTACCTAACCTTTGTTTCATTTGGCATCACAGTCTTTCATTAGTTGTCACACTAGCCCTGAGACTTAAATGTTGTATTGCATAGATGTCAAAAATGAGATTTAAAGGAGTAAAATAATTTTCTTTATGGAACACATTATGTTAGTGATGGAACTGTTTTTGGTTCTGTTAGTATAAAAAATGTGCTAATAGGTTTAGACGTTAAAGTGTAAAAACCTTCCAACTCTCCATATCCTAAATTACGTAATCTTTAAATGCATAGTGTGTATTTAGGTGATATTGAAAATAGTGGTAATAATAGCTAACATTTATTGAGTGATATTGTTTGGAGATGAAGCAGAAATTTAACTTCACAATTGTAGAAAAATAATTTTCTATATTTAGGTTCTTAGGGGTGGAAACCATATAGACAAACTTCTTGTTATAAATGAAAAAGAAGGTTCTGTTTATTTAATTGACAATTGACTAGAAACAGGCTGGGAAGACTGTTTCTTGTCATTAAGTGTGAATATGACCAAACTGTTTTACCTTCTAATAAACAAAACTTTATCTGTTTGTTGTATCTTTTCAAAATTTAAGAAATACTGGAATAGCTCTATATTCAGAGTAGCTTAGCTATCTATCTACTTAACTGTATATCCACAAATATTTTACAGACAAATGTTGCTTTGTAATTTAGTTGGCCATTGTCATCTCCAGCATTCTTAGTTACTAGATAGACTTTATAGGAAAAGTTGTTCCTCCACCATCTTGCCCCTTCAGCTCCAAAATGTCCATGAAGTGTAGGTTATTCTGCTTTGAGACCCTTTGTTTTCTCTCTCTCTCTCTCTCTCTCTCTCTCTCTCTCTCTCTCTCTCTCCTCTCTCTCTCTCTCCTCTCTCTCTCTCTCTCTCTCTCTTTTGTTTTTTGAGATGGAATCTCGCTCTGTCACCCAGGCTGGAGTGCAGTGGCGCGATCTCGGCTCACTGCAAGCTCCGCCTCTTGGGTTTAAGTGATTGTCCTGCCTCGGCCTTCCAAGTAGCTGGGATTACAGGCGTGTACCACCACGCCTGGCTAATCTTTGTATTTTTAGTAGAGACGGGGTTTCACCATGTTGGCCAGGCAGGTGTCAAACTCCTGACCTCAGGTGATCCACCCTCCTTGGCCTCCCAAATAGTTGGGATTACAGGCGTGAGCCATCATGCCAGGCCTTCTCTTAAGGTAGTCTGGTCTTCCCTGGAGTATCTGTAATGGAGCACTATATAAACAGATCCTGCCATCAGTGTATTTAAAGTACTGCTGCTGAACGATATTATGAATATCAAAATATTGAAGCCATATAATTATTCTGTGTACTGTGAGCACCAAATAGGAAAATTAATAAAACATAAAACCAGCAGGCCTTTTGGGGGTATTTTTCTTGCATGTATGTGTTATATCCTGGATGAGATTTTTTTTTTTTGCCCTAAAGTCTATCTGTGATACTTAACTGTACAAGTTTCAAATATGGAAAATACTTTTTAAAAAGTCTAACTTGCCTACAATCAGAATAACAACTCTAATTTTATCTGGCCAGTAGTTTCTCAGTTGAATACCAATATTAAATTAAGAATAGGATTCAGTCAGATGATGCATTACTTTTTCTAATATTTTATAATAGGTGTGTAAATTGCCTGTTTTCTGTTTTATAGGGAGTTTCAGGTAACATTGTATGTAATTTTTGAGGAGAGAAGCTTTTTTTAATAGAGGAAAAGATAAAATTGTTGATTTATAAGCCATAAGAAATCTAGTAATGCAGGCTGGGCACAGTGGCTCACACCTGTAATCCTAGCACTTTGGGAGGCCAAGGCGGGTGGATCACCTGAGTTCAGGAGTTCGAGACCAACCTGGGCAACATGATGAAACCCCGTCTCTACTAAAAATACAAAAAAGTAGCCGGGCATAGTGGTATGCGCCTGTAGTCCCAGCTCCTCTGGAGGCTGAGACACAAGAATCACTTGAGGTGGAGGAGGAGGTGGAGGTGGAGGTTGCGGTGAGCTGACATCATGGCACTGCACTCCAGCCTGGGCAACAGAGCAAGGCTCTGTCTCAAAAAAGAAAAATAGTAATACAAATATAATTTGATCTTAATTTTATTCATGTGTTTCTAAACAATATGTTACATTATGTATTACACAAATAAAATAATAAAACAATGTATTACATTATGAATGCAATTTGATTCATATCTTCCCATCAACTTAATATTTTAGAAGAAAAAAATCAGAATTTAATTTAAAAAATACCAATAATTATTCAAAGCAGCATTGGGCCCAATACCAACCTTAATGCTTCTAAGCTGTGCAGTTCTGGGAAATGGTTTAAGTTCTCCAAGCCAAATTTCAACTAAAAAATATGGTGATATTAAGACTGTATAATTAACACCATATAATTCCACCATATAATTAACACCATATAATTAACACCATATAATTCCACAGTCTGTTAGGAAAATTAAATAAGGAGATGTTATATAAAGTGTTTGGCATCATGTCTATCCAAGAACTCTGCAATAGCAGCTGCTTTATTATCAGCACAGAGCACTATCACCATTAGAACAATTACCAACTTTACATTTAATTCTTCTAAAACCTTGATCAAATCAATAATGTGATTTTTTGCTCTTTCCTTTCTTTCCTTTCTTTTCTTTCTCTCTCTCTTTGTCTTACTTTTTTTTAAATTTTTTTTTGAGACGGGAGTCTCACTCTGTCACCCAGGCTGGAGTGCAGTGGCACGATCTCGGCTCACTGCAAGCTCCACCTCCCGGGTTCACGCCATTCTCCTGCCTCAGCCTTCCAAGTAGCTGGGACTACAGGCGCCCGCCACCATGCCTGGCTAATTTTTTGTATTTTTAGTAGAGACAAGTTTCACTGTGTTAGCCAGGATGGTCTCGATCTCCTGACCTCACGATCCTCCCGCCTCGGCCTCCCAGAGTGCTGGGATTACAGGTGTGAGCCACCGCGCCTGGCCCGTACGTTCTTTTAAAATCAGAATATGCTATCGTTAATGCCTCTCTCATTGTAAAGGTTCATTCTCTTTTTAGGACCACGGCTGAGGTTAGGGTGAAGCCATTCAGGCACTTGGAACAAAATTTGAGGGAGAACCCTAAAAAGCCACAGTAATCAAGATATTTTAATGTAATATTTTAAAAATTAATGCAAAGACTCACTATGAACAGAATATCAAACTCAAAATTTTAAAGAAAGGCAAAATCAGGAAGAGTACTGTGCCAAGCCATATTGGCATGTGAGGCAAAAAGGAAAAATTAATAATACTGGTCCTATCTTGCCATGCTGAGCCATGTTAGAGCCTGAGGCTCAAGGAAAAGTCATAAAAACATTCCTATTGCTCCTGTCTTTTGCCCTAGGAAAGTTTCTTTCCCTATGCCAGGCCTTGCTTTAACTATTTAAATAGCCAATTTTTAAAGAACTGCTCACCAGAATGATTTTATAGGCTATGAACTCTTTTTTACAAACGAGGGCCCTAGAAGTTGGGTGAAATTACTTGTGTAGGGTCACACAATTTTATCTTTTCCTCTATTAAGTTTTTCTCCTCAAAGTTACTGCTAACCTCTGAGTTGCTAAATTCTCAGTCCTCAATTAAGTTGACTTAGCCGTCCTCAATTTAAGTTGCCACTAAATGGCAGAACCGTGATGATGTAACCCAGGTTTCTTAACTTCTAGACTTCCTTTACTTTATTATCTCTTTATAAAACACATCTGTGTATTTGTTGGCTCATTACCCTGAGACTGGGTAATTTATAAAGAAAAGAGGTTTAACTGACTCACAGTTCCCTAGGCTGTACAGGAAGCGTGGCTGGAGAGGCCTCAGGAAACTTATAATCATGACAGAAAGCAAAGGGAAGCAGGCATATCTTACATGGCTGGGAAAGGAGGAAGAGGGAGAAGGGGGAGGTGCTACACACTTCTAAACCAGATCTCCTGAGTACTCACTCACTATCATGACAACAGGGAAAAGTCTTACCCTGTGATCCAATCACCTCCCACCAAGCCCCTCCTCCAACATTGGGGATTACAATTTGACATGAGATTTGGACAGGGACACAAAAATCCAAACCATATCAACTATTTTAGTTATGTATTTGTGTTTGGAGTTGAAATAGCAAACAGAGGAAATGTGTTACAAATTCATTTAAATAACATTTCCTGGTCACTAATCTGTACAGCAGATACACAGAAATATGCTTCCTATGCTCTGTAACTAACTGTTTCTTTGGTTGTCTTGACTTTAAAACTTGTTTGTTATTTAGTATTCTTTTAGAGGAATAATTTTACTAATTAAGTTTATTATTTTATTAACTTTTAAGTTCAATATTGTTTATAAGAGCATCATAAAATTTTAATTCTGTTACATATAAGCTATTCTGGCTTGGACACATTTTTTAACCTTTTAACCTTTAAGCTTCAGTTTCTGTGCCTACTAATGTAGGTATGACAATAGTATTAACTTATATGCTGTGAGGAATAAAATGTTAAATGCATGTATAGTGCTTTGCACAATACATGGTGCAAAGTAATCAAGAAAGGTCCCTGTTAATAATATATGCTGTATTAACCTGTATAATGTAGTTAAAGTTTTTGGTAGGTAGGCTGTAAAGAATAAGACATAATTTGTGGTCATGCTGAATGCTAGGTATTATTTACAGTCTATGAATATGGACTTTTTTTTTAATACGGTATTTAAAATAGTAGTACTAAGAAAGTGGTGAACAGTGATTTAGAAATAATAAACTTGTAATCCAAATAGCCTTTAGAAAAGTTACTGCTAACCTCTGAGTTACTAAATTCACAGTCCTCAATAAGGTTGATTTACCAGTCAGATTAACTATCATAGTCTGTCATTTGTCTATCATTCTGTCCCTCTTCCTGCACTCTTCATCTGGCTTCTAAGATGCCATGATGGTCTTGATTTCCCTCCTCAAAAAAATGGTTGTTCCTTTTTAGTCCCCTCTTCTCCCTTGTTTCTTAATATTGATGCATCCCAGGACTCTGTACTTGATTCTTTTCTGTTTATCTATAATCAGTCCTCTGGTGATCTTACCCAGTTTTATAGCTTTAAATACTACATATGTGCTGACAACTCATAAATGTATAAAATTTTCAGCTAAAGGATAATTTGTGCCTCATTTAGCAATTGAAATTCCTAAGAGGGTATCTCCATCATATTGCTTATCAATTTAGACTTTCCAGGTTGGCAGAGTATTTCCAATCTCCTTTTATTTTTATTTTTTTGAAGCATTTTATTTGGATGTTTAACAACAATTAGTTTTTTTTTTAAGACAGAGTCTTGGTCTGTCGCTCAGGCTGGAGTGCAGTGGCGCGATCCTCCGCTCGCTGCAACTTCCGCCCCCTGGGTTCAAGCGATTCTCCTGTCTCAGCCTCTCGAGTAGCTGGGATCACAGGCTTGCGCCACCACGCGCGGCTAATTTTTGTATTTTTGGTAGAGATGGGGTTTCACCGTGTTAGCCAGGATGGTCTCGAACTCGTGGCCTCAGGCGATGCGCCCGCCTCGGCCTCCCAAAGTGCTGGGATTACAGGCATGAGCCACTGCACCTGGCCAACAACAATAAGATACTAAGAAGCAGTGTACAGTGAAAGTGAAATCAAGTTCAATACTTCATTTCTTGACAACTGAAGTATAAAAGGCTCTGTGTTCAGGAAAAGTTAGAAAAATAGACCATTTTATGTATATGTATTTTTTCCCTCATAATAATTATAGTAGGGGAAACTGGGTGTTTGGCTTATACATGTTTTTTTAAAAAATACAGTAGGATAACACATTTTTCTCCCTGCCTTTCTCTCATGCTTTTTGCATATAGACAACCTAAGTTAGTTTCTGCATTGGAGCTAATTCACGTTTCTCAGCTGGTAACCTTAGAGATGTAACTGGGCTAGCCGGGGGCATAGACCAAGGCTTGATTGAAAGCTGTGTCTGACCTATCTAGTGATGCAGATTCATATGAAACTTGGGCAATAAGATGTTGTTGTTGTTTTTCCCTCCAGTGTCTTATTTTAGGAGTGGGGATTTTCACTCCGGGTACTGATTTTCTCGTAATCAGTCTGGTTTTAACTCCTCACCTCATTTAGGCCCTTTTAATTATCAGTCATTGATCTTGCTGCTTTCTGACCTGAAATCCAATAGACCTCTGTGACTTTTAGCACGTACCCATTGCTTGGCATTTTTCTTTCTGGTCAGTTATTGGTGGTAGTGTTTTGTTTAGTCTCAGTGGGGCTGTCATTTTCAAATGTTCTCCTGTCATTTCTGTACGGTTGGAAACAGGCAGATCGTTTTCTTCATTGCTTTAAAATTTTGGTTGTAGTCTTTTCCTGAATTTATTTGTATTTCTTTTTAGCATTTCTTTATCTCAGTTTTAGTATCATTTTTAAAAAAAATGAGATGGGGTCTTGCTGTGTTGCCCAGGCTGCTCTTGAACTCCTGGGCTCAAGCAGTCCTCCCACTTCAGCTTCCCGAGTAGCTGGGATTACAGGGGTGTGCCACTGTGTCTGGTTTAGGGTCACTTAAAGAAAATAATCACAGTTGAAATCACTGACACTTAAAACTTATGAAAGTTTATTTGAAACTGCATAACAAGGAAGGTCACAGACATGGGCTTTCAATCAAGTCCTGAGCTAACTCAGCTTGCCCAGTGACTGGATCTCAGTATTAATTTCATATACTTAAAACACTGTTATCTGAAAACAATTCAGAATTTTTTTCTTAAAAGGTGATACTAAGTAGAATAAATTTTGATTGTAAAAATTATAAACGTAAAGGCCTCAAGTAAGAATGTAAGTTTATAAATGTATATGTTATCAACCTACATTAAAGTATCATAGTATCATTAAAAATTGATGCTACGTAAAAATAATAGTGCCTAATTGTGATAGTGTTTGGTCTTTAAAAAATGGTTTTATAAACAAGATGGTTGAGTTGAGCAAATGTTCAGATGTTCCAAATGCTGAAAAAGCTCTCTGACCCTATTCTACTGGGGAATCTTATGGGAAAATATTTATAAACTTTCCAGATTAGTTAATCTTCACATAATCCCATCTCTTGGAGAGAACTTTTGGGGAAGATACGGGGGAGCAAGGATTTCATTCTTTTATTAATGTCAAGTTGTAGTGTTGCTTCAAAGAAAGGCTTCTCTTGTCTTATGTGTAAATGGAGATTTTAATGCAGAGTTACTTTTATTTCAGTATGAAGTGTTAATATTCTATCTGTTTGAAAAATCTCTGAGGAAGATTTACTGTTGCAATAGAAGCCTTTTCCTTGTCAATTTATATTTTTCTTCTTTTTCTTCTCGTGGAGGTAAATGGAAGCATGGAAGAATGCTTTCCATATGAATATACTTTTCTTTGATTTGAAATTGTAATACAGAGTATAAGTCTAGATACATCTAAAATATAAATGATTCAGATTTTACATTTTAAACTTACTGAAATATCAAAATTATACTAATAAAGATACATTGATTTGGTACTTAAAAATAGCCTAATATGCTCAAATGTTAGAATCCTTGAAAAGTAGTCCAGCTGTTTTGGAGGAGTGTGTGTGTGATGTTGTTTATGTGTATGTGTGTGGGAGGGTATGTCTCAATGTGTGAATTTAACAATCCCAGCTTACCTGGAAGTTGGATTTTTTAAAATGTATTTTTTTCTTTTAGTTGAAGAGAATGAAGATTGCTTTGTATCTGTATTAGATATCAGTGGGATATAAATCATTTTGTTATTAAAAATGTTAATAGTTTACTCTTAACACCTTTGCCCCTTTCTGTTATTAAATAATATTTTCACAAAGTGTTAACATTTTTTAGTGAATGAAAATTAAAAATATGAACTATAACTGAGTGGCAAGCATAGTATGTACAGTTATTCTAGGATTAGTAGATTAATTACCTTTCTAAAGAAAAATTTTTTTTCAGAGACAGGGTGTCACTGTGTTGCCCACGTTGGTCTGGAACTCCTGGGCTCAAGTGATCCTCCTGCCTTAGCCTCCCAAGTAGCTGGGATTACAGGTGTGTGCTGCCACACCCACCTGGATTACCTTTCTAAATTTTCTGTGTAATTTTCCCCATGTTTTCCCCCTATCCAAGTCCCCTAAAGGTTTATTTTTACTGCTGTTTCGTTTTCTGCAATCCTCTAGCTTCCCTGTTTACCCTCCCAGGCTCCCATTGTTTCTTTTAGCAGGGTGTCAGTCTGATCATTGAGACTAGAGGGATGAGTTAAGTCTATTGGACCTCCTAAGATTTAGGTTGTATGCTGCTACTGTCATTTCCTAACATCATGACCCTGAGGAAATCAAAGTCATGTAATTTCTCTGTGCCTTAATTTGTTTCTTCGTCTTTAAATTGAGGATGTTTCCTCCTACCTTCCACAGAGTTACTTGGCGTTGAGACAATGTATGTGATAGTGTTTTAGAAATCGTGCTACCTTCACAAGCATTTCCATTGAGTAATCTGAGACTTAATTACTTTCTGGTGAGTTTTTTTCACCTCCACCATTATGTGTATATAGTTTTTTTCTGTTTTAATGCATGTTCACTGTAGAAAATATGGGAAATACAGAAATGTAAAGAAAAAATAGAAATCCAGACAATGCATCATCCTTTTGTTGTTGTTTTAAGAGGAAATTTAGTTTTGAGACTGAGCTCCCAGAGGGTAAGGATGGTGTTATTTATTTTTGGATTTTCTCTTCTTAATCTGCACTAGGCACAACATTAATGCAGGTTTAATGAGAGGGAACTTAGTGTAGCTGTATTTCTTGAAGTCAAAACCTGATGAAATTTGGCCATTTGAAGAGAGAAAAGAAGACATCTGTCTAGCAAAAATAATAATAGATACATGTTTTGAAATTACATTTTTCCATTGGCCGAAAGAACACAGGAAAACATGATAGGGGCAGTCCTAATATTCTCTGACAGAGGTTAGGAAACCAGTTAAAGCTGTTGGATATGGAACTTATGGACACTATCATATCAAAGTGGGTTGGCATTTTCCTGGTGAAAATGACATAAATAAAATTAAAAGACTTTTTTAAATGAATGCTTGGAAATTGTAAAAACTGTCATTTCCTCTTTTTATTTCTTAACAGGATGGCTTAAATTCCTTGGTCCTTGATTTAGATTTTCCTGCTTTGAGGAAAAACAAGAACATAGATAATTTCTTAAATAGATGTAAGTATGTTTAAACTTCATATTTGATCTTATAACTCTACTTTTGATAAGAGATTTTTGTTTGGTTATTATCAGCCTATAAATTTATTAATTTAATCAACTTATTTATTAAACTTAAGTCTTTTGCTTACCATTTGATTTATTCAAAAATTGTTACTTTTATTTTTAAAGCAATTGCAGAACCGAATTACAATATGCAAAGCAGATAAAGTTCTAAATTTTGAAATACATTATTAAGACTATTTTAGGACAGGTTATTTATAGCAGTTTGAAGAGAAGTTTTAAATTAATATTTACAATTCCAAGACTTAATATTGCCCAGAGAATTAATAAGCTTTATACTTCTGTAATTGTGGACATTTCAGACTAGTTAATAATAAATAATGTAACTATTATTACCATATGTGTGGTAACCCTTAATCTTTGCCATTATTAATGTTGCAATGCAGAAGTAAGTGAAATTGAATTCCAAGAATAAGAAATTCTCAAAACAATTAATGTATACATTGTATCATCACAGTAAGCTCTTTACTTTGAAATTGGCAGAGACTGAGGTATTTTCCCAATTAAACAATCTTATCTATAGTTACTATTTATATAGTATGATTACCACTTTTCAGAGAAGTAGGCCATCAAAATTCATTACTAAGATTAGCCTTGCAAGTAATTTCATGGCAACTTTCTGCCATGATTCAGAGTGCACACCAGGATTGCTTGGGTCATCACTGTGTCAGCTATCATCTAACTTGCTAAGCAACAGAATCAGAAACAGAATAGCTGTAACTGCTACTTTTTGGCAGTCAGTGGTGTTCATTTATATGTGTTAATAAACCATAGAGAGTTTTGGTTCTTTAACGTTAATGTATATCTTAGATTTTTAACTAACAGCCTTTAAAAACTGGCAAGTTTAGCTAAAAACTGTCTTTTCTTGAAACAAAAATATATTTATAAATGTTGATTATGTAAAAATATAAATATGATTGATATTATAAGTATGGTGATCTTTTTATGGTAGATGAGAAAATTGTGAAAAAAATCAGAGGTCTACAGATGAAGGCAGAAGACTATGATGTTGTAAAAGTTATTGGAAGAGGTGCTTTTGGTGAAGTGCAGTTGGTAAGAAAGTGTTTTGTTCTTATTGTTCTCTATGACATCATGGTTTTGTGAAGCATTATCAATAGCAGCTGAGTAGATCTAATTTCTATGCCCACCCATGCCAGAAGGTGGCTTTGTGATCTTGGTCAGTGTCCTCATCTATAAAAGGAAGCCTTTGTTGTCTACTCTGGGTCTCTTCCAGCTCTGAAACACATTGTAGAAAATAAGGCCAATATAGCTTCACATGTGATCTGCCTAGCAGTTACTATTCCACCAGAACTGTTGTATTTTTATTTAGAATGTTCAGATTAAAAACATCTGCTTAAGGAACTGAGATTTATTTAGATGTATAAGAAACCTAACAGATAAATTTTAATAACTGAAATTAAATCTGAAATTTATTTTCGCAGGCCATACTGGTACCAATTGGAATTATAAGAAATGTTGACAATAACTATTACCTTTATATTATTGGCTTTGGAACTCTTCCTAATCTCGTATTCCTGTTTTCATCACCTGAGTATATGAAACTCCTCTATTATTGTCCTTATAGTTAAATTAGAGTCAAATTCTCTTCTTCACACTACAGCGTTTACCCCTCTTGATGGAGCACTAAGAAAAGTAGTGATCATTATAAGCCAGCATGGATTTTGTTAAGAACAAGTCATGATAGACTTTTTTTTCCTTTCATTGCTTCTTTCTTTGGGTTTTTTGTTTCTTTTTGTTCCTTTTTGAGACAGGGTCTTGCTTTGTCACTGAGGCTGGAGTGCAGTGGCACAATCTTGGCTCACTGCAGTCTTGACTTCTCAAGCTCAAGCAGTTCTCCTACCTCAGCCCTCCAAGAAGCTGGGACTATAGGCATGTGCCACACACCCAGCTCATTTTTTGTATTTTATGTAGAGATGGGGTTTCACCATGTTGCCGAGGCTGATCTTGAATTTCTGGACTCAAGGGATCTACCTGCTCGGCCTCCCAGAGTGCTGGGAGTACAAGCATGAGACACCTCACTGTGCCTTTCTTGATAGGTTTATTGGACTTGTAGATCAGGGTAGTGCAATTTATGTAATACATATCCATAAGAAGAATATTATTCTTCTGAAGAAGTCTGACACACTTGAGGATAATATGATGAAATGGCACAGTAATAATTGTATGGGTAGGCAAGCTTTATAACTAATGTACTAGTTTTATTCCAAGGAGGCTGGTGAAAGCATGGATGGTACATGGGACAGAGACCTCCAAGAAAGGTTTCAGGGTCCCTCTTCTCCTATTAAACATTTTTTTTTTTTTTTTTTTTTAGACAGAGTTTCACTCTTGTTGCCCAGGCTGGAGTGCAATGGCGCGATCTCGGCTCACCGTAACCTCCACCCCCCGGGTTCAAGCAATTCTCCTGCCTCAGTCTTCTAAGTAGTTGGGATTACAGGCATGCACCACCACGCCTGGCCAATTTTGTATTTTTAGTAGAGACAGGGTTTCTCCATGTTGGTCAGTCTGGTCTTGAACTCCCGACCTCAGGTGATCCGCCTGCCTCGGCCTCCCAAAATGCTGGGATTACAGGCGTGAGCCACTGCACCCAGCCTCCTATTAAACATTTTAATGACTTGTTTGGGAGCAATGGTAGCACGTTGAATAATTTTGCAAATGAGTTAAACCTGAAGTATAATGAGGATGATTTTAGGTGATGAGCCAAAATTCAGAAATCATCAATGGGAAAGAACATTGGCCAGATAGAAGTGAAATTGAACCAGAATATAGTACTTGGATGTGAAGAACACAGGGAATAGTTGCTTAACAGTACTGTCTTAATTAAAGAACCATTTTCCTTGGATTGTAAGCAGGCAAGAGTCATTAATGATCAGACTACCTAAAGTAGTAAAGAAATTTGGGGCTGCTTTAATATAATTTCTAAATTGATAGAAATTGATGGACCATACCTGTAATATTTTATTTATTCTAGATGCCCTGTTGGCCTGTTTTTTTAAAAAAAGACTTTAGTTTTTTTAAGAGCACTTTTAGGTTCACAGTAAAATCGAGAGGAAGGTATAGAGATGTCCCATATACCCCTTGCCCCAACGTGTGCATAGACACTTCCATTGTCAGCATCCCTCATTAGAGTACATTTGTTACAACTGATGCTTACATTGACACATTATACTCACCCATTGTCATAGTTTACATTAGGGCTTGCTCATGGTGGTGTACATCCTATAGGTTTGGCCAAGTGCACAATGATATATGCCCATCGTTATACTATTATACATAGTATTTTCATTGCCCCAAAAATCCTCTGTGCTGTGCCTATTCATCTCCCAGCCCCAAGTCTCTGGCAGTCACTCTTTTTACTGTTTTCATAGTTTTGCCTTTTCCAGAATGTCATGTAATTGGAATCATACAGTATGCAACCTTTTCAGATTGTCATCTTTCACTGAGTAATATGCATTTAAGGTTTCTCCATGTCTTTTTGTGATCCTTTAGCTTATTACTTTTTACTAAACAATATTCTGTTGTCTGGCTGTACCAAAGTTTATCCATTCACCTACTGAAGGGCATATTGATTGCCTCCAGGTTTTGACAATTATGAGTAAAGCACTATAGACATCCATATGCAGGCTTTTGTGTAGACATAAATTTTCAGTTCATTTGGTTAAATACCAAGGATCTTGATTGCTGGATCATAGGATAAGAGTGTATTTGGTTTTCTAAAAAACTGCCAAACTGTTTTCTAAAGTGGTTGTACCACTTTGCATTCCTACCAGCAATGAATGAAGATTCTTCTTGCTTCACATCCTCCCTGGCATTTGGTCTTGTCGCTGTTATAACTGACAAAAAACAAGTGTTTTGGTTATTTGATTAGGTGTTTAACAGTATCTCCTTATTAATTTGACATTTCCCTGATGACATATGATGTGGAACATCTTTTCATATACTTATTTGCCATCTGTATATCTTTTCCTTTTTTTCTTTTCTTTCTTGCTTTTTTTTTTTTTTTTTTGAGACGGAGTCTCGCTCTGTCGCCCAGGCCGGACTGCGGACTGCAGTGGCGCAATCTCGGCTCACTGCAAGCTCCGCTTCCCGGGTTCACGCCATTCTCCTGCCTCAGCCTCCCGAGTAGCTGGGACTACAGGCGCCCGCCACCGCGCCCGGCTAATTTTTTTGTATTTTTAGTAGAGACGGGGTTTCACCTTGTTAGCCAGGATGGTCTCGATCTCCTGACCTCATGATCCACCCGCCTCGGCCTCCCAAAGTGCTGGGATTACAGGCGTGAGCCACTGCGCCCAGCCTCTTTTTTTTTTTTTTGAGACGGAGTCTCTGTCGCCAGGCTGGAGTGCAATGGCGCTATCTAGGCTTACTGCAACCTCCGCCTCCTGAGTTCCAGTGATTCTTCCTGCCTCAGCCTCCCAAGTAGCTGGGATTACAGGCACTTGCCAGTATGCCCGGCTATTTTTTGTATTTTTAGTAGAGATGGGGTTTCACCATGTTGGCCAGGCTGGTCTCAAACTCCTGACCTCAGGCAATCTGCCCACCTTGGCCTCCTAAAGTGCTGGGATTATAGGCATGAGCCACCACGCCTAGCCTGTATATCTTCTTTGATGAAGTGTCTGTTCAGGTCTTTGGCCCATTTTTTGATTGGGTTGTTTATTTTTTTTTATTGTTTAGTTTTGAGAGTTCTTTGTATAACAAATTCTTTTGGATAATAGACCTTTGTCAGGTGGGTGTTTTTCAAATATTTTCCCCCAGTCTTTGGTTTTTCTTCTCATCCTCTTGACATTGTCTTTGAGTAGTAGACAATTTGAATTTTAGTGAAGTTCAGGTTATCAGTTCTTTCTTTCTTGGGTTATGTCTTTGGTGCTATATCTAAAAAACCATTGCTCTAATCAAGATAATTTAGGTTTTCTCCTATGCTATCCTCTAGAAGATATAAGGTCTGGTCTTGATTCTTTTTTTTTTTTTTGCATGTAGATATTCAGTTATTCCAGCAACATTTGTTCAATCCATCGTATTGCCTCTGCTCCTTTGTCAAAGATCAGTTGACTATATTTATGTGGGTCTATTTCTGGGCTCTCTATTCTGTTTCATTGATCTATTTGTCTTTTCTTTCACCAATATCACATTGTCTTGATTACTGTAGCTTTATAGTAAGTCTATAGGTTGGATAGTTTCATCCCTCCCATTTTGTTCTTCCTTATTTATTTTTAATTATTATTTTTTGAGACGGCATCTTCCTCTGTTGCGCAGGCTGGAGTGCAGGGGTGTGATCCTGGCTCACTGCAACCTCTGCCTCCTGGGCCCAGGTGATCCTGCTGCCCCAGCCTCTCGAGTAGCTGGGACTACAAGCGTGTGCCACCACTCCTGGCTAATTTTTGTATTTTTAGTAAAGATGGGGTTTTGCTATGCTGCCCAGGCTGGTCTCAAATTCCTGGGCTCAAGCGATCTACCTGCCTTGGCTTTCCAAAGTGCTAGGATTACAGGTGCGAGCCACTGCACCTGACTGTTCTTTAATATTTTGTTGGCTATTCTGGGTCTTTTGCTTCTCCATATAAACTTTAGAATCAGTTTGTCAATATCCGTGAAATAACTTACTGGGGTTTTTTTTGTGATTGGATTGAAAATATAGACCAACTTGGTCTATATTTGAAGAACCGGTATCTTGACAACATTGAGTCTTCACATCCAAGAACATGGACTGTCTCTCCATTTGCTTAGTTCTTTGATTTCTGTCATCAGAGTTTTGTAGTTTTCCTCATATAGATCTTATACATGTTTAGTTAGATTTATGCCTGTTTTATTTTTGTAGGTGCTTTAATGTAAATGGTACTGTGTTTTTAATTTCAAATTCCACTTTTTCATTGCTCATATACAGGAATTTAATTTCATATACATTGCTCATATACAGAATTTAATTTCAAATTCCACTTTTTCATTGCTCATATAGAGGAATTTAATTTCATATGTATTGCTCATATACAGAATTTAATTTCAAATTCCACTTTTTCATTGCTCATCTACAGGAAAGCAATGAACTTTTGTGTATTAACCTTCTGTCTTGCAACTTGGTATAATGACTTGTTCCAGGAAACTTTCGAATCCTCTACATAGATGATCACATAGATCCTTCCCAATCTGTATACGCTTTACTTCCTTTTCCTGTGTTATTGCATTACCTCGGACTTTCAGTACAGTGATGGAAAGGATTGGTGAGAGGAAATGTCCTTGCTTTTGTTCTTGATCTTAGTGGGAAAGCTAGTTTCTTACCAGTAAACATGAAGTGAGCTGTGGATTTTTTATAGATATTCAAGTTGAAGTTCCTCTATTCTTCATGTACTGAGGTTTTTTTTTTTTTTTTTTTTTTTAAATAATGAGTGGGTGTTGGATTTGTCAGATGCTTTTTCTGCATCTATGATATGATCATCTGTCTTTCTTTTTTAGCCTGTTGGTGTGATGGATTACAATAATTGATTTTGAAATGTTGAACCAGTCTTGTATACCTGTAATAAATCCCACTTGGTTGTGGCGTATAATTCTTTTACACCGCATAATACATTGTTGGATTTGATTGGCTAATATTTTGTTGAGGATTTTTGCATCTGTGTTCATTAGAGATAATGGTTTGTAGTTTTCTTGTAATATCTTTGTCAAGTTTTTTGCTGACCTCGTAGAATGATTCTGGAAATATTCCCTCTACATCTGTCCTCTAAAATACATTATAGATAATTTCTTCCTTTAATAGTTGGTACATTTCACCACTGAATCCATCTGGACCTCATGCTTTCTGTTTTGGAAGGTTAATAACTATTGATTTAATTTATTTAATAACAGTAAGTCTGTTTCTTCTTGTATGAGTTTTGGCATATTATGTCTTTGAAGGAATTGGTCCATTTCATCTAAATTATTAAATTTGTGGGCATAGAGTTATCATTCATTCATTCACTGAGACAAGTTCTTGCTCTATTGCCCAGGCTGGAGTGCAGTAGTGTAATCTCAGCTCACTGTAACCTCCGCCTCCTGGGCTCAAGTGATCCTCCCACCCCAGCCTCCTAGTAGCTGAGACTACAGGTGTGCACCACCATGAATGGCTCAATTTTTTTTTTTTTTTTTTCTGTAGAGATGGGGTTTCACCATGTTGCCCAGGCTGGTCTAGAACTCCTGAACTCAGGTGATCCGCCCGCCTCGGCCTCCCAAAGTGCTGGGATTTCAGGCATGAGTCACTGCACCCGGACCCTTATTATCCTTATTAATGTCTGTGGAATCCTTAGTGGTTTTCCCTCCTTCATTTCTGATATTGGCAGTTTTTATTCTCTCTCTTCTAGCCAACCTGGCTAGAGCCTTATCAATATTATTGGTCTTTTCAAAGAACCAGCTTTTAGTTTCATTGATTTTTGTGTATTCTTGTTTTCTATTCCTTGGTTTCTGCTCTAATTTTTATTATTTATTTTCTTTTGCCTACTTGGAATTTAATTTGTTTCTTCTGTTTCTAGTTTCCTAAGTTGGAAACTCAGATTATTGATTTTAGATATGTGCATTAAGCACTGCTTTCACTGTATCCCACCAATTTTGAAAAGTTTTGTTTTTATTTTCATTTATTTCAAAATATATTTTAATTTCTCATGAGATTCCTTCTTTGACCCAAGAGTTATTTAGAATTATGTTGTTTAATCTCCACATATTTTGGGATTTTCTAGTTATCTTTCTGTTACCAGTTTCTGGTTTAAATCCATAGTGATCTGAGAATAGACACAGTATGATTTCTATTTGAAGTTTGTTACGGTGTGTTTCGTGGCCCAGAATGTGATTTATCTTGGTGAACGTTCCATGAGAGTTTGAGAAAAATGTGTATTCTGCTGTTGTTGGATAAAGTAGTCTATAGATGTCAGTTATATCCAGTTGATTGATGGTATTGTTGAGTTCCACTATATTCTTAACTGGTTTTCTGCCTGCTGGATCTGTCCATTTCTGATAGAGCAGTGTCAAAGTCTCCAGTTATGATAGTGAATTTATCTCTTTCTTCTTGCTGTTCTATCAGCTTTTGCCTCATGTAATTTGACACTCTGTTGATAGACATATAACACATTGATGATTGTTATGTCCTCTTGGAGAATTGATCCTTTTATCAGTTATGTAATGCCCTTTTTTATCGCTGGTAACTTTCCTTGCTTTGAAGTTTGCTCGTCTGAAATTAATATAGCTACTTCTGCTTTCTTTTGATTATTGTTATGGTATATTTTTTTCCATCCATCTACTTTTCATCTATATGTGTCTTTATATTTAATGTGAGTTTCTTATAGAAAAAATATAGTTGGGTCTTTTTTCTTGATTCACTCAATCTCTGTTTTTAAATTGGTCCATTTAGACTTGTGACATTCAAAGTGATTGTTGATATAGCTGAATTAATATTACCATATTTGTTGTTGTTTTCTTTTGTTGCCTATATTCTTGTTCCTATTTTTGTCTTCCATTCTTTTTCTGTCTTTTTTGGTTTTAACTGATCATTTAATGTGATTTCATTTTCTCTCCTTTCTTAGCAGATTGTTTATACTTTTTTTTTTGCTTTTTATAGTGTTTGTCTACTTTTTTCCTTTTTTTTAGTGTTTGCCCTAGAGTTTTAAATATTTATTTACATTTCTGAGAAAATTAAAAATAAAACCACCAGCTGGGCACGGTGGCTAATGCCTATAATCTCAGCACTTTGAGAGGCCAAGGCGGGTGGATCAACTGAGGTCAGGAATTCGAGACCAGCCTGGCGAACATGGCAAAACCCCGTCTCTACTAAAAATGCAAAAAATTAGCCAGGCGTGGCGGCAGGCACCTGTAATCCCAGCTACTTGGGAGGCTGAGGTGGGAGAATCGCTTGAACCCAGGAGGCAGAGGTTGCAGTGAGCCAAGATCGCACCATTGCAGTTCAGGCTGGGCGACAGAGTGAGACTCTGTCTTAAGAAACCAAAATAAAATAAAACTACCTTTACAATCCAGCAATTCCACTAGTAGGTATATATCTAAAGGAAGTGAAATCATTATTTAGTAGAGGTATCTGCATTCTCATGTTCATTGCAGCATTATTCATAAGAGCCAAGATATGGAATCAACCTAAGTGTCTAACAATGGATAAAGAAAGATAATATGGTATGTATAAACAATGGAATACTATTTAGCCTTACAAAAGGAAGAAATCCTGTCATTTGGAACAACATAGATAATTGATGGTTGGAGGATCTTGTATTAAGTGAAATTAGCCCAGGCACAGAAAGAATACCACATGATATCACTTATATGTGGAATCCAGAAAAGCTGAGTGCATGGAAGTAGAGAATAGAATGGTGGTTACCAGCAGCTAGGGAGATCTTTGTCAAAGGATACAACATTTCAGTTAGATGGGAGGAATAAGTTAAAGAGATTTATGGTACAACATAGTGACTGTAGTTAATAATGTATTTTCAAAAAATCTCTAAAAGAATAGATTTTAACTGTTCTCAACACAGAAAATTAAAAGTATGTGAGGTAATGCTTATATGTTAATTAGCTGGTTTTAGCCATTCTACAGCATATACTTACTTCAAAACACCATGTTGAACACCATAAATATATGCAGTTTTTGTCAATTAAAAAATAAAATTTTTATGAAAGGAACTTCAAATGCTAAATGAGGAATCCTGCCTGTAAATCATGCTCTATGATTCCATAAGACATTCTGGAAAAAGACAACTTTGGAAGCAGTAAAGATTAGTGCTTGCTACCCAGAGGAAAAGAAGTCATACGAAAAAGATACTTGCACACACGTTTATAGCAGCACCATTCACAATTGCAAAATCTTGGGACCAACCCAAATGCCCATCAGTCAACGAGTGGATAAAGAAATTGTGCTATGTATATATGATGGAATACTACTCAGCCATAAAAAGGAATGAATTAACGGCATTCATAGTGACCTAGATGAGATTGGAGACTATTACTCGAAGTGAAGTAACTCAGGAATGCAAAACCAAATATCGTATGTTCTCACTGATATGTGGGAGCCAAACTATGAGTACGCAAAGGCATAAGAATGATACAGTGGACTTTGGGGACTTGAGGGGAATGATTGGAGGGGTGCAAGGGATAAAAGACTACAAATAGGGTGCAGTGTATACTCTTGGGGGATGGGTGCACCAAAATCTTACACATCACCATCAAAGAGCTTACTCATGTAACTAAACACCACCTGTACCCCAATAACCTATAACCTATGGGGGAAAAAAAGATTGGTGGTTGCCAGAAGGTTGTGAAGGGGTGAATGGGTGGAGCACAGCGGATTTGTGGGGCAGTGAACCTATTCTGTCTGTTACCATATTGGTGGATACATAACATTTTATCTGCTAAGGCCATAGAATTGTATAGCACAAACAGTGAACCCTAATGTGAACTCTGGACTTCGTTAATAGTAATGTATGAATATTGCTTTATCAGTTGTAACAAATGTACCACACTAATGCATTCCTGTAATATGTTAATATTAGAGGAAACTGAAAAAGAGAAGGGGACAGGGAGTATATAGTAAATTTGTGTACCCTATTCGGTTTTTCTGTAAACCTAAAACTGTTCTAAAAAATAAAGTCTATTAATAAAAACATGAAAAAAGAAATATACTCACAGTTTATCCAAGTCCCCTTTCAAATCACAGCATACCACTTCACGGGGGGTGTAAAATACCTTATAATAACAAAATAATCCTAATTCCTTCCTCCTGTTACGTCTATCATTGCTGTTATTCATTTTGTGCATATATATGTATACATACACACACACCAGTACACATACAGACAAGCATATGTTACTGAATATATTGTTGCTGTTATTATTTTGAACAAATTTATTTGTTAGATCAGTTAAGAACATGAAAATAACAGTTTTTGTTTTACTTTCACTTATTTCCTCTATTTCTATTTTTGCAAGAAACATCATTGGAGTTACAGGGTTTGCATTGACTCTAGGTTGTTTTGGGTAATGGTCATTTTAACAATACTAAGTCTTCCAGTCTAATAACAAGGGACTGGGTTCCATTTACTTATGTCTTCTTTAATTCCTTTTAGCAGTGTTTTGTAGTTTTTATTAGATGTCTCTTTCAATTAAGTTAATTCCTAAATGTTCTTTTTGATGTTATTGTAAATGGAATTGTTTTTGTAATTTTCATTTTAGATTGTTTATTTTTAGTGTATAGAAATATAATTGACTTTTGAGTGTTGACTTTGTATGCCGCAATTTTGCCTAACTTATTCTAATACATTTTTTGGGAGGTGGGATCTTTAGGATTGTCTACATAAAAGATCATAAATCACTTATGGACAAAGATAGTTTTATTTATTTTTTATTATCTAATTTCTCTGGCTAGAACTTCCAGTGCTATGTTGACTAGAAGTGGCACAAGCCTTTTCTTGTTCTTTATCTTAGCGGAAAAACTTTTAGACTTTCACTATTGAGTATGATATTCACGTGGGTGTTTCACATATGTAGTTTATTACGTTGAGGTGGTTTTCTTTTACTCCTGGTTTGTTCAGTGTTTTCTTTTTGTAAATCATGAAAGAGTGTTGAGGCAGGGCACGGTGGCTCACGCCTATAATCCCAGCACTTTGGGAGGCTGAGGTGGGCGGATCACCTGAGGTCAGGAATTTGTGACCAGCCAGGTCAACATGGTGAAACCCCATCTCTTCTAAAAATACAAAAATTAGCCGAGTGTGGTGGCAGGCAGCTGTAATCCCAGCTGCTAGGGAGGCTGAGGCAGGAGAATCTGTTGAATCCGGGAGGTGGAGGTTGCAGTGAGCTGAGATTGCACCACTGTACTCCAGCCTGGGTGACAGAGCAAGACTTTGTCTCAAAAAAAAAAAAAAAAAAAAAAGATTGTTGAATTTTGTGAAATGTGTTTTCTCCCTCAATTGAAATGATTATGTGTTGCTTACCTTTATTCTGTTAATGTGGTTTAATACAGCGATTGATTTGCACATGTTTTACCATCCTTGGATTCTAGGAATAAATCATACTTGGTCATGATGTGGAAACCTTTTAATATACTGCTGATTTCAGTTTGCTAGTAATTTGTTGAGAATCTTTCTGTTAATTTTCAGAAGTGAAACTGGTTGATAGTTGTTTTCTCGTACAGTCACCTGCCCTTACCTGTAGTTTTGCTTTCTACAATTTCAGTTGCCCGCAGTCAACCAGGGTCTGAAAATATTACATACAATAAGGTATTTTGAAAGAGAGAGAGAGACCATATTCATATAGCTTCTATTAAAGTATATTGTATAATTGTTCTTATAATTCTTTTTTTTTTTTTTTTGACATGAAGTCTCGCTGTTGTCCCCCAGGCTGGAGTGCAATGGCACGATTACGGCTCACTGCAACCTCTGCCTCCCGGGTTCAAGCGATTCTCCTGCCTTAGCCTCCCGAATAGCTGGGATTACAGGTGCCTGCCGCCACGCCTGGCTAATTTTTGTATTTTTAGTAGAGATGGGGATTCACCATGTTGGCCAGGCTGGTCTCGACCTCCTGACCTCAGGGGATCTGCCCGCCTTGGCCTCCCAAAGTGCTGGGATTACAGGCATGAGCCACTGCTCCCGGCCTGTTCTTATTATTCTTAATTTTTACTGTTGCTTAGTTTATAAATTGAACTTTATCATAGATATGTATGTATAGGAAAAAACATAATATATATATAGGATTCAGTACTCTCCATGGTTTCAGGTAACCACTGGGGTCTTGGAATGTATTTCCTGAGGATAAGAGGGGACTACCGTGATGTCTTTATCTGTCCTTGGTATCAGGGTAATGCTGGCCTCATAGAATGAGTTAGGAGGTGTTCCTTCCTCTTCAGTTTTCTAGAGAAGTATGAGAATGATTGATGTTATTGAAATATTTGGTAGAACTCACCAGTGAAGCCATTAGGTAAAGAGCTTTTCTATGTCAGGAAAGTTTTGGTTACTGAATCAATCTCTTTACTAATTGTAGGTCTATTTATATTTTCTGGTTTTTTGTGTGAGTTAGTCTTGGTAGATTTTGTGTTTCTAGGAATTTGTCTGTTTTATCTAAGTTATTCTATTTGTTAACATAGAATTGGTCAGAGTACTCTCTTAATCATTTTAATTTTCGTAAAGTGGGTAGTAATGTCCCCACTTTTATTTCTGATTTTAATAATTTGAGCATTCTCTGTTTTTTTAATTAGTCCATCTAGCCAGAGGTTTGTGACTCTTTTGGATTGTTTCAAAGAACCAACTTTTGGTTTCATTGATTTTGTTGTTGTTGTTGTTGTTGTTGTGTTCTCTGTTTTATCTTTGCTCTAATCTTTATTATTTCCTTGCTTCTGATGGCTTTGGGTTTAGTTTGTTTTTCTCTTTCTAGTTTCTTAAATTGTAAAGTTTCGTTTTTAATTTCAGATCATTCTCGTTTTTTTAATGTAAGCATTTATAGCTATAAATTTCTCCCATATACTACTTTTGCTGTATTCCGTTAAGTTTTTTGTTGTGTTGTTTTCATTTGTCTCTGGAGTATTTCCTAATTTCCCTTCTGATTTCTTATATGATTCGTTGGTTATTTGTGTGTTGTTTAATTTCCATGTTTTTGTGGATTTTCTCATTGTAGTTATTTTATCGAAGTCTTTTTTTTTTTTTTTGAGATGGAGTCTTGCTCTGTCACCCAGGTTAGAGTGCAGTGGCGCAACCTCGGCTCACTGCCAGCTCCACCTCCCGGGTTCACGCCATTCTCCTGCCTCAGCCTCCTGTCTTTTATCGATTTCTGACTTCATCCCATTGTGGTTGGAAAATATACTTTGTATGTCTATCTTTTTAAATCTTTTGAGACTTAGTCTGTGGCCTGACATATGATCTGTTTTGGAAAATGTCCCATGTGCACTTGAGAATATTATATATGTTATTATGTGTTCTGTATATATCCCTAAGATCTAGTTAGTTTATTGTGTTAAGTCCTCTGTTTCTTTACTGTATTTCCATACTCCATTCTATTAAGTGATAATAGAGAATGAAAGTCTCCAACTATTATTATAGAGCTGTCTATTTCTCCCTCAGTTCTGTTTTTGCATCATATATTTTGATGGTCTGTTACTAGGTCTATAAATGTTTGTAATTGCTGTGTCTTCTTACTGTGTTGAAACTTTTATTAAGATATAATGTTTTTTTTTGTTTCCTGTAACCTTTATTGATTTAAAGTGTATTTGGTCTGATATTAGTATAGCCACTTCTGCTCTCTTTTGGTTACTATTTCCATCCTTCCACTATCAATCAGTTTGTGTCTTTGGATCTAAAGTGATTATCTTATGGACAATGCATAGATGGATCTTTTTTTTAATTCATTCTGCCAATCTCTGTCTTTTGATTGGAGAGTTTAACTCACTTACATTGAATGTCATTACTGGGAAGAAGAATTTATTTCTGTTATTTTGCTATTTGTTTTCTATATGTTGTAAAGCTTTTTTTTTTTTTTTTTTTTTGACCCTTATTTCCTGCATTTCTCTTGGCTTTTGTGTTCAGTTCATTTTCTTATAGTGGTATGTTTACATTCTTTCTCAATTTGTTTAGTATGTATTCTGTTTTCTTTGTAGATACCATAGGCATTACATTTAACATCCTAAACTTATAAAAATTCAGATGTCAATTTATACCAGCTTAGCTTCAAGAATATACAGTAACTCTTGCTCTTTTTTTTTTTTTTTTTTGAGACAGAGTCTTGCTCTGTCGCCCAGGCTGGAGTGCAGTGGCACCATCTTGGCTCACTGTAACCTCTGTCTCCCGTGTTCAAGTGATTTCCCTGCCTCAGCCTCCCGAGTAGCTGGGGTTACAGGTGCCCATCACCGTGCCTGGCTAATTTTGGTATTTTTAGTGGAGACCATGTTGGCAAGGCTGGTCTCAAACTCCTGACCTCAAATGATCCACCTGCCTCGGCCTCCCAAAGTGCTAGGGTTATAGGCGTGAACCACTGCAGCCGGCCAGCTCTGCTTCTTTAACAGCTCTGCCCTCACCCTTTCCAGTTGCTGTCACAGAATTACCTCCTTATTCATTATGTGCCCCAAACCATAAACTAATCACTTTAAATGCATCAATTTTTTATATAGAACAAAATGGGTTTATGAAACAAAGTTTCAATAATACTAGCTTTTAGATTAATAATTTAAAAATATGTATTGGCCTTTTAAATCATGTAGAAAGCAAAAAGTGCAATTATAATCCATTATTACAGTAATACTGGACTTTATAATTGTGTGTGTATTTACCTTTATTGAGATTTTTATTTCTTCACATGACTTCAACTTACTGTTTAAACAGTGTGTTTTCATTTCACCCTGTAGGACTTCATTGACCATTTCTTGCAGGTCAGGTCTACTGGTAACAAGCTCCCTTAATTTTTGTTTATCTGTTAATGTCTTAACTTTCCTGTCAGTTTAGGGAAAACACAACAACCAAAAAACCCAGTCAAACAATAACAAAGCTTTGTCACTTTCCAAGGCAGTCCTTTCCTCAGATCTGCTCCAAATGAACCTTTCAATTCTACTTTTTTTTTTTTTTTTTGAGATGGAGTCTCGTTCTGTCTCCCAGGCTGGAGTGCAGTGGTGTGATCTCTGCTCACTGCAAGCTCCGCCTGTCGGGTTCACGCCATTCTCCTGCCTCAGCCTCCCGAGTAGCTGGGACTACAGGTGCCCGCCACCACGCCCGGCTAATTTTTTTAGTAGAGACGGGGTTTCACCGTGTTAGCCAGGATGGTCTCGATCTCCTGACCTTGTGATCCGCCCGCCTCTGCCTCCCAAAGTGCTGGGATTACAGGCGTGAGCCACCGCGCCCAGCCCCGAACCTTTCAGTCCTTTCAACCTCAGATGGCATTGTTTCAAGTTCCCAGAGCACCATACCCCTTGAGTATATCCTATCAATATGCCCTTTAAAACAGGGCAACAGGTTTCTGGTTGCACAAGTAAGGAGCTTGGAAATCACCATCCATCCTAACAACAAATAAAATGCTGAAGAGACTGAAAAACCAACAGTGCTTCCGGGATCCAAAAGACAGGTGAGGACACCAAACAAACCACTGACCCCAAACTAGAGAGACAAACAAATAGCCATGGCTATAAGATCCAGGATTCATAAGCAGAAATTGCCACGAGAACCAGTGCTGAGGTAGGAAAACCTGAGCTGTAACTGACAAATTGCTGGGGGCTAAGTGGTGGTCAAGTCAGACAATTAAAAACTTGCAGGGGACCCAGTTATAGGTGAGCCCCCACACCTTTACAGATTTTATATCCAAGAGCTCAACCAGAGTCTCACAGTGAATATTGGAGAAAAATCTCCTCATGCTTCCAAGAAGATTAAAGGGAAAGGAACATTTTGAAATATGCCACAGCATTTGCTTCTTAACAAGGCCTGCCCTCCAGATGTAACCAGAGCATAATGGAACTTGGGGAAGGTTAATACACAACTCCAGCCCACACTAGCCATCCTATGACTCAGAAGCACATTTAAAGTTCACAGTATAGAGGCATAAGGATTCGCTGAGACCTAATCATAAGACTATAGAACACTGCCCACAAGATTGTAGAACCTAAAACTATAGGAAACATTGCCTCACTCTACACCTTATATTACTAAAGACCTATTTACAGAAGTTCCTTTTACTCAATGCATCATGTCCCGCTATCAAGGAAAAATTACAAAGCATACTAAAAGGCAGGAAAAAAGATTTTGAAGAGACAGTAAGCATTAGAAGCAAACATGGTAGGAACACTAAAATTATCAAACCAGCAATTTAAAAGAACTTTGATTAATATGCTAATGGATAAAATAGCATGCATGAATAGAGTGGTGATGTGAGTAGAGAGATAGAAATCCTAAGGAACAAGTGAAAATAAATTCTAGAGATCAAAAACACTTTTAACAGAAATGAAAAGTGCCTTTGATAGACTTATTGCTAGACTGAACAAGGTTGATAAAATATCTCTAAGTTTCAGGATATATCAATAGGTACACCCAAAACTGAAAGCATGTAGAGGGAAGACTGAAAACATCAGAACAGAATTATCACAGAACCATGGAACCACTAGAAAAGGTGTAAAATATGTGTAATGGGAATACAAGAAGAAGAAAAAAACAACAGAAGAAACATTTGAAATAATAGTGAAAATTTTACCCAAATTAATGTCAGACACCAAACCACAGATCCAGAAAGCCCAAAGAACAGAAAGCAGAATAAATGTCTTAAACGTTAGATTTAGGAATATCATTTTCAAACTATAGAAAACCAAGCATAAGAAAAAGCCTGAAAGCCAAGAGAAGAAAAAGCCTAACAAACCACACTTTACCTATACAGGAACAAAGATAAGAATTTTATCTGACTTCTCCTCAGAAACCATGCAAGCAAAAAGAGTGGAATAAAATTTTTAAAGTATTGAGAATAAAAAAGAAAGCAAAATTGCGAATAAAAAAGAAAGCAAAATTACCAATCTAGAATTCTGCACTTTAGGAAATTATCCTTCAAAAGTGATGGGGTGGCTGGGTGCAGTAGCTCATACGTGTAATCCTGGCACTTTGGGAGGCCAAGGTGGAAGGATTGCTTGAGGCCAGGAGTTTGAGACCGGCCTGGGCAACATAGTGAGACCCCATCTCTACGAGAAAATTAAAAATAATTAGCCATATGTGGTGGCATGTGCCTGTAGTCCCAGCTACTCTGGAGGCTGAAGTGGCAGGATTGCTTGAGCCTGGGAGGTCAAGGCTCCTGTGAGCCATGATCATACCACTTTACTCCAGCCTGGGTGACAGAGCAAGACCCCATCTCTTAATGAAAAAGCACACAAACACAAATGATGGGGAGAGAGAGGATTCTGAAAAGAGAGGGGAGTAACAAGCAAGAGGAATCTCTTTCGTTACCTGGACAACAATCACACCGGCAGAATATGTCTTATATCCGAAGAAACAGGAAAATGTATATAGGCCATTCAAAGAAAACAAAAACAAATCAAAAGAAACCGTCCTTGAAAAAGACCTGATGGCCAATATGGCCGATCCATTCAAAAAAGATTTTTTTTTTTTTTTTGAGATGGAGTCTTGCTCTGTCACCCACGCTGCAGTGCAGTCGTGCAGTCTTGGCTCACTGCAACCTCCACCTCCCGGTTCAAGAGAGTCTCGTGCCTCAGCCTCCTGAGTAGCTAGTATTACAGGCGCCTGTCACCACACCTGGCTAGTTTTTGTGTTTTTAGTAGAGATGGGGTTTTGCCATGTTGGCCAGGCTGGTCTCAAACTCCTGATCTCAGGTGATCCGCCTGCCTCAGCCTCCCAAAGTGCTGATATTACAGGCATGAGCCACCACTACTGGCCAAAACAAAGACTTTAAAACAGCTATCCAAAAGATGCTCAAAGAACTAAAGGAAGATGTAGAGAAAGTCACGAAAGTGATGTATGACCAATATGAAAATATCAGTAAAGAGACAGAAAACCTAAAAAGAAACCAAAAAATTTCTAGAGCTGAAAAGTACAATAACTGAAATAAAAAACACTAAAAGGAGTCAAAGGGGCAGATTTGAGCCGGCAGAAGAATCAGCAAACTTGTATATAGTAAAATGAAGATTACTGAGTCTGAGGAACAAAGAAAACAGATTGAAAAGTGAACAGAGTCTAAGGGGTATGAGTAGGACACATTCAAATAGAACAAAATAGATACTGTGGGAGTAACAGAAGAAGAAAGAGACAAAATATTTGAATGGGTGTAAACTCCCGAATTTTGATGAAAGCCATGAATATCCAAGAAAGTCAACAAAATCCAACTAAAATGAACTTGAACTCAAGGAAATCTACAATGAGAAATCTTACGGTCACACTTGAAAATTACAAAGAGAATTTGAAAGCAGCAAAAGAGAAGTGATTTGTCACATACAAAGAATCTTCAATAGATTATGAATAGATTTCTCATCAAATATTTCAGAGGCCAGGAGACAGTGGGCCAATATATTCAAAGGGCTGATAGAAAAAAAGTCATCTGTGAATGCAGAGACACACACACACACACACACACACACACACACACAGTGCAAAACTGTTAAATACACACACACACACACAAGGAAAAAAACACACACACACAGTAAAACTGTTACATCCGGAGGGCTGACCTTAAGAAGCGAATGCTGTGGCATATTTCAAAATGTTCCTTTCCCTTTAACCCTCTTGGAAGTGTGAGGGGATTTTTCTCCAATATTTACTGTGAGACTCTGGTTGAGCTCTTGGATATAAAATCTGTAAAGGTGTGGGGTCTCACCTATAACTGGGTCCCTTTCAAAGTTTTTAATTTTCTGACTTGACCACCACTTAGCCCCCAGCAATTTGTCAGTTACAGCTCAGGTTTCCTACCTCAGCACTGGTTCCTGTGGCAATTTCTGCTTGTGAATCTTGGATCTTGTAGCCATGGCTCCCTTTATTTGTTTGTCTCTCTAGTTTGGGGTCAGTGGTTTGCTTGGTGTTCTCCCCTGTCTTTTGGATCCCGGAAGCACTGTTGGTTTTTCAGTCTCTTCAGCATTTTATTTGTTGGTAGGATGGATGGTGATTTCCAAGCTCCTTATCTGTGGAACCAGAAACCTGTTGCCCTGTCTTAAAAGGCATATTGGGGCCAGGCGCGGTGGCTCACACCTGTAATCCCAGCATTTTGGGAGGCTGAGGCGGGCAGATCTCCTGAGGCCAGGAGTTTGAGACCATCCTGGCTCACACAGTGAAACCCCGTCTCTGCTAAAAATATAAAAAATTAGCCGGGCTTGGTGGCGTGCACCTGTAGTCCCAGCGAGCCGAGATCGTGCCACTGCACTCCAGCCTGGGTGACAGGGTGAGACTCCATCTCAAAAAAAAAAAAAAAAAAGGCGTATTGATAGGATATACTCAAGGGGTATGGCGCTCAGGGGACTTGAACAATGCCGTCTGAGGTTGAGAGAATTGAAAGTTTCATTTGGGGTACATTTGAGGAGAGGACTGCCTCAGAAAGCAATGAAGCTTTGTTATTGTTCGGGGTTTTTGTTGTTGTTTGTGTTTTTTGGTTTTTGGTTTTTTTTTTTTGTATGTGAAAATGGTGAAGCTTTGGCTTTTAGAATTTTGGTACTGTGGTCGGGAGAGTGGGAGATTAGATGACATGACAGTTGAGTTATAGAAGAGCCTAAAGATAGGGAAAATATATAGTAGTTGAATCCTAGCTCTTCCATTTTCTAACTCAGAGATCGTGGTGACCACAGGCGTGAGTCTTTCTGAGTTCCCACCTATAGCATAGAGATAATTATACCTATCTTATGGGAGTCATTATGGGGGATTAATAATATAAATAAGCCTGGTCAAAGTGCTTCCTAAGGGTTAATTGTATTATTGCCTATTGGTATATAGATTCATGCTGTAAATATTTTAAACAGATGCATTGTTTCTGCATACCTGTGTAGTTATGGAAGAGATACAGAATTTGGAGTTGAAATTTGGAAGGAATATGACAGACCTTGATTTATCATGTCTTAATGGCAGGATATTCACTGTACTGTGTTAATTTGATCATTACAATTTAATCTGTTAAAGGAAAGAGAAGAAAAAGGAAGATGTATAAATAAAGAAGGCTTTTATTTTTGTTTTTATCATTAATTTTTCATCTCAAAATTTGTTTTGGCTACAAAATATGCAGAAAGAAAGTCTTAATTTTTAGAAATGAAAAATATTTTAACATTCCATTAATCTGATGACCTGACCCAAGAGTTTATAGCATGTTTGTTTTAGCTTTAATTCTTGGTTCTGTTTTACTTTATGTAGAGATTCTTTAAAATAAGGATAAGAATCCAAAGGAGAAGTGCAGGTGCTTCTTTCATAGCCTTTTAAAGTTGATTCGTATACAGTAAATAAATTAGTATGGCGGATATGTGTGGACTGTTCCACATTTGGCACATCTTTATGAGTATGTTTTTGTAGACATTTGAAGAAAGTTTTATAATAGTTGGTGCAAATTTGTCCTTTTATGTGAAATACTTTTTCATTTCAAGTTAAAAATGCATTACCACAGAGGATCTGCCAATTTCTACAGATAGAATTCTCATTGTACAAGTAACTTTAGTATGTCACAGTAGGTATTGCACAGTACAGTCATGCGCAGCATTATGGTGTTTTGGTAAATGATAGACTGCATATATGTCAGTGGTCCCCAAAGACTATAATGGAGCTGAAAAATTCCTTTTACCTAGTAATGTCAGCTGTCTTAAGGTCATAGCCATCTTAATGCCGTAGTTCCAACACATTACTCATGCAACTCAATAGTGAGAAAAGAAACAAGCCCAACAAACCACCATGAACATATTTCTGAAAAAAGTGACACCTCCTCAAGAAGTACCTCAGGCAGGTCCCTCAGGAGGGATTCCAGGAGAAGGCATTGTTACCATAGGAAATGCCAGCTCCATTCATGTTATTTCGCCTGAAAACCTTTTAGTGGGACAAGATGTAGAGGTGGAAGACAGTGATATTTATGATCCTGACCCTCTGTAGGCCTATGCTAGTGGGCGTGCGTGTTTTAGTTTTCAATAAGAAAGCTTTAAAAATCTAAAAATAGAAAAAGGACCACAGGTGTGTACCGCCATACATGGCTAGTTTTGAATTTTTTTTTTTTTTTGTAGAAACAAGGTCCCCCAGTGTTGCCCACACTTGTCTCTAACTCCTGGCCTCAAGCAGTCCTCCTGCTTTGGCCTCCTAAATTGCTGGGATTACAGGTGTGAGTAATCCTGCAATCCCACTGTGTAATCCCCCTGCTTACTTCTTATTCCTAAGAAAAATGTTAAGTGACATTAAATTTTTTCCTGGTCGCTGTTTTATTTTAAACTATGGAATTTAATATATGAATGCATTCTCATTCACAAAGGTCTAAATTGCTTAGAATTAGGTGGAAAAACGTGTTAAAACCTCCATTTATCATGTTTCTTTCTCCCTATTACCATTTTCAAACATAAAGGTAACCACCCTTTTTGTATCGTTTCACTGCTTGGTGATTTACAGACATTTGGAGACTGTTGCAAAACTAATGTTGAATTATTTTCAGTGGGTATTTATATTTTCTCCTAATCATTTTCATTCTAGGAAAGTTTAAAACTTTTCGCTATTGAGTTATGAAAATTTCCCTTGAAATTAAGAATTATGTAAATGATGAATATGTTCACAGTAGAATAATGAGAAAATAAGCCAACGTTATATTTTTAAAATTCACCTGTAGTGTTAGAATTGAGAGAGAACTACTCTTATTAATTTGATATCTAGATTTCCAACTTGCCCATTTCTGAAGATAAATGTAATATATTTAAGTCTTAAAGGATCATTATATACATAGTTTTGTAATTTGTGTTTTTTAATGTAGTAATAAATGGTAGCATACACTCTTTTAGCAGTTGTAACATGCCAGCCAGACTTTTAATCCATTTGTATTTAGTAACCTAGGTCTTCACAACAGTCCTTTCAGGTAAGTATTATTACTATTATGCCCATTGTACAGATGGGAAAATTAAACTCACGTAGTTAGGATAAATAACCCCCAAAGTTCACATAGCTGCTAAGTGGTTGAAATGAGATTTGAATTTAGGCAGAGGATTCCAGAGTGTGTTCTCTTTGACATATGGTCATAACCATCTTTCCATGTCAATAAATATAGACTTCACCTGTACTTGTATTGGCTGTATAGTATTTCACTTTCATCTCACTCAAACTCTTAGTAATATTCACATATCTTCATTTCTTGAAAGGATTTTTTCTTTACAGGCTCTTCCTTCTAAGTTTCCTTCATGGTTCATTCTCTACCTGACTTCTAAATTTGTAGTTTCCAATGGCCAGGCTCTTTGTTTATTTGCCTTCTTAAGGTAAGCTCATGCATTCCTGTGACTTTAAATACAGTTTATATAATGGCAATGCTCAAATTTACAGTTACTGCTCGGAACTTTCTACTTTGCTCCCCAACTCATATCCACAGTGGCTTATTTGACATCTTCATGAAGATGTGTCATAGATCTCTAAAATGTGTGAAATCAGAATGTTTGATTCCCTCTCTAACTTTGTTCTTCCTCCACAAATCTGTTCCTTCTCTTTCTGATCGTAGTAAATGGCTCTTGCATCAACCTAGTTGTTCAAGTCAAAAAATTAGGAGTCATCACTGATTACTCTTTTTTCTGTCAACTCTTATAGTTAATTTTTCAGTAAGTCCTGTTTCTGCTTTCATAATATTTCTCCAGTCCATCCACTTTTACTGTCATCACCTTCATCAGGCCACTCCATCGTTATCCAGTTATGTATGAACACCTGCTTTGCATTCTATTTTCCACTTCTGCTAACAGTGTTTCACCATTGTTACTATTAATCTTAGGTTGTGAAGTGCTGATAAAGACAGTGTCAGGACTCTGCTTATTACATCTATAAATTCACACTATCCAAGCTCAGTTAGACTGACATTACTATTTAGCAGACCATCTTCCTCCTGCTTGAAATATCCTTGCGTTCTCATGTATTACTCCTATCCCCATTCCTGGTTTATGTGTAGTGGAATTAAGAGTGGAGCTTTTTAGCATACATGTTTTTTTTTTTTTCATCTTTTTTCTTTATTTCCCCACCTCCTTATATTGAGTTAGATAAAAAATGGGAATTCTACATCTGATCTGACTAATATAAACTGCTGTCAAGGTGACCTTATAAAATATATTTATGTACTATCTCTGCTGTATATTCAATGGATCTTTTTCCAACCAAATGAACTATGAAAACTTCATCCTGGCCCTCCAGGCTGCCTTTTAAGGTGTTGCCAATTAAAAAAAAAAAAACTTTAACCCTTATCTTCCACTGAGCTATTCATTGTAGTCAGGCTGCTCATTTCAGAGCATGCTCTTTGTTTTTTTTTGTGTGTGTGTGTGTGTGTGTGCCTTGTGCTATAGTTTATATATATACTTTGATTTCTTTTTTTTTTTTAATAATGTAAAACTTTGGATGCAGGAACTGTGTCTTTCAAGTACTTTTGGCATTTACATCAGGGATTCATAGCTGTTCTACATAGTTCACTTGTATCGGGAAGATTATCTTACTTAGTCAGGAACACAGTTTTGGAGGAATATCTGTAGAGCAGCAGGAAGAAAAGGAGAACCCTTACTGTAGGCATTTGTCAGTTCAACCCAGACATTGGTAACTAATGTGTGTGTGTGCAACCAGATCATATCTGGAGTTAGATTTTTCTTGTCTTTCAGTATGCTGTATAGCACAGAAACTTGAATGTAGAAAGTTTTCATTGAAGAATTGACTGTGATCCTTCCTGATCACTGGGCTTATTGCTTCCTGGGCATCCACTGGCTTTTAATTTAGTTTTAAGCCAGGCTTTTAAAGTAGAACCAACCAGGAGGCAAGGATGTTGGGGGCATGATTTTCCAATGCTACTCATGTAAACTCAACTTTTTAATTCCTTTTTTGGAATAAAACAGGCTCTTCACTGTTTACAGGGTTATTTCTAAGTTGCAAAAATTATCTCTCAACATGTTTTTGTAATTTCTGTATCCCCCATTTGATCTTGGCTGCCACAAACAGAAAATGTGAGAACATTTTTTTTGTGTATCTATGGTAGAAACAGTAACTGCTCCAGGTCTGTCAAGTAGATTCATTGGATCTTCTTATAAAAATAATATATTTTTGTTAATAAAAATAAATTTGAAAATTTCAAATGAGGTGTTTTACTTAGAATGATGTTCAAAAGTTTTTGTCCATAAGTGTTTGAGGAGGTCCATTTTAGGATTTTCCAAGTGTATTAGTCTGTTTTCATGCTGCTAATAAAGACATACCCGAGACTGGGCAATTTACAAAAGAAAGAAGTTTATTGGACTTACAGTTCCACGTGGCTGGGGAGGCTTCACAATCATGGCAGAAGGCAAGGAGCAGCAAGTCACATCTTACATGGATGGCAGCAGGCAAAGAGAGCTTGTGCAGGAAAACTCCCCCCTTATAATAACCATTAGATCTCATGAGACTTACTACTTACTATCATGAGAACAGCACAGGAAAGACCTGCCCTCATGATTCAGTTACCTCCCACTGGGTCCCTCCCACAACATATGGGAATTCAAGATGAGATTTGTTTGGGGGCACAGCCACACCATATCACCATGTATGTCTCTGGCTACACTTAGGAATGTCTCATCTATTTAAGTTTTTTTTAAGCTCTACATATTAGCTTCAGAAAGTACAAATAAAAATAAGAATAAAAATTACCAAAGATTTTATCAGTTATGTTATAACCCCTGTTAACTTTTTGACCATTATTTATTTTTTTGTTCTTTGTTTTTTTTCATATGTATAGCCAGTTAGATGGTGTTTTTACACTCATCCACTTTTAAAATTAAAAACAAGGGATGTAGCAATCTTTTCTATACAAAGAGAAACACTGTAATAGGAGCAACGTTTTTATCCTTTAGGTACTCATAGACTAGTGACGGGAAATTCATGTCATACTACATAACAGAATGAGCTAAATTCCATTTGTCTGTGGTGGAGTCAGCTAACATTTTCATTGAGGATATTCTGTGTGCTGAATATTTATAGCCATTATCTCATTTTATCTATGCAATAACTCTATGATATGATGTAGATGAAGCCATTGAAATTTAGAGATTAGATAAATTGGCCACATAGTTCATAAACAGCTAGGAGTTTGCCCAGGTTTGTTGACATTTAAATCCACGCTTGCTACTTCTTTCTTTATTTATTTAAGACAGAGTCTTGCTCTGTGACCCAGGCTGGAGTGCAATGGCGTGATCTCGGATCACTGCATCCTCCGTCTCCTGGGTTCCTGGGTTGAAGCGATTCTCCTGCCTCAGCTTCCTGAGTAGCTGGGATTACAGGTGCCTGCCACCACGCCCGCCTAATTTTTGTATTTTTAGTAAAGACAGGGTTTCACCATGTTGGTCAGGCTGGTCTCGAACTGCTGACCTCATGATCCACCCGCCTCAGCCTCCCAAAGTGTTGGGATTACAGGCATGAGCCACCAAGCCCGGCAAATCCATGCTTTTAAACATTACTCTGTATGGTGTGATAATGAACAGTCACTGTATCTGACTGTTCATCTGTGTGTCCATCTGTATTGAATAAAGGAGAAGGAGTTGAAGAATAAAGGGAAATCTACAGAGATGCTGAGGAAAATAATAATAAAATAACTTGGAAAGAGACATCCTCAAAGGATAATCAGTGGAAACCAGCTTTGCTAAAGTAATAGCACTTTATTGTGGTACTTGTAACATGACTGCTAACGAATTATAAAGGTATGGTATAGATATTTGGCATAAATAAGCTTATTGCCTCTTAATGTTTGCTCTGTAGATTAAGTTATGTCAAAGACCACAAGCTGATGGTTCCCAGCTCTTGATTTATGAGCCAGGAACTGTCCTGTCAAAGCAGTTTAAGTGAAATTCAGGCCCTATGAACTAGAACATGTAGCCAAAATATTCTAAAGTTTTGTAGATATCCTACAGATATATGATTTTGTTGAATTAGTCAATTTAGCATTGTGCCAGCCACTACGCAGTCTCACAAATGAAAGTATGTGTTATATTCCTAAAGGAGCGTATGAAGTAGACATGTTCACAAGTAATAGATTATTTTAAGTGCTATGGAAACACATAGAGGGGAGCATTTTTGCATGAAGAATCACCAAAAGTGAAGTCAGTCAGCATTTTTCTCATATTCAAAAGCCATCTTATGCCTATCTTGTGTGATTTTATTTTATATAAATGAATATCTTTTTCCTTCTAGGTATATTTGTTTTTCTGTTTAGTTATCTCATATGTAAATGCTAGTTTAAATATTTAACTGTTTTCTACCAGCTGACAAATATATTTTAGCTTCTGTTGATATCTTTATAACAGAAGTTTAAAAACTGTTCTTGTCATGTTCTGAGTCAAGCATAGGTAATAATACTGTATAAATTAAAATTGGCTCTTAATGTTGTATGGATTGCTTTCTCTAATGAAGTTAGGAAGCATTCAAAATTTGATTTGTTCTTAAAGTAAGTGAAGATTTGAAGAGTGGTGTAAATATATATAGAAGAAGGACTATGTTAGCACAACTCCTTTTTTTTTTTTTTTTTTTGGAGACAGAGTCTCGCTCTGTCACCCAGGCTGGAGTGCAATGGTGTGATCTCAGCTCACTGCAACCTCTACCTCCCAGGTTCAAGCAATTCTCCTGCCTCAGCCTCCTGAGTAGCTGGAATCACAGGCACCTGCCACCACACCCAGCTAATTTTTGTGTTTTTAGTAGAGATGGGGTTTCGCCATGTTGGCCACACTGGTCTGGAACTCCTGACCTCAGATGATACACCTGCCTCAGCCTCCCAAAGTGCTGGGATTACAGGCGTGAGCCACCACACCCGGCCTAAGCAACTTCTTTTTAACACTGTTGACATATTTTAAACTATATTTAACAACATTGCTGGAATGACTATTTGAGATAACCTGCTAATTGAACACAAATCAGTTGAAAATCTAGTCTATCTGCTGTAAGAGGGTTTTCTAGTTTCAAGTCTAGGATAATTCATTCCTTAAATTCCCACTCCCCACCTGTGTTTTCATAGTCCTTTCCTGTGCATTTATTTTCAGTATTCTATAAATTTTACAACAGTATACAAATCAAAGGAATTGTTACTCCAGCTTGGTCATTTAATATAAAAGATGGATGTAAGCCATGATTCTTGTCATTACTTACTTGGCTCTTTGCATTTAGGATTCTTGTTATATACAGTTACTGTATATCAATCCTTCAAATTTCAAAAAATTTTTTTTACAAGAAAAGTATATTTTAAAGATAAAATTAATCCAAAAGTAGTGCCAAATAGGACTGCTTATTAGTATAGATTTATGTATCACTAAGGATAATTACTAATTAATACTTTTACACAATTTAAAAATATATAAACACCGTTAGCTACATAAACTTATTTAGACCTAACAACAACCTTATGATGGGTATTATGATACTAGCTTTATAGATTGCAAAACTGAGTCTCAGAGAGGTCAAATGACCTGCCCAAGGAGAAAGAATTAAGTGGCAGAGCAGGACCTGAAACCCATATTTGTATGATTTTGAATCCAGAAGTATTTTAATTACTTACACTTAATTGGTAGCTTCCAGAGTGCTTATGAATGTTTTATTTTGGCTTAAACATTTGTCTTGCAGTTCCATTTACAGTATATGATATGCAAACACTGATTTGTATAGTTAATGCAAAGATACTTCAGTCTGGTCTTTACCCTAGTGATCACCAACTAGGGAAAAGTCATCCATTTAAATGAGGCTCTAGAGCAGCTTTTCCCAAAGTGTGAGGTATGCTAGTGTAGGTATCAAAGGAATATTTATTATTTTAATGTAATTCTCAGCCTAAAAGGCCATCAGCCCTCAGACCAACCAACAACAGGTTTATTCTAGATTTTATGTAGTGAAGCCTAAATCTCCCTTAAAAGCTCAAACTTTCTTTTCCCCTGTCCTCACTTCTCTTGAAGCTCTTTGTCTAGCTCCTTCCCCTCTGGGCACATGCAGTCCCCTCATAATTTCCTCCAGTCTGTCACCCTTGCCTTTCCTATATTTGACTCTTCATACTTCTTCAGTAATCCAACTCTTCCTCCTCAGCTCCAACTCTTTCCCTTTTCAGTTTTCTTTTTTTTTTAATCCCTTTCCAGGATCCACACATCAAACACCAGTGTCCTCTTTACCCCTTGGGTTCTTCATAACACTTTCACATATACCTTAGCCCTAGACTTATCCTACCTCCCATCCTATCACAGCTCCTTCTCCAGTCAACTGCATTCACAACCCACCCTAACTCCTTAACCCGTGACTAACAGAAATAACCTGCTCAACAAAATCTGTAGTATGAAGTGTCTTTCTCACCAAACCAAGGTCTAACTGGTTCCAGGATTGGGAGGTCTTGTTTTCTTCCCCTTGGCTGTCTCATAACTGAACTCCATAGGCTCTCTCCACACTTTTAAATGTTTTCTACACTTTTGTGCTTATTCACTGTTGCTAAGCTTACATTCTACAGTTTTGGTGATTCAGAATGTTCTGGGATTCACGAATAATATGGGGAACATTTTAAAAAAGAATTAACTAAGAGCAGTTGACAAAGCCTCCTGCCTTGAAAGGAGATTTTGGCTTACAAAGGACCACTGTTAAATCAGATTGGACAGCAGGTGATATCAAAGAAATACGCAGGTAGTAAGGGTATGAGACAAAACTTCTAATGCATGAAGTTTGGGAAATACTGCTCTAGAGTATTTGGAATTCGAATTTATTCATTCAGTCAGTCACTTATTCACTCATGCATTCACCATGTCGTCATTATATTAAGCATCTACTCTGTACCAAGCATTGGGCTGGCTATGCAGTAGTATGACAAAAATTCAGTTTCAGCCCTCATGGAGTTTCCTGTGTAAGGGAAGGGAGATTCCATGTGCTTTTATGAAAAGCAGAGTTTTTGTTTCTTAAAAAAAAAAGTTCCTCCTTAAACAGATTTTAAAAATATAACTGAAGTGACAAAAATACACTTTCTGTAAATAACATCTGGTAGATGTGTTACCACTCAGAATTTCTATTATGATAAATAAATGTACCAAACCTGGTGTCAGAAATCACTGTGGGCCAGGTTAGAAAAACAAACACTTTTCACTTGAGAATACATCACTCCATTATTCAGTATTATAAAATGAAGAAAAATCACTATTACTGCTCTAGTTAGTAAATGAAAGTGTATTTGCTTATTACAAATGTTGGTTTGATTTCGAATCTCCTAAAGTACCTATCTCCTGAGATGCTGGCTGAGCTTTAAGGACAGCTTGCAACACTGGATCTTCCCATGGGCCGCCATCTCTAATGATTCGAGTCACCAGTTCCAGATTCACATTTCCATATCTGCGGAGGTGATTCTGGTATTCCTGGAATGATCCAAGAATATCCTTTAAGGGCTCTTCATAAAACTCACCTCTTCCAAAGAACAGCAGCAACTCGAAGAAACTCACAGCAAGGCTACTCAAAACATGTTGTACGTGCTCACATTCATCTGGGAATGATGCACTGGCTGTTGTAAAACAACAAAGTACAGTCTGAAGAACCTGAAGCTGTGGCAAAGGGACCTGCCATCTTCCAACGTAATCTTCAACCACCTGACAGAAGCGTCAGCAGTAACCCCGACAGCTGATCGTGACGCCGCCACTGCAGCTGCCAGCACCGCCTCTGCCGTCGCCCGCAGCTCTAAGCCCCACAGGGCCAGCAGGGACTCCACAGTGGCCACAAGCTCTTCTCTGAGGCGTTCGGCCTTTTGATCGCTGTCTTCCTCCGCCATGAGGCTCTCGCTGCCCAGCGCATACCAGCCCCTGCTCCTCCACCACTGTAGCTGCCTAGGCTAACCTCCCAAATTTCAAAATATTTTAAAATGAGAAGTGATGTAATCTATTAATATAATCTTTGTAATTATAATTTGTTTAGGCAGTTTTTATTTTGGGCTATATTTTCTTTATATCCATACTGATGTTTTGTTTGCTTGTTCTATCAAATACTGAGAGTCCCTAGCCTACTATCCCTGCATTAAAAATTTTGGTCGGGGTGACCTTGGAGCGTAATTCAACCTCCGAACAACCTAAACTAAGACCATGGGGTATTAATATTTCCAACTGAAGGTATAGATTTGTCCGTTTCTTTCTTAGTCCTGTTAGTTTTTATGTTATTAATTTTCAGGCTCATTTATTGAAGATGCATACGTAATTAGAATGGTTATGCCTCCGTAATGGATTACCCCTTTTATCTAAATTACCTTATCTCTTATAATACTCTTTGCCTTGAAGTCTGCTTTATTATTTATATACCAACTTTTTTACCCTTGCAGTTTGCATGGTAGATCTTTCTCCATTCATTTGTTTTCAACTCATTTGAACTCATAATTAAACTATATAACTTATGTATATATTTATATATAATATGTATATTAGATATATGTATTAGTCCGTTCTCACATTGCTGTAAAGAACTACCTGAGAGACTGGATAATTCATAAAAGAGGTTTAATTGACTCACAGTTCTGCAGGCCGTACAGGAAGCGTGGCTGGGCAGGCCTCAGGAAATTTACAATCATGGCAGAAGGTGAAAGGGAAGCAAGCACGTCTTACGTGGCCAGAGAAGGAAGACGAGAACAAAGAGGGAGAATGCCATATACTTTTAACAACCAGATCTCATGAGAACTCACTATCAGGAGAACAACAAGGGGGAAGTCCCTCCCCGTGATCCAGTCACCTCCCACTAGGCCCTTCCCTCCAACACTGGGAATTACAATTTGACCTGAAATTTGGGTGGGGGCACAAATCCAAACCATATCAATATATAATTATTATATATAAGTATGTGAACTATAATTGCTTTTTAATCAGTTTTTATAATTTATGTTTATTAATTGGAGTATTTAATCCATTTATAATTACACATATTTTAGACTGTTTAAAATGGTATTGGAATCCCCTGAGTCTCTTCAGTTTCATTTATTCATTTTGTCTTTATTTTTCAGATTGATTTGTGTTGAAGTTCACTGACTTCCATATAGTTTCCTTTTTTTTTTTTTTTTTTTTTTTTTTGAGATGGAGTCATACTCTCTCATCCAGACTGGAGTGCATGGAGTGCAGTGGCACCATCTCGGCTCACTGCAACCCCTGCCTCCCAGGTTTAAGCAATTCCCCTGCCTCAGCCTCCCGAGTAGCTGAGATTACAGGCACATGCCACCATGCCTGGCTAATTTTTGTATTTTTAGTAGAGACGGGGTTTCACCATGTTGGCCAGGCTGGTCTCGAACTCCTGACCTCAAGTGATCCGCTCACCTCAGCCTCCCAAAGTGCTGGGATCACAGGTGTGAGCCACTGCACCCGGCCTAGTTTCCATTTTTCTGTTGATATTTACTTCTATTCACTCATTAAGACTATATTTTATTTCTTTAATATATTTTCCCTTAGTTCTTTGAACATATTTATAAGAGCTATTTTTAAGTATTTGTCAGTTGAATCTAACATCTTTTGGGGCCATTTTCTATTGACTGCTTTTTTCTTGATGATGAGTCGCATTTTCCTTTTTGCCTATCTAGTAATTTTTAAATTATATACTGTACCTTGTGGATGTATGGTAGAGACTCTGGGGTTTTGTTATTTTTCTTTGAATACTATTGATTTTCATTCTGATAGGCTGTCCAGTTACTTGCTGTTCATCCTTAACTCTTGCAGGCTGTTTTATACTTTGTAAATGTAGATGTGTGGAAAGATCAAGATGTTTCCCAAGTTTTTTTTTTTTTTTTTTTTTGAGATGGGGTCTCGCTCTTTCCCCCAGGCTGGAGTGCAGTGGCGCAATCTCCGCTCACTGCAAGCTCCGCCTCCTGGGTTCATGCCATTCTCCTGCCTCAGCCTCCCAAGTAGCTGGGACTACAGGTGCCCGCCACCATGCCTGGCTAATTTTTTGTATTTTTAGTACAGACGGGGTTTCACCGTGTTAGCCAGGATGGTCTCAATCTCCTGACCTCATGATCTGCCCGCCTCAGCCTCCCAAAGTGCAGGGATTACAGGCGTGAGCCACTGCGCCCGGCCCCCAAGTTCTTTTAAATTTGTAGGGTACAACCTCCAAACTGTGTTTCCCTTTGGATCTTTTAGGGTTTAATGTTAGGTTTTGTTAGGTTTGTGCTAGAGTAGGTCTTACTTTAGAGCCTGGTTCTTTTTCATAAGATGTGTCAGCTGAACGACCAAGAAATTAGCCAGGTTTCTCTACCTTTTTTTTTTTTTTTTTTTTTTTTTTTTTAAGAGACAGGGTCTCACTGTTGCCTAGGCTGTCTCAAACTCTTGGGCTTAAGCAGTCCTCCTGCCTCAGCTTCCCAAAGTGCTGGGATTACAGGCGTGAGCCACCACACCTGCCCTTCTCTACTTTTGCTTGTCTGGAAATCCTGTGTTCTTCCAATGCCACTTAACCTCCAGTGTTTATGTTTTACCATAACCCCAAAGCAGTTGGTCTCTAATAAACCTGGACTGCTTTCTCTCTGGGTAGCCCAGCCTTTAGCCAAGTACACACATGTGACTTCTAGGGATCTCCCTCTCCTTGCTTTCCAGTGTCCTGCCCAGAATAATTTAGCTGCTTCATTTGTCTTAAACTCTGATCTCTGCCTCCTCAACTCAGCAGAAACATGCAATTATATGCTGCACACTGGTTGCAATATTGACTTTTATCAGAGTTTCTGGGCAATTATGGGGTTGACTTGGTGAGTTTCTCTTCTCTCAGGAATTACAGTCTTGTGTTTATTTTACGAAACCTGAATACGGTTGCCTTGTGTGTTTTGTCATTTTTGATGGTTGTTTACAATGGGAGGGCTAGCTGGTACCAATTACTTCATCATAGCCAGAAGTGCATGATTCTGAGTAATAAGTATACAAATGTATTGTGTCATGCTGGGACTTATTTGTATTTTCCATTAGTGATTTGTTCAAACCCACTCCCCTAATAAAATTTTGTACCTGGCTTTTATTGGAGGGGGAGCAAAACTTTCTCTATTAAAGAGGCGTAGCATTTTATGATTTTCTAAAATTTTATTGCATTTTATAGAGTATCTGATAAGTGTCATGGTTCTTCCCTGTCTGCTCTGGGGAAGACACCAGCATATCTTTGGTTTACCTTATTTTCATCAATATAAGTATTAGCTGTACATGTGGATAGTATTTGACAAAAGATAGCTAGAAATATTAGCTGCTGAATCTTTTTTAAAACTGGAAATTGATGGTGTGGCCACTTTTAAAATAAATTTTTGCAGATATTAATTGAGTCATTAAATATTTAGTGAGTGCCTGTTTTATTGCCATTGCTGGCATTGTACTTGGCACTAGGGATATAATGGAGAACAAAATAGGCATGCATAATCCCCATCCTTGTTGAATTTACATTCCACTATGGGAGACAGGCAATAAATACAAAGAAACAACATCAAAAATTACAAATTATGATACCTACCAGGAAGAAAACAAATAGGGTTCTATGGTTGAGAACAGTGAGTTCTTAGTTCAGTTAGGGTGGTCAGAGAAGACCTCTTTGAGGAGTTTTATATTTAAACTGAATGGATAAGGAGGTAGTGTCCTTATGGGAGAGGTTGAATTAGGTACTATGATGGGTTTTTAAATACCTTTCCAGTACCCATAAAGATCCTGAGGAAAGTTTCGTTATATTAGAGGAACTGAGAGAAGATAAGTGTGTCTGAAGTATGAACAATGGGAAGAAAATGACAAGATTTAAGTCGGGAAGGTGGACATAGGCTAGATCATTTAGGACCCTGTAGACAATGGTAAGGTGCTTGATTTCTTCTTCTTTCTTCCATCGCTGAATAGGGTAACTATATAATTTGTTGTACAAAAACTGGCATACTCTGAGTAAAAAGGAGCACCAACTGGATGGAATACTGGGTGGACAGATGTAATCTAGCCCTGTTTGGTAAAATCATCCTAATTGTGTACATAACATATGTAGAAATAGTATAGATTCTGCCTGCAGATTACCTTTAAATATTATTATTATTATTATTATTATTATTATTATTATTATTATTATACTTTTAAGTTCTGGGATACATGCACGGAACGTGCAGGTTTGTTACATAGGTATACGTGTGCCATGGTGGTTTGCTGCACCCATCAACCTGTCATCTACATTTCTCCTAATGCTATCCCTCCTCTAGCCCCTCACCCCGTGACAGGCACTGGTGTGTGATGTTCCACTCCCTGTGTCCACGTGTTCTCATTGTTCAACTCCCACTTATGAGTGGGAACCTGCGGTGTTTGGTTTTCTGTTCCTGTGTTAATTTGCTGAGAGTGATGGTTTCCAGCTTCATCCATGTCCCTGCAGAGGACATGAACTCATCCTTTTTTATGGCTGCATAGTATTCCATGGTGTATATGTGCCACATTTTGTTTATCCAGTCTATCACTGATGGGCATTTGTGTTGGTTCCAAGTCTTTGCTGTTGTGAACAGTGCTGCAATAAACATACGTGTGCATGTGTCTTCATAGTAGAATGATTTATAATCCTTTGGGTATATACCCAGTAATGGGATTGCTGGGTCAAATGGTATTTCTGGTTCTAGATCTTTTTTTTTTTTTTCACCCAGGCTGGAGTGCAATGGCGTGATCTTGGCTGGCTGCAGCCTCAGCCACCCGGGTTCAAGCCATTCTCCTGCCTCAGTCTCCCAGGTACCTGGGATTACAGGTGTGCACCACCATGCCAAGCTAATTTTTGTATTTTTGGTAGAAACGGGGTTTCACCATGTTGGCCAGGCTGGTCTCGAACGCCTGACTTCAGGTGATCCACCCACCTCAGCCTCCCAAAGTGCTGGGTTTACAGGCGTGAGCCACCATGCCTGGCCTCTGGTTCTATATCCTTGAGCAGTTGCCACACTGTCTTCCACAGTGGTTTAACTAATTTACGCTCCCACCAACAGCATAAAGGTGTTCTATTTCTCCACATCCTCTCCAGCATCTATTGTTTCCTGACTTTTTAATGATTGCCATTCTAACTGGCATGAGGTGGTATCTCATTCTGGTTTTGATTTGCATTTCTCTAATGACCAGTGATGATGAGCTTTTTTTCATGTTTGTTGGCTGCATAAATGTCTTCTTTTGAGAGGTGTCTGTTCATATCCTTTGCCCACTTTTTGATGGAGTTGTTTGTTTTTTTCTTGTAAATTTGTTTAAGTTCCTTGTAGATTCTGGTTATTAGCCCTTTGTCAGCTGGATAGATTGCAAAAATTTTCTCCCATTCTGTAGGTTGCCTGTTCACTCTGATGATAGTTTCTTTTGTTGTGCAGAAGCTCTTTAGTTTAATTAGATCCTATTTGTCAGTTTTGGCTTTGTTGCCATTCCTTTTGGTGTTTTTGTCATGAAGTCTTTGCCCATGCTTGTGTCCTGAATGGTATTGCCTAGGTTTTCTTCTAGAGTTTTTATGGTTTTAGGTCTTACATTTAAGTCTCTAATCCATCTTGAGTTAATTCTGCTTACTATCTATATAGCCCTTGGGCAGTTTGATGTCTCTGTGCCTCAGATTTCCCATTTGTAGTATGGGGAAATAATACCTCACTGGGAATGAAGATTAAGTAAGATAATATATGTATCAAAACACACAGTGCCTGGCACATGCCAAGTACTTAGTAAATCTGTTCTTTCAGCAGATATTTATTGAAAGGTTATTATGTGCCAGACATTATACTAGGCAATGGGGATTAAACATTGAACCAAACACAGAAATCCTTGACTTCATTGGGTTTATATTCTGGTGCTGAGAAATAGGTGATAAATAAGTTAAAAATGGGATGTAAGATGGTAATAAGTACGATGAAGCAAAAACATGACACAGAGAATGGAATATGGAATATGCTGGCAGCAGAAGGGGATGGTGAGCTAATATGTAATATGCTGGCAGCAGAAGGGAATAGTGAGCTGAAAGTTTAAGTAGATTGATCAGAGTAGACCTCATTGAGAAGGTATGATTTGAACAGGGATTTAAGGAAGTGAGGGATTGAGCCAGCTACAGGAGGTGATTCCAGGCAGAGGGAACATGCAGAGATGATATGGGAAGTAGTTAGGGGGTTTTAAGCAGAGGAATGACAGGAAATGGTTTATATTCTAGAAGGATGACTAGGCTGTGGATAAGAGAGAGTGACAGCAGGGAAACAAGTTGGGAATTGAAATAAAATATGTTGAACCAGGGTGGTATCAGTGGAGGTAGTTAGAAATGGTTGGATTCTGAAACTTCTTGAAGGTAGAACTGACAGGATTTGCTGATAAATTTGATAAGTTGTTTGAGAGAAAAAGAGGTGCCAGAGGTTTTTTTAGCTAGAGCAACTAGAAGGATGAAGCTACCATTTTACCATTTACTGAAACGGGGAATAACTGTGGGAGGAATAAATTCGGGTGAAGATTAGGAGTTTCAGTTTTAGGCATCCTATTAGACATCCAAGTATTCGTGTTAGCAGTTGTTACTTATCTAATAAATGTTAACTGTTATAATCATTCATTAAATATTTATTGGCTCTCTGGTGAACAATTTGCTATGTTCTTGGAATTAAAAGGGTGGTCAAAAATAGACAATCTTCTTGCCTTTATGAAATTTGCAGTCTAATTGGAAACATAGAAATTGGTCAAATGACCTCATCATTGGTAGTATTTTTTTCCTAAAACACAAACAAACAAAAAAACCCTTTAATTAGGGCACCTAAAGAGAAATAAGAGTGACTTAACAAAATCATAGGTATCCCTTGATATCTAAATTTATTAGGTTCTTACGGGCAGATAGTGAGGGATGTGTATACATTGATCTTTCAGACTACTTACATAAATGGTTTTTTTTCAGTAGACATATATTTTAAGTTTCTTATTTAACAATATCTCATTCTTAAAGTTGGTTAGCTTAATTAATATGAGAGAATGAAGCTTCACGAATTTACCTTCATTTAGTTGAAATGAGAGAGTTGTATATTGAATTTAGTGTTTAAAAGTATTACATATTTCATGAAATACTTAGGTTGTTAGAAATGTTCTCCTTTGTTTCTTTCATTAAAAATGTTTTGCTTTTACTTTTTATTAGCTAAGGACCATTTTTTTGTAACTGAAGTCTTTAATAATAGCATTATAGTATCATCTATTTACCTTTCTCTCATAACATGAAAGTATTAATTTTTGTGTTTTCAAAAATCAACAGGTTCGTCACAAGGCATCGCAGAAGGTTTATGCTATGAAGCTTCTTAGTAAGTTTGAAATGATAAAAAGATCAGATTCTGCCTTTTTTTGGGAAGAAAGAGATATTATGGCCTTTGCCAATAGCCCCTGGGTGGTTCAGGTAAGCATACTAACTTTTATAAGTTTATTTCCTTTTTTTATGAGTGCTTTATTATTCATGAGTTGATTTTTGTGTGCCAAGTCTTATGCTTCATTTACATGGTAACAGTGCAGTTATTTTTAGGAGATTTGATTCAAAACATTTGTTTAATGTTCCAAAACAGTATGTCCACATAGATATGACATGTAATACTTACTTAAATTGTTGTATGGAAGCAAGTATTACTTGCAGCTTTTTCTTCTTGATAAAGAATTGGCTTGAATACCAGTATGCCATTGTTTCATACCCACTTATTCTTGTGATTTACATAGTAGGAACATAGTAAATTCATTGAATCATCTGGAAGGATATATACATATTAATATTCCAACATGGCACATGTGTACATATGTAACAGACCTGCACGTTGTGCACATGTACTCTAGAACTTAAAGTATAATCATTAAAAAAATAAAAAGTTTGTGTGGCCAGGCGCAGTGGCTCACACCTGTAATCCCAGCACTTTGGGAGGCCAAGGCAGGTGGATCACGAGGTCAGGAGATTGAGACCATCGTGGCTAACACAATGAAACCCTGTCTCTACTAAAAATACAAAAAAATTAGCCGGGCATAGTGGCACACACCTGTAATCCCAGCTACTTGGGAGGCTGAGGCAGGAGAATCGCTTGAACCTGGGAGGCAGAGGTTGCAGTGAGCCGAGATTGTACCACTGCACTCCAGCCTGGCAACAGAGCAAGACTCCGTCTAAAACAAAAAAAGAAGCTTATGTTACATTAATCAGCCTATCTTGAAAAGAAAAAAAACAACAAAAAACTTCCTACAATAAACATTTAGAAAATTCTACAATATTGTGGCTCCTAATTTTGCCTTTTATTTGACTGTGGGTTAAGGAATTTATGGTTCTGCTTTGCCTTCATTCTTTCTTTTTTTTTTTTTTTTTTTTTTTTTTTTTTGAGATGAAGTCTTGCTCTGTTGCTCAGGCTGGAGTGCAGTGTTGGAATCTCTGTTCATTCCATCCTCTGCTTCCCGGGTTCAAGCGGTTCTCCTGCCTCAGTCTCTCGAATAGCTGGGACTACAGGCATCTGCCACCATGCCTGGCTAATTTTTGCATTTTTAGTAGAGATGGGGTTTTTGCCATGTTGGCCAGGCTGGTCTTGAACTGCTGACCTCAAGTGATGTGCCTGCCTTAGCCTCCCGAAGTGCTGGGATTACAGATGTGAGCCACCGCACCTGGCCTTTGCCTTCGTTACTATTATATTTCTTCACTAGCTTTGCTTCTGTAAACATTTTTTTTATACTAGTAAGTAAATCTGCAGACATTTTTGAACAAGTGTCCTGAGTAAGATTAGGTATACACCAGTTCTTGTTCAGAATGCTTAAATGATCTGGGAGTTTGATACCTTGCTTGTGGAAGGCAGTTCAGATTCCCCTCCCCCCATCCCCCCCCAAAAAAAACCCACTTTTGACCATGTTATTTAGAAGCTCATTAATGTTGCTTTTTTATAAGATTGATCCTCATTCCTGCTCCCTCCCCCACTTTTTATTTAAATTGTAGGCAGTGAATAGAAATTCTGATATGTACAGTGAAACTAAAACTTCTATGGTAAATTCTATACCATGATAATTTTTTTTTTTCCCTTGAGACGGAGTCTCCCTCTGTCACCCAGGCTGGAGTTCAGTGGCGTGATCTTCGCTCATTGCAACCTCCACCTCCTGGATTCAAGCGATTCTCCTGCCTCAGCCTCCCGAGTAGCTGGGATTACAGGTCCTCACTACCACACCTGGTTAATTTTTGTATTTTTAGTAGAGAGACGGGGTCTCACCATGTTGGCCAGGCTGGTCTCGAACTCCTGACCTCAAGTGATCTGCCTGCCTTGGCCCCCCAAAGTGCTGGGATTACAGGCATGAGCCTCTGCGCCTGGCCTGCATACCATGATAATTTATCTGATTAAAGAATGATTGCAGTAAAGTATTTGTTTCACTTTTAGCTTTAAATTGCTTTCATAGTAGCGGATTGCCATTTCTGGTTATTTCATAAATTGATATTCTTTGATCTTTAATTCTGCTATGTGAACCTTTATAAAGTGTTAATTGAGATAGAAGAAAATCTGCTGATTATTGAAGTAATTGAGATAATGGATCTGAGGGAGCAAACCAATAGTGAAACATAGTACAATTGAAAAAGTAAATCCGATTATAATTGTGGCCTTTATATGCTTATCTCTCTGGGTAAAGAACAACATTCCATGCACCATTATATTTATGTGTATAAAATGTTTGACCTTTTGTGAAAACTTGTCAAAGTGACTGACTTATTTTTATTTATTGTTTTATTCAATGATTTTGAATATTTTCACAGAGTTGTACAACCATCACCATTACCTAATTTTAGGACATTTTTCTCACCCTCCAAAGAAGCCCTGGACCAATTAGCATTTATTCCCCCAATTCCACCTGCCCCCCTGCCCCTGCCAACTGCTATTCTATTTTATGTCTTTATGGATTTGCCTATTCTGAAAGCTTCCTATAAATCAATCACACAACATGTATGTATGTCTTTTGTGACATCTTTCACCTAGCCTAATGTTTTGACATTCATTCATTCATGTTATAGCATGTATCAACACTTAATTTCTTATTATGGTTAAATAGTATTCTGTTACATGGTTGTACCACACTTCGTTCATTCATCACTTAATGGACATTTGTGTTGTTTCTCCTTTTTGACTATAATGAATAATGCTGCTTTGAGTGTTCTTTCATAAGGATTTTGGTACATATGTTCACACATTTCTTTTAGGAATCTACATTGCAGTGAAATTAATGAGTCATTGGATATGCCTATAATTAATTTTATTGGACTATTTCAGTTTTCCAAATCTCAGCTCTTATTTTTAAATGACTATTAAATATTTAATTGTATTAATACCCCCACAGTTACTATACTTTTGTTAGAAATATCACTTTTCATTTTTGTTAATATAAATTAGCCACAGTAATAGGTTAAATCTTGGGCCTATCTGTATTTCTTAGAAATATATTATTAGGGTGATTTCTGAATTCAATAGATAAATATTGACATATTTTAAAAACTTTTATTCATTTGCGGGTAGAGAGGACTTTGTCTTTTTAAAGCCATTTATATATCCAGTTTGCTGTGTTTTTCTAGTGTTGTTATTTTTATGGCAAATGCTTCCTTGCTTTCCTTTGTAGTTTTATCACCCAGATGTGTACCCCTAAACACCTTAGTTTAGTTTTGGCATTAAAAAAAAATTTAAGTTCAGGTATATCTTTTAAATCTCTCAATGTAGAGAGTTTCCCTCTTCTTTCATTTACTTTTGTCCCCAGGTTGAAGAAACCTAGATTTTGCTGATCTCTTCTTGTGGTGTAGTTTAACATGTTTCTCTCTCACTTGTATTTTTGTAAATTGGTTGTTAGATATAGAGGCTTGATCAGATTCAGGTTCCACTTTGGAAGGGGACGGTATAGGACTACTTCATAGGCCAGGTTCATAGGCCACCTATAAGAAGACTAATGTCTGGTTATCTGGTGTGTTACCAGCTATTTGTGCTCAGTGTCTTGATATATCATTTATTAAGATTTGTCAAATGATACTTCAGTTCAATCATTCCTCCTTGGTTATAGTGACTGGAATACTTCTGTGAAGAAAAATATTTCTCTGTTTACTTGTTAAGTTACTCAGGGTGCAGTTCACACTGGAAGGACAGGATAAATGCTTTATTCTTTTATTGTATTTACCAGTTTTCAAAATAAGGGTGACCAATTTTGGGGGAGAATCAGTTTGAACTCATGGACTTAAAACCTGTGTGATATGTTTCAGTCCTTTGAATATCTTATTGATGCTCAAATTGTGGTACCTTTGACCAGTGGGATCAGAATGAGGTTGGTTTCTGAAACCTTTAACGAAGCCTTAATAATCTTTGATAGCTTGCTTGCAATGTGATGTAACAGGGTGCTCCAGACCTATCTTAAACATTTGCTGCTCTTGATGTGTAATTAACTGTGCTTGTAGGTCTGTCTTTTATACATGTGTGAGTTTTTCTTTACAATAGATTCCTAGCATTGGGATTGCTAGGTCAGATGGTATGCACATTTGACATTTTGATTGATAGCACCAGATTGCTTTGTTAAAAAATTTTTCTTTACAAGTTTACATTATCTTTGTACAATAGATGTTCTCTTTCACCACAGTTTTAGCAAATACTTGATATTGTAACTATTTTAAATTTTTACTAGTTGCATGCTTGAGAAATAAGGTGTTAACTGTGTTAAGTTGTACTTCCTTGATTACTTACGAGATTCAGCATCTTTCATATGCTTATTAATAATTTATATTCCTTATACATTAAGCCTAAAATATAATTTATATTTTTATAAATTTATAATATAATTTTATAAATAATACATGATTTATAATATAATTTATATTTTATACATCAAGCAAAGTATAAGGAATATAAATTTCATTGCTAATGTATAAGGAATATAAATTAGTAAGCAAATGAAATATGCTAATCTTTTATAGTGCACTGAAAAAGATTTCAAAGTAGTGTAAAATTTAAAGTAAATGCTATTTGCAATAATGTGATTTTTAAAAGTGGGATACTGAATTTGATTTACTAATATTTTGTTAAGTAGTTTTGCATCTATGTGCATAATGAGATTTGACCTTTAATTTAATTTAATTATTTAAACATGGGCTCTTGGTTTTCTTATTACGGTAAGACTACTCTAATAGACATAATAGGGAAGCATACTACTTTTTTCTGTGCTTTGATACAGTTTATATAAAATATAAACTATTCATTTCATGAGGCTTGAATGAACTTACTTGCAAAGCTTTCTAGAAAAAAATTCTTTTTTTTTTCTTTTTTCTAGAGACAGGATCTCACTCTGTTGCCCAGGCTGTATTTAGTACAGTGGCAAGGTCATGGCTCACTGCACCCTCAAACTCCTGGGCACAAACAATCCTCTCACCTCAGTTTCCCAAGTAGCTGGTACTGCAGGCATGTACCACCATGCCCTGGCTCATCTTTGGTAAAGATTGGGGTCTCACTATGTTGCCCAGGCTGGTCTCGAACTCCTGGCCTCAAGCATTCCTCCTATCTCTGCTTACCAAAGCACTGGGATTATTATAGACATGAGCCACTGCACCCAGCCTAATGATACATTTTTCCATTTTAAAAATGTATTATGATAAATTTCAAATATATCCCAAAGTAGAAGAAAAAAGTATATTGAATCCCCATGTACAGTTCACCCAGCTTCAACAATTACCAACCATGGCCAATCTCATTTCATTTATGCCAGGAATTGCAAACATTTTTTGGTAAAGGGCCAGATGGTAAATATTTAGGCTTTGCAACCTAAGAGGCAAAGTTGAAGATATTACATAAGTATTTATATAATGAGGAAACAAATTTCTGCACAGTTTTTATTGATAAAATTCAAGAGATAATAAATACAATTTTAAAAATACAGGTCTACTAATGACAAGAATGAAATTCTTTTCTGAATGTTTGCTCAACTGGGGTCCACAATTAGTGTTTCCTATCATCAAAATTAAGTGCAAATACTCATCTGTTAATGCTGGTGTGTAAAAATATTTTACATGTTCATCTGTGAAAATGTCCTTTCACACAGCTAGGTATTGCCACGTACTATAATTATCCACTAACGTATGATTGTTTTTTAAAGTTGTAGATTTATAGAAAAATTGAGCAGACAGTATAGAGTTCCTATCTATCCCCAATACAGTTTTCCCTGTTATTACAAATGTATGAATGAACCAGTATTGATACATTAAACTGAAGTCTTTATTTAGATTTTTAAAATTTTTACCTATGTTCTTTGTTTCAGGATCCCATCCAGAATGCCACATTACATTTAGTTATCGTGTCTTCCTGGGCTCTTCTTGGCTGTGACAGTTTCTCATACTTTCCTTGTTTTTGATGACCTTGACAGTTTGGAGGAGTACATGAATTATACTGTAGGATGTGGATGCTCCTCTGTAGGAATTTGTCTGATGTTTTTCTTATTAATTATACTAGGGTTATGGGTTTTTGGGAGAAAGACTGCAGAGTTAAAGTGCCATTTTCATGCTGTCATATCAGGAGTACATACTAATACATTATTTATGACTGTTAATGTTGACCTCAAGCATATAATTTTGATTTACCATATTTATCACTTGGAGAAGGCGTTTTCAGAAAATTTTAAAATTCTTCTTTTGATAGTTACAGGTTAATCATTTCTAATTGAAGATTAGATAGAAGAAGCCCCTTGATTGGAAAGTTCAAATAGATTTTGAAATATGGATATTTCCATTGCGCTTACATTTGGGCCAAAAATGCTGCTGCAAAATGAGGAAATTAACATTGATACATTACTGATTAATATTCAGATCCCAATCAGGTTTTCACCAGTTGTCCCAGTAATGTCTTTTATAGCAGGAGGATCCAGTTTCAAACCACATCACATTTATTTTCTTTCAGTTTTGAACATTTCCTCAGTCTTCCCTTGACTCCTCAACCTTTTTGGCTGTTATATCCCCCACTAGGCTGCCCCTTTGCTTGGATGTCCTTTGGACCCTGTTTGTGTTACCAACCACAGGTTCCTAGGGTCCCAGGCACTAGAAAGTGAAATGAGGCAAGAAAGTGTCCCAGACAAGGCTTTATTCATGGCTGATGTTAGAACACAAAGGAGAGCACTAGAGAGAGAGTTCTCCAGCTGGCTCCCTGAGGACAGGTCTTTTTGTTGTTTTAAGAACCATGATGACATAAATAAGCATGAGATACTTGAATGTCATTACATGTGCAGGGTGGAGCACAAGGTGTGCAGGCGCAGTGAGAAATCATGGTAGTACACACATGGCATGATAACAAAATGGTGAATAAGCTCCTCCCTGGGTGGGGAGTTTAGTATTGTAAGGAGGCAAGGGGTGGAGATTAGCCATTCTTCTGGTCTTATGCACATATGGGCGATAGGATTAACTCCCTTGAGTAAGATTTAAGGTGGGATGCTGTGTATTTTAGTTTCTTCAAGATCATACTTCAGTGAGTGTGGCACTTGATAAGATTTAGGGTGGGATTCTGCTTATCTTGGTTTCCTCAAATTCCAGCCATCATCTGGAAGGAAGGTCAAGGTAGGGGTAGAATCCCGTCCCTCCTCTCTCACTTGGGCTTTGGTATCCCATGGCACCCATCCTCACACGTGAATGGTCCTCCTTCCCTTTCTGAGCTCTGATACCCTCTGTGCGGCTTGACTTCTGACTCCTTTTATAGTATGTTTTGATGAATAGTAATTCATAATTTTAATGCAGTAAAAGTTTAATCAAACTTTTATGGTTAATGGCCTTTTGTGTTCAGTAAAATTTGTCCCTACCTTGAGAGCATGAAGATATTGTGCTATGTTACCTTTCTGACTTTTATTTTTTCCCTATTAATCTGTCCTATCATGGTCCATTAGGGCTCCTATAACAAAATACTATGAACCAGGTAGCTTATAAACAACAGAAATTTATTTCCCAAAGTTCTGGATGCTGGGAAGTCCAAGATCAAAGTCCTGGCAGATTTGTTGTCTGGTGAGAATCCACTTTGTTATATATGGCACCTTGTCTCTGTGTCCTCACACAGTAGAAGGGGGTGAATAAGCTCCCTTGGGCCTATTTTACAAGGGCAGTAAACCCATTTATGATGGCTGACTTCATGTTATGCTAACAAGGTGGCTCAAGTGACCTCCATGACCTACTCATTTTCCCAAAAGCCCCTTCTCCTAATACCATCACCTTAGGATGACGGTGTTATACCGTCATTAAGATTTCATATGAATTTTGAGGGAACACAAAACATTCAGACCATAGCACCTATGATCAGCCCAGAATGGATTTTTTAATAGTGTTACTTAAGTATTCAATTTTACGTGTTTCCATATGGATATTCAGTTGTTCCAACATTACATATTGACAAAACTTTCTGTTCCCCACTGGTGTATGTTAACTCCTTATGTTGTCATGCATTTATCCATCTGTGCATAGATCTGTTTTGGGGTTCTGTGTCTCACTGCATCATTTATCTGTTCTTGCCACCAGTAACACAATACTTTAATTAGCTTGGCTTACCTTGCTTGGTATTTATTGGAGTTTCTTAGAATTATGGGTTTATAGAGTTCATCAAACTTGGAGGTAGTTAGGCCATTATCTCTTTAAATGTTTTTTCTGTCTCAGCTTCTGTCTCCTAAGCCCCTATCCCCTTTCTCAGACTTCAGTTACACATGTGTAATCTGCTTGATGTTGTCCCATAGGTAACTGATACTCTTTTTCCCACCAGTCTTTTTTTCTTTGCATGCTTCATTTTGTATAGTTTTTTTGCTATGTCCTTAAGTTCATGGATCTTCTCTTCTACAGTATCTGCTCTAACTTCAGTCCCATTCTATTTGGCTTATTTGACTCCACAAAATTGTTTTGAGATTCATCCATGATGTATATCAATATTTCATTCCTTTTGATTACTTTTATTACATATATCCTTGTAGGGAGATGTGACAATTTATCTGTTCATCTATTAATGGACATTCAGGTTTTTTCCAGTTTTTCTCTCTTATAAATAAAACTACATTATTATTTCTGGATTAACTTGATTCTTTGAAAGTTGTTGTTGAGCTGTGGTAAATTTAGAGTTGTCTTTACTCTGATGGAAAATATATACGGTATCTCTTTTCTGTTGTTCTAGTGGCTGTGTTTACCATTTTAACATGCACATTTAAGTTTTCAAAATTAATTTTATTGAGGTATAATAACTATACAACTTTATTGAGGTATGCAACTTTTTATACCTTTGTAAGACAACTTTATAATAGAACTTTATGAGGTATAATTTGCATAGCATAAAATTCACCTGCGTGAAGTGTATGCTTTAGTGAGTTTTAGGAAATTTATAGCATTGTGGAACCACCACTACCATCTGATTTTAGAGCATTTCCACCATCCCAAAGTGGTCACTTGTACCCTTCAATGACATTTCCTATTACCCTCTGAGCCCCAGGCAACCATTAATGTGCTTTCTGTCCCTGTAGGTTTGCTTTTTCTAGACAGGTCTTATAAATGGAATCATACAATATGTTATCTTTTACATCTGGTACTTTTTCCTTAGCATACTGTTTTTAAGGTTCATCCACATTGTAACGTTTGTTATACTTCATCCCTTTTTAGTGCTGAATAGTATTCCATTGTATGGTGTGTTATAATAAATAATATATCTAGTCTTTGTTGCCATTTCTGGCACAGAGCTTCAAAAGCCCTGGAATTTCCTGAGTGATAGGAGTGTCTTTGTTACACCAGTGAGGTGACTCACGTGTCCTTCTGATAGCTTCAGGATGAGGGCTGACCGCTACAAAAGACCAAACACATGATTAGAAGATTAAGGCTTTTAGCTGCCAGACCTCCCGGGAGAGGGAGAAGGAGGTATTGGGGGAGGATTAGAGATTGAGTTTAATCATTCGGCCAGTGATTTAATTAATCATGTCTGTGTAATGGGGCCCTTATAGAAACTCTGGATACTGACACTCAGTGGAGCTTACTGGTTGGTGAACACATTGATGTTCTGGTGCCAGGAGAGAAATGCACTTTTATTCTACACAGACAGGGTGGAGAAGCTCTGTAATCTGTTCCACACTTTGTCCTGTGTGCATCCTTTATAATAAAACTGTAATCATAAATATAGCACTGTGCTGAGTTCTGTGAGTCATCCTAGTAAATTGTTAAGCCTGAGGAGGTTGTGGGAACCCCTGAATTTGTAGCCAGTAAGTCCAAAATATAGGGAACCTGGGGATCCCCAAAGTGCAGCTGATTTCTGAAGTGAGGGAAATTTTGTAGAAGACTGAGCTCTTCACTTGTGGGATCTCATACCAAGCCTTGTTGGTTAATGTCAGAATTGCATTGCAGAACACCCAGTTGGGGTGGAAACGGTATACAGATGTACTCCATGTTATTTGCTCATTTACCGGTTAATGGACATTTGAATTGCTTCCACTTTTTGGCCATTATGAATAATGAATAATGCCGATATGAATATTTGCTTATTAGTCTTTGGCAGATATATTTCATTTCTTTTAGGTAGGTACATAGGCGTGGAATCCTTGATTGTTTGCTACATTTATGTTTAACTTTGTAAGACATTATCAAACTGCTTTCCAAAATGGTTGTGCCATTTTGCATTCTCATCAACACTTAACTATTTTCTGTCTTTTTTAGTATAGCTATTCTGATGGGTGTTAAGTGGTATGTCATTGTGGTTTTAGTGTGCATTTCCCTAATGACCAATGCTATATATATATCACTTGTAAATATTTCCTCCCAACCTGTGGTTCATCTTCTCATTTTATTAATAGTATCTTTCAAGCCAGAAAATTTTTATTTTGATGAAATACCATGTATCAGTTTTTTATTTTGTCAGTTGCGTTTTTGGTGTTATATCTAAGAAACCTTTGTCTAATCTAGGTTCATTAAGATATTCTCCTGTGTTTTTTTAAGATTTTTGTAGTTTTAACTCTTAAATTTAGGCCTATAATTCATTTTGAATTAATTTTTGACTTATGGTGTGAGGTAAGGGTCTAAAAATATTTTGGCTGTAGCTATCCAGTTGTTCAAACTTTTTTTTTTTAATTATTTTTTCCCTCATTAAATTGCCCTGGCACCTTTGTCAACAAATTTATTGATCATAAATACAAGGATTTATTTCTGGGTTCTCAGTTCTATACAACTGTGTTCAATCGATCTATGTATCTTTTCATATGCCAGTACTCATATCTCACTGTGTTGCGCAGACTGGAGTACAGTGGTGCAATTGTAACTCACTGTAAACCTCAAAATCCTGGGCTCAAGCGATCTTCCCACCTCAGCCTCCCAAGTAGCTGGGACTACAGGTGTGCGACCATTCCTGGCTAATTTTTAATATTTGTATAGAGACACAGTCTCACTTTGTTGCCCAGGCTGGTCTCAAATTCCTGGCCTCAAGTCATCCTCCCACTTAGGCCTCCTCAAGTGTTGGGATTACCGGCGTGAGCCACCGTGCCTGGCCAGTATTGTCTTGATTATTGTAATTTTGTAGTAAGTTTTGAAATTGGGAAATGTAAGTCCTCCTGCTTTGTTCTAGTTCCAGATTGTTTTGGCTCTTCTGAGTCCTTTGCATTTCCAAATAAATTTTAGGACCTGCTTGTTGGTTTTTGGAAAAGACCCACTGGGATTGAGATGGAGATTGCATTGAATATAATGATCAATTTGGGGAGAGTTGCCATTTTGATAGTATTGATTCTTCCAATCCGTGTACATGAGGTGGTCTCTTCATTTATTTTCATATTTCCTTTAATCATTTAAACATGTTGTACACTGACACACACAACAGACACACACACACACACACACACACACACACACTCTTTCTCAATTTGGTAACCAGCCTTATCATGCTTTCCTATTTCTTCCTTCTCTTCATCCTGATGCCTTCCATTTTAAAATTATGTCTCACATAATAATCCTCTTACTTGGATTTATTCCTTTTCTCCCCGCTAGTCAAAGTCTCACTCTGTCGCCCAGCCTGGAGTGCAGTGGCACGATCTCGGCTCAGTGCAACCTCTGCCTCCCGGGTTCCAGCAATTCTCCCACCTCAGCCTCCCGATTAGCTGGGATTACGGCATGCGCCACCATTCCTGGCTCATTTTTGTAATTTTAGTAGAGATGGGGGTTTTGCCATGTTGGCCAGGCTGATCTCAAACTCCTGACCTCAGGTGATCTGCCTGCCTCGGCCTCCCAAAATGCTGGGATTACAGGCATGAGCCACTGCTGTGCCCAGCTATTCTTCATTTTGTCAAACTATATTCTTGAATAATTTTTTTGAAAATGGTCTGTCAATTATAAAATTTCATTTTGTCATCTCCTTTGTTTTCTTGTCTGCCATATTCTAGAATCAAAATTATTTTCCCTCAAAACTTTGAAGATATAGCTATGTTGCCTTTTATATTCAGTATGTTGGCTGAGAGGTTTGTTGCCAATATGATTTTATGTTTTTGTGTATATGGCATTTTTTGGAAACAGGATTTTTCTCTTGGATTTCTGAAAATTTAGCCCTAGCTGTGTAAAGTATCAGTTTCATTTAGAGGTTTTCTTGATCTTAGATTTTTAACTTTACTCATTTCTAGAAATTTTTGTTTACTATTCCTTTGTTCTAGTCTACATACTCTCTAGAACTACTTTTAGGTAGACGTTGGTGCTTTTCTGACATTGCTCTGTATTTCATCTCTTACTCCTTCAGTGTGTTCAGAGAACATTCATTTTTTCAGTTTTCTAACTGTAATGTTTGTCTATCATCAGTCATATAGTGAATTCTTAGACTTCAGGGTTTTTTTGGTCCTCATATCAGCCTAATGTTTAATTGATGTGACATCTGTTACCCTTTTGAGGGTATCGATTTTACATATATTTTTTGTTTTCTTTTGAGACAGAGTTTTGCTCTTGTTGCCCAGGCTGGAGTGCAATGGTATAATCTCAGCTCACTGCAACCTCCGCCTCCGGGGTTCAAGCAGTTCTCCTGCCTCAGCCTCCCAAGTTGCTGGGATTACAGGTG